>NC_000006.12:33999393-34302424 GCF_000001405.40 Homo sapiens | reverse complement strand
CTAACACAAAAGGTAAAGATAAGTAAAATAAACTGTGTCTAATAAAATATGCTCAGCAAAGAACATTGAAAACAAGGGTAAAAGACAAGTGCCAGATTGGGAGAAAATATTTGCCACAGAGCATAAGTATCAAGAAGGAAGCTGAAATGGAAGAATTGCCTGAGCCCAGCAGTTTGAGACCAGCCTGGGCAACATGGCAAAACCTCATCTCTACCAAAAAAAAAAAAAAGCCAGTTGTGATGGCACGTGCCTGTAGTCCCAGCTACTCAGGAGGCTGAGGCAGGAGGATCGCTTGAGCCTGGGAGGTCAAGGCTGCAGTGAGCCATGATTGCACCACTGTACTCCTGCCTGGGCTACAGAGACTGGTCTCAAAATAAATAAATAAATAAATAAAGATACAAAGAACTGCAGATTCATTATGATGGTCACTTGTCAAATAAGGCTGTGAATATATAATGCCCCTAAGAGGAAATCTGAATGTTCACTGAAGTAGGAAAAAGTGCACAATTTCAGTTAAAAAATAATGTAATGCAATTTCACACTCATATTGACCCAGAAGTGGGGAGGGAAAATGGCTAACAACAAATACTAAATATTGAAGAGGAACAAGAGTGATGGCAACTCATACACTGCCTGTGTACTTTGGAGAGTGTATCAGTTTGCTGTATAACAAACTATTCCAAAATGCAGTGGCTTAAAATAGTACTTATTACTCCTTACAAGCCAAGGTCAACTTCTGGTGTCAGCTGGACTATTCAGATGTCTGCAGCTAGCTCTGAGTTGAGTAGGCAACTCTGCTGATCTTGGCTATGCTCTCACACAGTTTGGAGGTTAGCTGGCTGTAGGCCACTCAGCCTAGACAGCTGTGGTCTTTCATCCTTTAGGAGCCTAAGCTCAGGCTTATTCATATGCCGATGGCAGAGTTCCAGGAGGAAAAGTGGAAACTACAAGGCCTCTTGAGGCCTAGGCTTGGACCTGGTAAACCATTCTTCTACATTCTGTTGGCCGAAGACACAAGGCAAGTCTAGATATAGGGATGGGTAAGTAGATTCTATCCCTTGATGGGAAGAGCTGCAGAATTAATGTCAAAGGATATGGATGTAGGGAGAGGTGGAGAATGGTCACTATCTCTGCAGTTGATCTACCAAAAGAGACCAACTTGAAAATATCTGGAGGTACTTATCCTCTGTGACTGAGAAATTTGACTTTTAGTATAAATCTTCGAGAAACTCTTTCACTTGGTAACAAGGAGATAGATTAGATCTACAAGTAAACTGACAAGGGAGTAGATTAATAAATTATGGTAAATTCCTAAAATAGATAACTGTTCAACAATTAAAATGAATTACCTAGAACTACATGTGTCAATATAGCTAAAACTCTGAAACATAATATTGAGGGAAAAAGTTATAGAAGGTAAAATACCTTTTTTAAATTCAGTAGAGAAACTTGCAGCAAATACTGTTAATAGTGGATACATACCCAAGTAGTAAAAGTATAAAAACATGCAAGAGAATAATAAACACCATTTTCAGGTGAGTAGTTGTCTCTTGCAGGGAGTGGGGAATACAGTTCTTGGTCTTCTCAGAGAGCTGCCTTTTAAATCAAGGGAAGAAGTAGCAGGAACCTTTCAGCTACGAATAATAACAGAACACCTGACTAAAAGTGGCTTCAGCATCATCAGTTATGTGGGAAACATGAAAGCCCCAGACACTGGCCATTATTACTTCATTGCTTCACAGCATCAGGGCACTGGGTCAGCTTCTTACTAGATTTCTTTGGCCTTCCCCTTATGATCAGATGATGGTAGCAGCTCCAGCTTTCACATCCCCACTTGACAAGGAAGTACAGGGTTTCTTTTTGTGCAGTCTTTTTATCGTGGTGGGAAATCTTTTCCAGAAGTCCCTGAGAGACAGCCTCTAAGGAGCTGTTGAACATACAGCACCTCTGAACTAGTCCCTGCAGAGGGGAGCAGAATTTCCTGTGCCTTGCTTAGGCATACCATCTCAAAGTACACCACAACCCCCACCTGGACAGAATCTGGGTCTCCCTGGTAGCAGCAAGGGAAGGGGAATGCCTGTGGGCTGGGCAAACCTCATTGTCGGTCAAAATGTCCACTGTAGAGTGAAAAGCTGGTTTCAGAAGATGACGGTCCACTTGTGCCAACAAAGTCAGGATTCCTTGTGGTAGATTGTTTTAGGCACAGGTTCAAAGGGCCATCACCCACATTAGTGCCTCTACCTAAGCTTTTGTACATACACAGGGAGACTGCCACAGAGCAAGATCGGATCCAGCCCTTTCCAGAGAAATACCTCAATCCCAGTAGAACACCTCATAGGAAAAGAGACACTTGTGTTTTTTTCTCTTAAAAAAGCAGGGCCGGGCAGGTGGCTCACACCTGTAATCCCAGCAGTTTGGGAGACCAAGGTGGGAGGATTGCTTGAGACCAGGATATCAAGACCAGCCTGGGTGACACAGCGAAACCCTGTCTCTCAAAAATAAAAAAAATATTTTTTTTTTTTTTGAGACAGTCTCACTGTGTCACCCAGGCTGGAGTGCAGTGTCACAATCTTGGCTCACTGCAGTGTCTGCCTCCTGGGTTCAAGTGATTCTCCTGCCTCACCCACCTGAATAGCTGGGATTATGGGCACCCACCACGCCCGGGTAATTTTTGTGTTTTTAGTAGAGATGGGGTTTTGCCGTGTTGGCCAGGCTGGTCTTGAACTCCTGACCTCAGGTGATCCACCTGCCTCAGTCTCCCAAAGTGCTGGGATTATAGGCGTGAGTCACCACACCTGGACTTTAAAAAAAAAAAAAAAAAAAATTCAAGAAAATACCCGGTCTTGGTGGCACATGCCTATAGCCCCAGCTACTTGGGAGGCTAAGACAGGAGGATCACTTGAGCCCAGGAGTTCAAGGCTGCAGTGAGCTATGACCATGCGCCCTAGCCTGGGCGACAGAGTGAGACCCTGTCTCTTAAAAAAAAGAAAAAGGGTAGGCAATTGTTCAGATTATTTTTGTTAACCAGGCCTAAAGTACTAGAAAAGGGTGAAAGAATTATCTCTACTAAGATGGACTTTTAAATAAAGACTCCCTCTCTAGATTAGTGGCTTTTGACATATAGATTGAAATTGTAACTGCTTTCGTATAATTTTGCAAAAGACAGATCCATACCAGCATCCTGATGGGACCAAATTTAATATACCCTTGAATTCAATCTTATCCCCAAATGTGTGAGCCAAATATCTGTCAGATGTGGCCCTGACACATATCCCGACCTGCATGCAGGAATCATGTGACAGATAAAAATAACCCACTCTCAGATTGCTTGTGGCAGCATTTGAGAAAAAACTAGGAGATGAAAGTTGGACTCTGAGTCTGGGAAAATTGTGAAAAAGTAAGATAGTTAAGGTAAGCTGTCTGGGAGAACCTTTGCCTGTGAGAAATTTTTCTTTTTTGTCAGCACTATGACTTTAAAGAACTGAAATCCTTTTACTAAAGGGGGGACCTCTTCCTGAGAAAAGTGCTGAATTCCAATTTTTAAAATTGGTAAATAGGGAAATATTTATTTGCTTTATACTATAGAATTATTGGTAAGATCACATTAAATAGAATTCTGCTAATTAGATCCCATAAATATTATGAAAGAAAGGCTAAGGGACAAATAAAAAGTATCATTAGCCATGTGTGGTGGCATGCACCTGTAATCCCAGCTACTCAGGAGGCTGAGGCAGGAGAATTGCTTGATCCCAGGAGTTTGAGGCCGGCTGGGCAACATAGACACCATCTCTTTAAACAAACAAACATCATTAGTTTCTACATTCTACAAGGTGAAAGACTAATTAGAAGTGAAAAATACCACTGAAATGTTGGTGTACAAATGGCAGCATAATTTGATTTACACTAGATTTTACACATTTGTGTCTATTTCAAATAGGTACTTTTACATTTTTCTTAACTGCATCTGACACAGAGTGAATCACAGATATATGTTGGTGTCGAAAGCAGAGGTTACTATTATTAAACGAAATTTTGTGTTTTGAAGTTATTTTGTTTTGTTTTTTTGAGACAAGATGTCTCTGTTGCCCAGGCTGGAAGTACAGTGGTGCAGTCATGGCTCACTGCAGCCTTGACTTCCTGAGCTGGGGTGATCCTCCCACTTCAGCCTCCTGAGTAGCTGGGACTATGGGCATGTGCCACCATCCCCAGCTAATTTTTTGTATTTTGTAGAGATGGGGTTTCACCTTATTGCCCAGGCTGGTCTCGAACTCTTGGGCTCAAGCAGTCCACCTACCTCGGCCTCCCAAAGTGCTGGGATTACAGGCTTGAGCCACCGTGCCCAGCCAAACAAGTTTTAAATTAATTATATTGAGTTGTCATAATGTTAAGTTGATTTGTGCCCTAAAAGTTTGGAGATTGTTTCATAAACTTCTAGTTTAAGAAAAAAATATTGGATAGTAGCTGCTAAAGAGACTACTTTCTCCTTTGTGGAGGAGAAAGGTGAATGATGGCCTCTTAAATCTTTTCTTGGGCCGGGTGCAGTGGCTCACACCTGTAATCCCAGCACTTTGGGAGGCTGAGGCGGGCAGATCATGAGGTCAGGAGTTCAAGACCAGCCTGGCCAATATGATGAAACCCCGTCTCTACTAAAAAAAAAAAAAAAATTATATATATATATATATATATATATATATTTTTTTTTTTTTACATTAGCCGGGTGTAGTGATGTGCACCTGTAGGACACCTGTGGTGCCAGCTACTCAGGAGGCTGAGGCAAGAGAATCGCTTGAACCTGGGAGACGGAGGTTGTAGTGAGCCGAGATCATGCCACTGCACTCCAGCCTGGGCGACAAGAGTTAAAAAAAAAAAAAAAACAATGACTTTTCTTACCTCTGTCCCCCAAGGCTCTCATCTGCCCCAACAGCTCTCCTTCCAGACCCTCAGTGGAGGCTTGTGGCAGGAGCACAGGTGACATGTCTCAGGAGATGAGCAGAGTGTGTTCAGGCTGCCTGGGATCAGAGTACAGAACTGCCTTTCCAACCCAGGCTGGCCTGGCAGCTTGTCCCACTTGTCAGGCAGCTTCACTGGTTAATTCATGAAGTATAAGCTAGCTAGTTTTAGCTGGCTGTGGAGGGCAGTTATTTATAAAAATGTAGAGAAGCAAGTTACTGTTTTCTTATTTAAGAAAAGGCAGGCCAGGCGCGGTGACTCACGCCTGTAATCCCAGCACTTTGGGAGACTGAGATGGGCGGATCACGAGGTCAGGAGATCGAGACCATCCTGGCTAACATGGTGAAACCCTGTCTCTACTAAAAAATAGAAAAAATTAGCCGGGCGTGGTGGCGGGCACCTGTAGTCCCAGCTACTTGGGAGGCTGAGGTGGGAGAATCGCTTGAACCCGGGAGATGGATGTTGCAGTGAGCCAAAATCACACCACTGCACTCCAGCCTGGGTGACAGAGCGAGACTGTCTCAAAAAAAAAAAAAAAAGGTCTAACCACTGAAGTTATCCCTCTTCCTGCCACTCCTTGTCATCACATCACTCTGTGTATTTCTGTCATGATACTTACCCGTAGCAGAATTACCATGTTTATGTTCTTGTTCATCTAGGCTTTCTTGAGTTCTTGCAGGGTGCCAAACTCTCTTCCACCATATTGTATACAGACAGCCAAGTCAGAGCAGGGTCTTAATCCCATGGGATCTTGCGTTCTAGCCTATTCACTGTTACATCGCTGGCACATATACTGTTTTCTGGTTCAAATTAGGCATTTAGTATGTATTTGTTGAATGAATAAGTGAATGAAGTAATCTATGTATGTATGTATGCGTGTATGTATGTATGTATGTATTTACCGACAGGGTCTGGCTCTGTCACCCAGGCTGGAGTGCAGTGGTGTGATCTCGGCTCACTGCAGCCTCCACCTCCTGGACCCAAACAACCCTCCCACCTCAGCCTCCCGAGTAGCTGGGACTACAGGCATGCACCATCACACCCAACTAATTTTTGTATTTTTTGTAGAGACAGGGTTTCACCATGTTGCCCAGCCTGGTCTCGAACTCCTGAGCTCAAGTGATCCACCCGCCTCAGCTTCCCAAAGTGCTGGGATTACAGGCATGAGCCATAGTACCCAACCAATTAATTAATTTATTTATTTTTGAGACATGGTCTCACTTTGTCACCCAGGCTGGAGTGCAGTGGTGCAATCATAGCTCATTGCAACCTTGAACTCCTGGGCTCAGGTGATCCTCTCACCTTAGCCTCCCCAGTAGCTGGGACTATAGCCACATGCTGCCATGACTGGCTAATTTAAAAACAAATTTTTAGAGGCAGGATCTTGCTATGTTGACCAAACTGATCTTGAACTCTTATCCTCAAGCGATCCTCCCAATTCAGCCTCCCAGAGTGGCAGTGCCTGGCCTGAAGTAATCAATACCTCAGAATATTTTTGGTGTGGTGGCTTCATGGCCTGATGATCTTGCTCTGCTTGGCTAGCTTTGCAGTAGGGAGAGAGACCAGAAGAAATGAAAGGCATTCTAACTTCCCAGAGCATACACAGCTGTTAGCAGGTTAGTAGTCGGTGACACACAGGAAACACTGGTATCACTTCACAGATCGTGGAGTCTGCCCAAGCTGTGTCCTCTTGTTTTTTGTTTCTATTTTATAAACTGCTTAAGAAGACTCAGAATGAGACCAGCAATATAATACTATCAGTGCATTAATTGTTCTTTTCACTTTCTAGGCTGGAGTAAAAGGGACATTGGGAAGATTAGTTGGAATTTTTGAGGTAAGTCTGTTAAAATCTTTGGTACAAATGATATGTATTAATAACCACACAGATATTAACATAGGAAAAATGCCATTTCTGTTTCAGCGAGTTTTTTTTTTTTTAGTTATTTTTAACTTTTTGAGACAAGGTCTCACTCTCGCCCAGGCTGGAGTGCAGTGGCACAGTCATAGCTCACTGCAGCCTTGAACTCCTGGGCTCAAGCAGTCTTCTGCATCAGCCTCCCAGGTAGGTGAGACTACATGGATACACCACCATCCTTCTAAATTTTTAAATTTTTTGTAGAGACAGGGTCTTGCCATGTTGCCCAGGCTGGTCTCAAACTCCTGCGTTTAAGCGATCCTCCTGCCTCAGCCTCCCAAAATGCCAGGATTACAGGCTTCAGCCACCATGCCCAACCTCGGTGAGTTTTTTAAAGAAAGCAACACCAACAGAGAATAACATGCTTTAAAAAAAAAAGAAAGAAAGAAGGAAATCCCATAGTCTTGTCCCCTAAACTACTAGAATTATTTTTAAATATTATTTTACCCCATTCCTACTTTTCTTTGTCTCCTACCAAGGTAGGAGGAAAGGTAGCTAAGTGTAGAGAGAGAGAAGAAAAATAGAAGATAAGTAACTATAACAAAGAGAGGAAAAACAAGGAAATAAGCTGTGATACAAATTTGAAAGAAGGCAGGGAAAAGTGAGAAATCAGGAGAAATCAAGATGAGCAGATGCTGGGCGTGGTGGCTCACACCTATAATCCCAGCGTTTTGGGAAGCTGACACAGGAAGATCTCTTGAGGGTAGAAGTTCAAGACCAACCTGAGCAACAGAGTGAGACTCTATCTCTACAAAAAGTTTACAAAATAAAAATGTCAGAAGAAAGGTCTCTGATGAAAAAATAGATATGTAAATAAATCTTTTTTTTTTTTTTGAGACAGAGTCTTGCTCTGTCACCCAGGCTGGAGTGCAATGGTGCGATGTCGGCTCACCACAACCTCCGCCTCCCAGGTTCAAGTGATTCTCCTGCCTCAGTCTCCCAAGTAGCTGAGATTACAAGTGCCCGCCACCACATCTGGCCAGTTTTTGTATTTTTAGTAGAGACAGGTTTCACCATGTTGGCCAGGCTGGTCTGGAACTCCTGACCTCAGGTGATCCACCCACCTTGGCCTCCCATAGTGCTGGAATTACAAGCATGAGCCACCGCCCCTGGCAATAAATAAATTTTTTTAAAAGGTGGCTGGGCACTGTGGCTCATGCCTGTAATCCCAGCATTTTGGGAGGCCAAAGTGGGAGGATCACTTGAGCCTAGGAGTTTAAGACCAGCCTGGGCAACATGGTGAAATCCTGTCTCTACAAAAAAATACAAAAATTGGCTGGGTGTGGTGGCTCACATATGTAATCCCAGCACTTTCCCAGGCCTAGGCATGCGGATCACTTGAGGTCAGGAGTTTGAGACCAGCCTGGCCAACATGGTGAAACCCTGTCTCTACTAAAAATACAAAAATTAGCAGGGCATGGTGATGTGCACCTGTACCAGCTACTCAAGAAGCTGAGGTGAGAAGATCACCTAAGCTCAGGAAGGTCAAGGCTGTGGTGAGCCATGATCATGCCACTGCGCTCTACCGTAGGTGACAAAGTAAGGCTCTCTCTCAAAAAATAAGGTAAGTGGGGTTAGTGGGAAAAGGGGTGTGGGTGGGAAGAGGGGTGTGGGTGGGTGTGTGTGTGTGTCACACTCAGCTTGTTTGCCTTGCTGGGGTCACTGAAGTTTGAGACCTCTGTGGTAGCCCACCCATCCACAGTCCTCTCCCTGGTGGTCTAGCTAGTTAAATTTACATGATGCCTTTTTCTTCTCATAGTATTCCTGTTAAGTTGTATTTAGGGGAAGGGGAGGAAAAACCAATATAATTACTTGGTTTTAGAAGTCCAGCCAAAGAGCACACCCTCAAATTCAAGTGTGGCCTGCTTTAAATCATGTAGCTATAACTGTAGGACCATAAAAAGTAAAAGTTTAGAATCTTTGTGTCTGAGCTCTCTGGACATATGCATAAGAGTGTGTTTCATTTAAGTAATTCCAGCTTTCTAAGGAAAAACTCTCTCTATCCTTCTCTCTTTGCCCTTCAGAACCAGGAGAGGAAGCACAGGACGTATGTCTATGTGCTCATTGTCACTGAAGTGCTGGAAGACTGGGAAGATTCAGTTAACATTGGTAAGCCATCTCCAGACAGCCTGGAAAGGGTTCCTCACAACCAGCCCTTGCCATGCCACAGGTCATGACCAGAACCAGAAACAAGAGCGTACCAGGCTCAGTGGCTCACACCTATAACCCCAGTACTTTGGAAGGCCAACACAGGAGGATCACCTGAGCCCAGAGTTCTAGACCAGTCTTGGCAACCTAGTAAGACCTCATCTCTACAAAAATCAGAAGACTTAGCTCGGCGTGGTGGCACATGCCTGTGGTCGCAGCTTCTCAGGAGGCTGAAGCAGGAAGATCATTTGTGCTTGGGAGTTTGAGGTCACATTGAGCCATAATCATGCCACTGCACTCCAGCCTAGGCAACAGAGTGAGACTCTGTCTCAAAAACAAACAAAAAAACAGAACAACAAGAGCTGGATAAAGAATAGAAATAATTGAAGGATGTGTATAATAAAACAAGCATGTACATTTTGAACCTGATAGTATTTTGAAATGTTTAAATGGAATCTGAAGTGAGTACATGGTCCACAAATAGAAGCATGACCCCTAAAAATAAGAAATGTTGCTTCTAAAATCAAACTGGGTCCTTGCCAAAAGGGCTATACTTCTGCACCTCCTGAGCAGATACTGATTGAGGGCCTCCGCCATGCCAGGCTCACTGCTGGCCATGGGGACCATAAGTGAGAGCAGGACCCTGGTCTTGTTCCTCATGACATTTATATTGTTGAGAAAACTGTTGGTTTGGTGGTGTGAGTCCCTCCAGAAATCATTTAGTAGATACAGAATAGTGCAGGTGGTTTCTAGTTTTATTCTTATAAAATATGAATATATCTATAATATATATTTTTATATTTTTTCATATTTTATATGAATATAAAAATGATAAAATTTATGAACTTTTACAAAAGGTGCTGTGTGTACCCTTTAGGTACACCCAACTTTCTCCCAAAGGAGCCATTTTCTTTGATCTCAGATGGCTGTTACGTTTACATCTTTGGAACTATAAACTGTGGTGGTACAAAGGTTGGTTCATGGTTTGATTGTTTACTTCTGAAGGAAAGTGTATTCTAGAAAGGAGAACACTAATTTCCATTACAAATTGGCAGACAGATAAAATTTATTTGCCAACATTCTCACTTTAATGTTAGTGTTTGCCTTGCCGCCATGCCCCTCACATTGTTACTCTGGGCAGTTCGTAGCCCTTTGGCTCTTGATGGCTTTGTGTCTAGTAATAATGCAGGGTGCTCAAGGAAATAAATTCAGTGTGGATATACTGAAAACAGACTCCCTAACAGGTGTGCTAGAGCTTGAAAAGGAGACTGCGGTGGATGTGTGGTGTGGCCCTATCCTCAGAGCACTCTCTGTCAGGCAGGAGTCATACACTTGTGATACTAATTTTTTTAGGTACCATTGCTCTATTAATATTCAAACAAGCCTTTCACCTTGTACTCCCACTTCTGAGAATTGACCCTAATGAAATAATCTAAAATATGACAAGCTATGGAGCCTTCCTTCAGATGATCTTACTACCATTATTCTTACTGGTTAAAATTTGCATCTTAAATGTATAACTCAATGAATGACAAATCAATGAATGACATGTGTCCGATGGAATGTTATACAGCTGTTAAACACCATAGTTTAACACCACCCTGTTAAACTGCAGTTGCAGTGGCTCACGCCTGTAATCCCAGCGCTTTGGGAGGCTGAGGCAGGCGAATCACTTGAGGTCAGGAGTTCGAGACCAGCCTGGCCAACATGGTGAAACCCCATCTCTACTAAAAATACAAAAATTAGCCAGGCATGGTGGCACACACCTGTAATTTCAGCTACTCAGGAAGCTGAGGCAGGAGAATAACTTGAACCTAGGAGGTGGAGGTTGCAGTGAGCCAAGAATACACCAATGCACTCCAGCCTGGGCAACAGATAAGACTGTTTCAAAAAAAAAAATTTTTGTCAATGTTAAAGAAAAGCTAATATTGGCAGGAATGTGGTGAGACTGACATCCTGACATACACAAGCAGGACTGGGGATCAGTGTCGCCTTTCTGTAAAGCACTTTTGCAGTATAAATCAGGAGCCCTTGAAAGTTCAGAAGCTCTATTTTTGTAGTTCTTGTGCTAGATATCTTTCCCTAGAAGGTTAAAAAGAAAGAAAAAACGGGGAACGTTTTAAAAAAATAGCATTATTTATAATAATTAAAATCACTGGGCATGGTGGATCACGTTTGTAATCCCAGCACTTTGGGAGGCCAAGGCGGGTGAATCACTTGAGGTCAGGAGTTCGAGACCAGCCTGTCCAACATGCTGAAACCCCATCTCTACTAAAAATACAAAAATTAGCTGGGCGTGGTGGTGTGCACCTGTAGTCCCAGCTACTTGGGGGCTGAGGCAGGAGAATTGCTTGAACCCGGGAGGCGGAGATTGCAGTGAGCTAAGATAACGCCACTGCACTCCAGCCTGCATGACGGAGTGAGCCTCCGTCTCAATAAATAAACAAAAATTAGCTGGGTGTGGTTGTGGGCGCCTGTAATCCCAGCTACTTGAGAGGCTGAGCCATGAGAATTGCTTGAGCCTGGGAGGCAGAGGTTGCAGTGAGCCGGGATCACATCGCTGTACTCCAGCCTGGGTGACAGACTGAGACTCTGTCTCAATAATAATAATAATAATAATCACAGACAATTGATGTCCAGTGATATGGAAATGCTTAAGTGAATGATAATACATCCATACTAGATACTATGACATAATGCAGCCATAAATGTCTTAAAAAAAAAGACAGTCTCACTCTGTTGTCCAGACTGGAGTACAGTGGCATGATCACAGCTCACTGCAGCCTCAACCTCCTGGGTTCAAGCAGTCCTCCTGCCTTAGCCTTTCTAGCAATGGCAATGTCTCATATTTTTTTCATAATATAGATTGCTTAAGAAATAGTGTGACATAGGACAGGTGTGGTGGCTCATGCCTGTAATTCCAAGTACTTTGGGAGGCTAAGGCAGGAGGATCACTTGAGGCCAGGAATTTGAGACCTCATTTATACCAAAAAAAAAAAAAAAAAAAAAAGAAGCAGCAGCAGGTGTGGCACGTGCTTGTAGTCCTAGCTACTTGGAAGGCTGGGGCAGGAAGATCCCTCGTGTTCGGGAGCTTGAGTTTGCAGTGAACTATGATCATACCACTGCAATCCAGCCTGTGAGATCCTATCTCTGGAAAAAAAAAAAAGAGAGAAAGAAAAAGAAAAGAAAAAATAACATGAAGTAAAAACCAGTAACAAAAATTAAAAAGCAAATTCAGCAGCACATTCTTTTAGCAGCCAGTTACTCTTCAGGTGCTTTCCATACTAATAGTCATAACAGACTTGTGAGATAGGCCCTATTTATTGTCTGTTTTATAGATGAGGAAAATGGAGCAGGAACACAGCTACCTGAGGCTGCACAGCTCATTGGAGCCATTTATGTGATTGGAGCCCAGCACTTTGGCTTCAGAGTCCTTGTTCCTGACCATAACACTCTAGCAGAGCTGGTCAGGATTCAGAGTACCTGAAAGCATGATCCAATTTTGGTTGTCTCAAGATTGTTTCTTTTTCAAGTATATGAAAAAAGGGCAGTTGTGCTAGGGTATTGAGAGTGGTTTTTTCTGGTTTATAAGATTATGGGTAGTTATTACTTTTATAAGATAAAAAATATAAAGGATTTTAAAGCATGGACTAGAAAAGAGTAAGAAAATAGACTGAAAAATAAAAGTGTGATTGTATTGAGATTATTTTTACTTCTTTTAAGAAATATTTTCTATTATGTAGATAAATTCACTCTTATAAGAAAACTTTTAAATGAATTACTGATTACAAACCAGCCATCCTAGTAATTCTGGAAGCTGATGCTCGTGTTGATTTTTCCCCCCTTGGGACAGGGTCTCACTCTGTCACCCTGCTGGAGTGCAGTGGCGCGATGACAGCTCACTGCAGCCGCGACCTTCCGGGCTCAGGTGATCCTCCCACCTCAGCCTCCTGGGTAGCTGGGAGTACAGGCACATGCTACCATGCCCAGCTAATTTTTGTATTTTTTGTAGAGACAGAGTTTTGCCATGTTGCTCAGGCCAGTCTCAAACTCCTGGGCTCAAGCGATCCGCCCACCTTAGCCTCCTAAAGTGCTGGGATTGTAGGCGTGAGCCACCTCATCCGGCCCTCATGTCAGTTTTTACAGGAGATGGGGATGCTGCTGGGCTTTGATCCCTATGTATGTGCAAGCAAGGAAAGCTCAGAGACGCAGGAGGGCAGGAGGAAAACACTAGCCGTAGTTCTCTCTGGAGGGCAGGTTTTACACAATTACTCTTAGCTCTTTGGTTTTCAGGTTTCTCACCTTTCTGCATTAGACATTGATATAATATTTGAAGCATATGAAGTGTGCTTGAGTTATTTTTGTAAGGAAAAAAAGTGTTAAGAAACATTGCTTTAATGTTTTCTATATTTTCTCAAAAGTTCTAGGCTCAGAAACCTTATTACTCTTGTACTAGTTTCTTTTCTCTCTGCCTCCACAGGAAGGAAGAGGGAATGGTTTAAAATAGAAGACGCCATAAAAGTGCTGCAGTATCACAAACCCGTGCAGGCATCATATTTTGAAACATTGAGGCAAGGCTACTCAGCCAACAATGGCACCCCAGTCGTGGCCACCACATACTCGGTTTCTGCTCAGAGCTCGATGTCAGGCATCAGATGACTGAAGACTTCCTGTAAGAGAAATGGAAATTGGAAACTAGACTGAAGTGCAAATCTTCCCTCTCACCCTGGCTCTTTCCACTTCTCACAGGCCTCCTCTTTCAAATAAGGCATGGTGGGCAGCAAAGAAAGGGTGTATTGATAATGTTGCTGTTTGGTGTTAAGTGATGGGGCTTTTTCTTCTGTTTTTATTGAGGGTGGGGGTTGGGTGTGTAATTTGTAAGTACTTTTGTGCATGATCTGTCCCTCCCTCTTCCCACCCCTGCAGTCCTCTGAAGAGAGGCCAACAGCCTTCCCCTGCCTTGGATTCTGAAGTGTTCCTGTTTGTCTTATCCTGGCCCTGGCCAGACGTTTTCTTTGATTTTTAATTTTTTTTTTTTATTAAAAGATACCAGTATGAGATGAAAACTTCCAATAATTTGTCCTATAATGTGCTGTACAGTTCAGTAGAGTGGTCACTTTCACTGCAGTATACATTTATCTACACATTATATATCGGACATATAATATGTAAATAAATGACTTCTAGAAAGAGAAATTTGTTTAATTTTTCAAGGTTTTTTTCTCTTTTAATTTGGGCATTTCTAGAATTGAGAGCCTCACAATTAACATACCTTTTTGTTTTCGATGCTAGTGGCTGGGCAGGTTGCCCTGTCCTTTCTCTATTTCCCAGTCATTGACTGTAGATATGGGAAGAGTTTAGCTACCTTCATAGTGCTCCCAGGACTCATGGCCTTTCCTTCTTTAAGCTGTATTTCCCTGCCCAGAAAGAAACAGGAAGAAACCTTTTTTTATTTTTTTATTTTTTTTTAACCAAGCAAGGAGCAAATGGCCTCAGCCCAGATCTGTAAAAACAATGATAGAAATTGAATTCTGCCCCACATGTTGACAGTAGAGTTGGAACTGGATTCTTGGGATTACTTATCTAAAAAACTGGAGCATCAGGTCCATTTCTGTTCTGCTGGTTTGGAATCTTTTCCGTAATGCTATTTATTGCCAACAATGGCCTCTCTTTGTGTCCATATATGCCTTACACCGTGCTGACCTGGGTATCATCCATGTGCTCTGAAGCATCCAACTTTACTTTGCAGGTGCATCAATGTAGTCCTGTCCCTGAACTGAGTAACCGTGTTCCTGAAAAGTACACTAGGGAAATTCACCTGCTTGCTTGTCTTTGTATTGGCATGGCACTTGTGATTGCACCATGGAGCATGCTCAGAGCTATTAAATTGGTCTCCCATCTCCCACCAGGATATGAAAGGTCCATATGGGAGGCCACGTAATCACTTATTACAGTGGTTACATAATACACTGGCTCACTGCAGACTCTCTTGTTTTTTGATACAGTTTCGTGCTGGCTTCATTTGCCAATTGTGTTGTTTAGTTCGGAAGTAAGAGGGTCTTGAGATTGAGGGGTAGGGAGGGCTACACTGACTGATCCGTGGCTTAAGACAGGAGATTATCTCTGTACTCCAGTGGCATCTCCTTAGCCAAGATGTGAAATTAAAATCATAGTTCGCCTCATTTAAAAATTCTAATAAAGCACTCAAACTTTGAAAAGCTTTTACTTTTCCCTCCTACTAAAAGAAATGTATGTACCTCATAGCCCTGTGTCATTTAGTGTTCAGCACTTTTGGGAACATCAGTTGGTGAACTTTAAATTTTGCTGTCTACTCACTGGGCACGGTGGCTCACACCTGTAATCCCAGCACTTTGGGAGGCTGAGGCAGGTGGATCACCTGAGGTCAGGAGTTTGAGACCAGCCTGACCAACATGGTGAAACCCCGTCTCTACTAAAAATGCAGAAATTAGGTGGGCGCCTGTAATCCCAGCTACTTGGGAGGCTGAGGCGAGATAATCGCTTGAACCTGGGAGGCAGAGGTTGCAGTGAGCCGAGATTGCACCACTGTCGTCCAGCCTGGGTGATAAGAGTGAAACTCCATCTCAAAAAAAAAAAAAAAAAATTTTTTTTTTTTTTTTTGCTATATACTCTTAGTTTACATCCTCTCCCCCAATCTTCACACACAGAGCCAAAGAGCAGTTATATTCTTGGGATACCATGATACCTCTGGGAAAGGAATTATATTCCCAAGGAGAGGTCCCATTGGATAAGAACAATACCATGGGACTTGAGTCTGAATGCCAACTTACTATTCACACATCCTTCTTAAAAACGAACACACTGTTTCTTTTCCTGACCTAGAGCATTCTAAAGTTCTGTTCAAATAAATAAAGGGCAAAATAAAGTAGATTTAACCAAGTGCCAGGTGGAATTCAAAAAACACATTCTTCCAGATAAATTCTACCTTTATGGTATGGATTTGAAAGTACTTTGCAGGAAAACAGTCAGTACTCTTTAAAAAGGGACTGCAGGGCTGGGTGTAGTGGCTCACACCTGTAATCCCAGCACTTTGGGAGGCCAAGGCAGGTGGGTCACTTGAGGCCAGGAGTTTGAGACCAGCCTGACCAACATGGCAAAACCCCATCTCTACTAAAATACAAAAATTAGCTGGGCATGATGGTGCACTCCTGTAATCCCAGCTACTTGGTAGGCTGAAGCATGAGAATTGCTTAAACCTGGGAGGCAGAGGTTGCAGTAAGCCAAGATCATGCCACTGCACTCCAGCCTGGGCAACAGAGTAAGACTCTGTCTTAATAAATAAATAAGAAAATAAAACGGAACTGCAGTGCTAACAGTAATTTATACATTTTTAAATGTTCTGAGTATGTTTTGACTGGGCTAGTGTAACAATATACTACCCTGAAAGTGCAGTTTTGATTGTTGTTGGTGTCTTTGGGTCAGGAAAGTGAACTGTGCCAAGAAGTATTTTTCAGTGACATGAATGGATTCCTGTTAATGCAATTGACTGAGAGATTGTGCTTACGCTTTCTTAACTGACAAAAAGAGGCTTTGTCCAACATCAGAATTGTTGAAACTGGTGCTGTTTTCTGTTGCACTGGGATTCTGATGATCTGGGATTTTCCCTCCTTGGCACAGTAAACACCATGACTGTCTTTATTGAGAATGTCGTCACAGTCCTTTAGTGATAGATTAGTTAGACCCATGGTTGCAATACCTTTATCTCCCCAAAGAAAATAATCAAAAGAAAGCACAAAAGCTACCCTGTTTGCAGAATATTTCACTGACATTGATTTGTCATTAATTCTACCAGAGCTGACCTCATTCAGGCTTGATAGAAACAGGTTCCTATGTTTAGGGCAGATCCCTAGCCTCTCGCTCACAGTGAGTCTGCATGTCCTAGATTCTGGTTATTGCTGGAGCATCCATTAAAGTCTACCAAACTCAGGACAGAAGAAGATAGCAGTGGATTTGTAAAAATTTTTAGTTTATAAATTACAGTCATTGGGGAAACACTAGTAAGGTCATGTGATCTTTTGGACCAGGATTTTCTCTCTGTCTTCTCTCTGGGTGTGTGTGTGTGTATGTACAGAAGGGCTACCAGGAAGTGTCAACCATGTTAGATTTTCTGTAGTCTTCCAGAAACAGTGCAGCCCATACAACAGGAATCTTAATTTTCCTCACAGCAAATATAACAGGATGGAACAGTTAGTGTTTTGTTTTCACAAGTGTCCACCACTCCATCTGCCCTGCATGGAGAGGGCTCTCTCACTGCTAGATCTAGGCTGAGCCATCTGGAAGGATCAAAGGGTGTGGGAGTATCACCCCCTCTCAGGCTGCAGAAGGTCTCGAGGGTGGCGTCACAGCAGGATTTCCGCCTTCTGCATTGCACTGCACAGCCCCATGGAACATGAGGCACTTGAGGCCTTGCTTCTTGGAGCCTCTGGGGAGCAGAGTAGGTCACTGCCCTCTGGGAGTGTTTTGCAGTAGTTTTGTAAATGTGTTGCTACATAGTCAAGTTCCTTTGTGGCAAAGAAATATTTTGTTTTGATATTAGGAGCCAGCCCATGTAATGCCTCTCAGGCTTGCTTGCTTAGAAGAAAAAAGTCACCCTTTGTGGTTTTTAAGAAAAAAATTCTGTGCAGATCTGTTCCTCCTCCTGCTCCTTCCCTTTTCTCTACATACAGTGCTCATTGGAGGCTCCTGCTAAACCTTCTTAACCAGAGAAATAATAGGTATTTGTTAGACCTGAGTGTACATTTCACATGTTATCCTTCACATATTTCTCATTTTCATCTAGTACTTTCTTAATGCCTTTGTTGGAGTCCGCATCCTCATCTTTAAAAAAAAAAAAAAAAAAACAGCTTAGCCTAAGCCACATTCACTTTTTTTAGTTCACAAAAAGGATTTAATAGCCACAATGTGATTTTTGCCACAACTGTGTGATTTTAATATTCTCTAATATCAAGGGCGGATTTAGAATTGCAGGAAATACCTGGAGAAATCACAGTGGAATGAATTTTTGCTTTAAGAGAAATGAGAGTTGGCTGTCTCTGTAATTGATAATACAGCTTCATCCTAGTCCCATCTGCATTTCAGAAAATAACCCTCATCTTTACAAAACACAGGACACTTGTGGGACAGTTAACTCAAGCAGCTATGGGGAGGGAGGAGATTATTGAATGGTGATTAAATAATGCAAATGGCTCTTCTGTTTCTTAAAGACTGTGGAAGAGGTCAGACTGCCCAGTTGAGGTGGGCAGTTCATACTGCTCAGTTGAGGTGGCAGTCATTTATTCTGAGTCCTGTTGGATAGAGCCTATCTCCTCAAGGCTACAGAGGCTTCCAGGATATGGAGCTGTGCATGTTAATGGCTCAGCCTTGCCTCCATCAGGGCACCTGCCTAACTTGGAGCAAGTGGGAGAGCACCCTAGAGTCATCCTCTGTGCTGTTTCGTGAGTTTTGCAGCGGAGACTTCACCATCCGGAGGAGCTGTGTTTCTGTGTCACTTGGGATATCACCTAAAAATGAAACATTTGATATTTTAAGGTATAAAAAAAAAGTAAATTGGGGAACATTGGCTGCAGTCCCTAAAAGATACTGTTGTCTGTGCATCAGGTTAGCTTGAGGTCACCACAGGTCCTGGGAGCCCAGAGAGTTTAGGCATACTCTCCTTTGGAGGCCAGCAGCCTTTCACAAACCCTGCCTCTAAAAGGGCGGTTTCACATTTGACCATGTTTTTGCATTAGCCTCAGAAACTCTTGTCTTTAGCTGATAACCTTTGAGGGATGTGAGAAGCCTAGTTGGAGCATCTGAGAAAATGATACCTCTCACCTTCAAATTAATCAAATAGTTTGTCCTTCTAGTCCCCTTATAAATTAATAAATGGAGGGCTGGTCATGGTGGCTCACGCCTGTAATCCCAGCACTTTGGGAGGCCGAGGCGGGTGGATCACAAGGTCAGGAGTTCAAGACCAGCCTGACCAATATGGTGAAACCCCATCTCTACTAAAAATACAAAAATTAGCCAGGTGTAGTGGCACGCTCCTGTAGTCCCAGCTACTCGGGAGGCTGAGGCAGGAGAATCGCTTGAACCCAGGAGGTGGATGTTGCAGTGAGCCGAGATCCCGCCACTGCACTGCAGCCTAGGCGACAGAGCAAGACTCCGTCTCAAAAAAAAAAAAAAAAAAAAGAAAAGGGAAGGGAATCCCATTTTGTGATGATTTGGGCACACTACTTGAGCTGAGGCTAGCAGTCACATGATTTTGGCTGTCTCTGACCTGAAGCTTTTGAAGTAAGGTTATGTCTCTTCCCTGAAGCTTTGTTTATAGTGGTAATTTGGTGAGTTTGAGCTTTGAGCTTGTCTTAGAAAATAAGACTGTCCACCTGGGGAGGGGAGCTTATAGGGAACCCGTGTTAACTCAGAATGCTGAAGAAAGTGCTTTTAGCCAACAAAAGTAAGATTACTATCTAGAAGGTGGAAAGAAGTCATTGCTTCTGTTCCTCCAGCAGTCAGTTGACTCTAGGTTTCCTTTGGTTTATATCCCCAGTTCTTAATACTAAAACTTATTTGACTTCCTATCAGGAAGCACACAAAAAAAGCGTCATTTAAAACCCTGGATATAGGCTTTAAAGGATACAAAAACAGCAGCATTGTCGTTTTGCCAGGTTCATCACCATTTTGATGTGCTACCCATCCTTCCACCCTCCCTTTCCTGCCCCCAAGCCTCCCAGCCAGGCCAGATGTGAAGATTCTATTAATCACTGTTTCAGAGAACATTAATTCTTGTATAGAATAATTATCTACTAAATTGCTTATTATCTGTGACTACCTTGCAGAGAACATCTCAACAGTGCAGTAAAATAGCTCTCCTAGACTTGAGCTTCCAGCCAGGCATTTAGATCACTCTTAAGCCTTTGTGGAATTCTGAGGAAAAAAAGCAAGATGCCTCAATGCCAATGCTGGGCCATAAGATTCTACTCCCCTCCCTGTAGGGTGGGGCGCGTGGCTCAGCTTTGGAAAATCATTTTGCCAGTAATATTGCCTGTGAATCCCTTTAAGAAGTCGTCCTGATCTGAGCCTGTCTTTCTGAGCACTTTGGTGCTGAATTGAAAATGGTAAGCTAAAGCAGTGACAGATCCACGTAGCCTCTTTAACCTCTTTATTATCTTGCCAAAAAAAAAGTTTCTCAGGTTAAACCTTTGTCTTTAACCTCCCTTTGTTGTGGAGAAAATGTGTCACTAATCAGTGGTCCAAGGGATATCTAGCTTTGGTTACTCAGTTCCTGCAGCATAACAGATATGACTTATGCCAGGGAAGGTAGAGGCTGATTATGGAGACACCCAGGAACAGGAATAAGAAGGGATAGGTCTGCTCCACGTAGAACCTCCCCAGATCGGAAGTTAAGTCTTGGAGAGTTTCCAAAGTGCTGAAGTAAAAAGGAGACTTGGAGGGCCTTTGCTTAATGAGCAAGAGGCTTGTGTCCTCCCAAGAACATGAGGGAGTTCAGAAGGGAGCTATAGCTCACAGACAGAAACCTGCCCGCTCACCCCATCCCTCGTGACTGGGAGCATGTTTGCTCAGAATTTTCTAAGAGGACTCTCCCTTCAAAAATCCAATTTGCTCCCAGAATGTTGTTTAGCCTCTGAGAATCTCACTCTTTCATTTCCATCTGTGAATGGACATAGATGTGTTGCTCAGGGATCAGAAACATCAGAGTCCAGGGCCCAGTGGCATGGTGTTGCATTAGTAGTTAGAAAAGTAATTGGTCAGCTCTACTGTAAAAGAAATAAGTATGTAGTACAGTTTTGTAAATGTCAGGTCTGTTCTATTGTTTTGTGATCTGAAGACTGTCAAACTGGTTGATAATCAAAGAAAAGGTTGGTGGTTAGAATAAGTAAAATTTCAGTTAGAAAGATATAGCTTACCAGTTTTCCATGTGCTTAAGGAAGTCAAGAATATTTCAGGTTGTTGAGAACTGTTGTAAAATGGAATTGAAGCTAGTGTCTCTCACCTTCTTAGGTGTATCAGAGAGAGGAAGTGGAAGGCCAGTAGTAGCATCTTCATACTTACTTTTGCCAGCCCAGCCTCCATTTCAAAGACTTTGTCTTCCATCCTATCCAATGACATGGTCAGGGATGGGCTCTGAGGAGGCAGTGAGGCCCCACCTTGGTTTGCTCCACTGTGGTGTGTAGTCTCCAAACAGCTTAAGGGTTTTTAAGTTTTCTCACGATTACCTCCACTCCACTCATCTACTATCAGCATCAGAAAGGTTAACATCCCTGGGACCATTCTACTTATAAAAGAGATGAACTAGTGTGCTTTCTCCCCTTTTCCAGGTGTGCCATCCATATACAATCTCCTCTTGGCCAAGTTCAACAAATGTTTCCAGGGAACCCCGTGGGTTGAGGCAAAGTAGCCAAGATGTATTGAGTTAAGTTTTTCTAGAGGACAAAAGTATTTCTTGTCCCTTTTCCCTCATGCTCATATGTTTTAGCTGAGGCGTAAATGGCCAAGTTGAGTAATATCTGTGGAACTGAGACAGAGAGCCAGGGACCCATGTACCCAGGGACCAGTCCCCTGGGGAATCACACAGTGGCTCAGACTAGACTGCTCTATCCCACCAGAACTCTGCTGCTGTTCATTTCCATCAGGACCACCCAGGAAAGCAAATAAGTTAGCCTTCTCATCATTAGGTCACCTAATCTCTTGGGTTGCAGGATGAGAGCATATATAGATCTCCTGTTTAGAGAGTGTGTTCATAATTGTAGAAAGGGATAGAAAATGGAATAACCAAGAGGCTGTGTCATTTTTTAAGAGGATGGCAAGGATGACCTCAAATGAGCTCAACAAAACTGGGAATCCAAGGAATGGTGCTTGTAGGGAAAGAGAGGTCAGTTGTGGTCCTTAAACCTCTTGGCACCTTGTGCGGGTTATAAAACAAGGAGCTGGAGTAAAATTGCCCTTACCCCCAATCCAAATGCTGTCCAGGATTTAGGAGCTACCCAACCTGTGGTTATATGGTGTTGGTTTCCATTTTTTGTTTGTTTGCTTGTTTCCAAAATAGCCTTGCTTGGTACTGCATGGAAAGTTCAAGCTTTTCTTCTTGCCCGCTCAGGGCTGGCCTCTTCCCCGTGTCTTCACAGCGTCCCTAAGGAAGATTTTTGCAGCACTCTCTGGAGCTGAGGGGAGTGAAATTTGGTCCAGAGAAGGCGGAAGGAAATAGTTTTCCTGTTTCCTTTTCTCGAGGTGGATGTCCTCAGGCTTCCTTCACACCTCCTTCTCATGGGTGCGGCTGGCAGTACAGTCAGGCTGTGGAGGAGGGCTGAGAAGAAAGGGGCACTGGTCCAGCCCCAGGTTTGGTCTGAGACAGGTACACAGCAGATACCATCCCACCTTCCTCTCTAAAGAACAGGCCAGCCACACATATAACCCTTTCCCTACTTTACTAATGTATCCCTTATGTGGTACCAGCAATGGAGGACAGGCAGACTTACCCCCTGCCATCTAGAGAGAATGTTGTTATTACCCGTAAAACTTGACCACCCCCATATCCCACTCCTTTTTGTAAAAACAAATGCTTAAACCTGTGAGCCTGCCGTTCCTTTCTATGTGTTAATCAGTTTCCTTCCATTTGAGCTGTGTGGGAGGGAAGGGCATTGAAATTGTAGGTTGTAATCTTGTGCCAACCAATAAAAACCAGTATTTCACACACATCCCTTTTAGTGTCTGGTCTCTTCTTTCCAGAGGCTTCCCTTGAGTCCTTCATGTCAGCCTTTTGGTTTCCCCCACTCCTCTGCTAGATTCTTGGGAATTGCCCTAGAGGTCAAGGGTGACCCCATGGAAGATTTGGTGTGCAGGGCATTCAGGTGAGAAACGCAGTGGAGAAAGCCAGAGGCTATTAAAATCAGCATGTTGTTGTATCTTGCCGTCCTTGCTACCAGGTGCCGAGACAGAGCCCTGGTTAGACGGTCAGTGCCCACTGCTGAGGAGAGGGCCTGTACCCCTTAGCCAGGGAGGCTTTCTAGGGGACCCAAAGGAGTTGGAAGGGGTAAGAGGTGAGCCACATCCAGAATAAGGAAGCATCACAAGAAGTTGCTTTCTTCTGTGTGGGGTGGAATCAGGAAGGGCGGAGCCATTTTTGAAGCTGTGAGTGGTAGGGCTTGCAGGCCGAGAATGGGTGGGCATCATCAGTGGGAGAGCAGCATTAAGTGAGCTCTGTTCCCTGGTCCCAAAATGGAAGGAACAGTTTGAGCTGTAATGGAAAACAAAAACTGATGAGATCAAATTATGGAAAGCAACAAAAGCCAGTCCAGAGAGTTTGGTTTTATGCATGGGCGTGGTCCTGAACAGGGCAATCATGTGGTATCAACCATGTCTGAGCAGGAGCCAGCAGGAGAGTTTGGAGTGGAGCAGTCTGGAAGCTGTTGTGATACCATGCTTGAGGCTCTGCAGACGCAAGGAGTGCAGTGGAAGTGCAGAGGGGGATATAGAAACAAGAATGAACAGCGTATCACAGAGAAACACCCATCCTCCGAGACAAGCTGGCTTCTCTAGGATGGGACTCTGTTGGCATCACCACTGGTCAAGTATTTTAAGCCAAGAAACCTGATGGGATCAGTGGGAGAGAGTCAATTCCAGGAACAAGACTCACAAATCTAATTCATAAGAGACTAATGTATGTGCCCAGATGCTAATCGGTTCATTTATATGATGATAAACATCAAAGTTACCTGGTTTGTGTACTGGCTGGCTGTATGGGAAGCAAAAAATAGGCAGAAAGTTGGTTACTGAGCAATAATAATGGTGTATTGACTTCATTCCACCACAGGACAAATTCCCTATCAGTTGGTCAGAGAACGCTCCCCCTAAAATTCTGATTCTGCAGGCTTCATTGTCCGTTCCATGATGATCACCCTTAATTCCTCCATCAAAGGATTCTTTTGCCAGATTTAGTGTATATGATGAGGCTATGAGCTCATACATGCTGATACAGGTGGGCCAGATTTAGTGTGTGTGATGAGGCTATGAACTCATACATGGTGATACAGGTGATGTACTCTGGAAACCACCAACTGGCCACCTCTAATTGGGATTTGAGTGTTCTGGAAACTTCCCACTCGCCCATGTCAGATCATTATGGACCATTCTAAAGCTGATCCATCATCACATTTACTACATGATGAGGGTAAATGGCAAAGTTCAGGATTACCTTTCTGCAGCCTAGTCTTCCAATGGCCTGCAGGACTTGTGGCTAGAGAGAAAGAACTCTAAAGAGACGCCCCAAAACTTCGGACGTGGGTGGAGAGAGGAAATCAGCCCAAAGGACACCATTGCAGCTCATATCATTGCGGGGAGCAGCACTGCACTTCCTCCATCCTTTGTTGACATGCCAGGTGGTAGCACTGACCGTCTAAGCCAGTTTGAGTTGGTGAAGTAACTGCTCATCCCCAGTCAGGGTGGCTTCCATCTCTGGGCACCTGATAACTGTTCCAAGAAAGCCTGGTGTTAACAAGCTATGGCCTTGCTTGCTTTCTGGTTTCCAACAGATTTAGGCTGTGAAGGGTTTATTTATGTCCTTGATCTTGTGACACCCAGCTAACATCTCAGCATCTGAGGATGTAGCCATGAGGTTCCATGTTCTGTGTTCTGAATACCAGCAGTGTGCTAAACCTAGGACACACAGTCCTCACAGAGGCACCTGCTTGGGTGACAGATGGCATGAAATGGGAGAGGTGACAGCCTGGGAAAAGTAAGCCACGTGGGGGGTGAAGTAGGAAGGAGCAATATCAGAGAGAGCTTGGGTGGGAGGACCATGGAAGGATGAGACGGAGATAAGAAATTCAGAAAAGGGAAGAAGGACAGTCATTCATCCGAAGGCTGCCTGGTGTAATAGAAGATACGAATGTTGGGAATTAGCCCAGGTCTCTGCTCCGCTGCTGACAAGCTCTTTGATCTTGAACAAATTACCATCCCTGCTCCCTCCTGTTCAGTGGGGGAGAAGTCTACTTTGCAGGATTAGTGTGTTAAATAAGTGAAAGAGTGTGTGTGACACCAAAGTCAGTGTGTGATTATCAAATGGTGGCACCTCTTTGGAAATGCCAAGGCCTGTGCTGAGTTCACTAAATAAGACACAAAGTCACAACAGACACAAGTAATCACAATGCAAAGCGATACATGCAATACAAGAAGCCCGAGGGAGTGTCTTAACTCCTCAAAGGAGGCATCGTCTGAGAGGATCCATGAGGGATGCATGGGATCCCAGCGTGAAGGGACAGCATGTTCGAGGGCAGAGCACTGTGTTCAGGGAACATGATAGGGATAGTGGGCAGGGAGGAGGGAGAAGCAGGAGGTGCCATAGGAAAGGTTAGCTGGGGTCAGGTGGCTTAGCAGGCTGTGTTTGAACTTTACTCTGCATGCCTGGGAAGCCAACAATGTTTTTAACAGAACAGTGACTGCATCAGGTTGGGCATTTGGGGAAGATGATACTATCTACTCAATGTTTCTTGTGTTCCTGGCCAGGTGGTGGTCACTGTTTTACACTTAAGTCTTCGCAGGCCTGTGAGGCATAGGTCATGGTAAAGGAAATGGAGGCTTAGGGAAGCTGTTTTCTAAAGGACCTAGACAAACTTATCTAAAAACTACAGGGTAAAGCACCAAGGATGTCTAAGACAATTTGAAGAAACTGCCAGGGAAAACACAGGACTACAATGGAAATCCTATGTTCAATCAGTATCAAGACTTAATATAAAGGTACAGTAACTAAATGTGATAAATGGAATAGCTGGATAGAAATAGAAATCAATTAGACAATAAAAGTGAGCAGGGGACCAAAAAACAGACCTGTGCATACATACATGGGAATATGGTAGGAGCCAGAGGAACCATGCACCTGAGTAGGGAAAGGAAGGGATCTTTAGCAAGTGGGGTTGGGACAATCAAGTAACAAGGATTGCTTGAGCCCAGAAGCAGGAGGCAACAGTGAGCTATGATTGCGCTAGTGCGCTCCAGCCTAGGACACAGAGGGAGACCTGGCTCGAAAAAGAAAAAAAAAGTCACAGTGGCTCATGCCTGTAATCCTAGCACTTTGGGAGGCCAGATCACCTGAGGTCAGGAGTTCAAGACCAGCCCAGCCAACATGGTTAAACCCCATCTCTATGAAAAATACAAAAATTAGCCCGGCGTGGTGGCAGGTGCCTGTAATTCCAGCTACTTGGGAGACTGAGGCAGGAGAATCGCTTGAACCTGGAAGGCAGAGGTTGTAGTGAGCCGAGATCATGCCACTGCACTCCATCCTGCCTGGGCAACAGAGCAAGACTCCGTCTAAAAAAGTAAAAATAAAAATTCCTACCTCCATTCACACCATTTATGAAAATAAATTCACAAATATGAAAAAAGAGTCATTTGTGAAATATCTAAGCTAAAGGAACTATAAATATGAACTTTTTAAGCCTGATTCTTCTTTCACTTACATTTTGTTCTCAAATAAAAGGAAGGTTTTTCTAAAAAAAAAAAAAGAAAAGAAAAAAGTCATAACGTTTAGAAGAAAATGTGGAAGTAAAGTAACATATCCAAGGTAATAGAAGTGCAGTTCAGCATGGGGGTCTGGTGTGCCAGAACCTGCCCACTTGGCAGTTCTCTCTTGGTCCTTTCAGACTGTAAGATGGACCAGGGCAAGGAGAAACTGAAGGTGGGGAGGGGCGAATGAGGGCTGGATTTGCACCTGGTCCCTACACACCTCACAGGAAGGGTTGCAAGGGAGGCAGAGGGAGGGACTTCCTCATGACATCACCATCACTCAATAAACAGGCAGTGGTGATGGGCCTAGATGCTGACAGGTGTCTTTTGTGAGAGAGACCATCAGGTACTCCACACAAACATCTATTGAGGGCAGATGGCTGGTCATTATGCTTAGGTAGGTGTGAAGAGGATACAGATAAAACAATAGCAGTGAATCCTTGCATGATAGAGCAGGAAGGATTTTAGGGATCATCTAGTCCAATCCTCTGTTTCACAGATTTAGAAATAGACACAATGAGAAGGGATTTCACCAGTATTCTAATTTGGAACTCTAAGTGGAAAATACAGATCACTGGCCATGCTGTAAATAGCTAGCTGCTCTGTTTCTATTGACATGAAAATCTTTTTTAAAATGGTTATCCTGGCTGGGCGTGGTGGCTCACACCTGTAATCCCAGCATTTTGGGAGGCCAACGCAGGTGGATCACTTGAGCTTAGGAGTTTGAGACCAGCTTGGCCAACATGGCAAAATCCCATCTCTACTAAAAATACGAAAAAATTAGCAGGGTGTGGTGGTGCATGCCTATAATCTCAGCTACTCGGGAGGCTGAGACATGAGAATTGCTTGAACCCAGGAGGCGGAGGTTGCAGTGAGCCAAGATCGCACCACTGCACTCCAGCCTGGAAGCCAGAGTGAGACTCTGTCTCCAAAAAAAGGTTATCCCACTCTGGCCACCAAACTCTATCAGCCAGTGCCACATCAAGACCCATGCCCATGACTTCATCACTCATTCACCATTAATTACTCCATCTTTCTTGTCCCCATGTCCTTCCAGTGTAGTCTCCCTCAGAATGCCAGACCCGAATTAATCCATCTTTTTTTTTTTTTTTTTGAGACGTCTCACTCTGCACTCTGTCACCAGGCTGGAGGGCAGTGGCACGATCTTGGCTCACTGCAACCTCCACCTCCCGGGTTCAAGCAGTTCTCCTACCTCAGCCTCGCGAGTAGCTGGGATTACAGGCACATGCCACCACACCCAGCTAATTTTCGTATTTTTAGTAGAGATGGGCTTTCACCATGTTGGTTCAGGATGGTCTCGATCTCTTGACCTCATGATCCGCCCGCCTCGGCCTCCCAAAGTGCTGGGATAATCCATCCATTTTTATCCCCTCCTATGTGAGAGCTGAGCCTGCCCAGAGAAAACCATATACACCATGGGGTCACTATGGGTTCATGCCTCCCCTCCACTCAGCCTCCAATGCTTCCTGTCAATGGCCAGTGACTACCACATTGACAAGTCCAAAGGTCACTTGTCAGTTCTCATCTGACCACTGACCACTGGCCCCCAAATCCTGTGGTGTCCTTGGCAACATTTCTTGTTCTCTTCCTACCCACAGCTTTCAGGGTAAGGTTCCACCTCCTTAGATTAGTACCCAATACCTTTTGTGAGTTAGCCCCTGCCCACCTCACCAGACTAATTTCTTGCCACTGCCTCATCCTTGTTTTCTCCTGGCCTCATAGAACTTCTTGCAGTTCTCCAAATGCATCCTATACCATCACACTGTTTCACAATTCACACCTTCTGTGCCCTCCTTTGGGAAAGATCTCTGAGATACTTCTCCCTACGCTGGACTGTGTGTCCGCCTGGACATGCCCCTGTTCTGAAGGTGCCTTCTGAACGAAGGGAAGATATTTCTCCATTGTGGTATCCAGCTAAGTGGTACAGAGCAGGTACCCTGGAAATGAAATATGGGTTGGAACAAGCAAAGAGCCAAATGACATTTTGGGGATGTCCACCACACAAGAAATGTGTGCCAGTGTCACCTGGTCCCCTCAACCCCCTCCCTCCAAATACCCCTTTCACTTCCCCCAAACCCTGGAAGCAAATGCAAGGTCCCCTGGGACCTGGTGTGGGAGACATTTGGAGCAGGTGGAGGAGGTGGGGAGAGCCATGCAAAGAGGCTCTTCCTTTGCGGCAAGGGTGACATTCAAACAGTGTGGCACCCACTGACCAGTCAGAATGAACACATGATGGAGGCCTCTCCTCTGAGGCCCCTTCCCCAGGTTTCTCTTCCTGCCTTGAGTCTGGAGGGCAAAGGAGTAGTAGGAGGAGGTGCTTTTCTAGGGTGAGGAAACCCTCAGTTCCTGCCGGTCCTCTTATCTCAGCTCAGCAGCCTGTGAACTCTCCCAGACCTGTGGCAAGAGCTAATGGGAGGCTGGTCACTTCCTGCCAGGCCTGTGCCTGGGACAGGCAGAGGAAGCCAAGTTTGGGTGAGCCTGGAAAGGAGGAGAAGAGGAGGGGCAGTTATGGGGACTTGCAGTTTATGGGGTGGAGTTGAGGGAAATTTGTTTTGCTTGGGGCGAACTCCATCTGAGGAAGTTGAGTGGACCAATTATAATAGCTAATATTATTTTTCTAGTGTTTTTCAACTTATAAAACACTCTCCCGGCCGGGTGCGGTGGCTCACGCCTGTAATCCCAGCACTTTGGGAGGCCGAGGTGGGCGGATCACAAGGTCAGGAGATTGAGACCATCCTGGCTAACACGGTGAAACCCGGTCTCTACTAAAAACACAAAAAAATTAGCCGGGCGTGGTGGCGGGCGCCTGTAGTCCCAGCTACTTGGGAAGCTGAGGCAGGAGAATGGTGTGAACCCGGGAGGTGGAGCTTGCAGTGAGCCGAGATTGCGCCACTGCACTCCAGCCTGGGCGACAGAGCAAGACTCCGTCTCAAAAAAAAAAAAAAAAAAAAAAAAAAAAAAGCACTCTCCCATCACTTCAGACCATTCCTTGAACACCTACTACCTGCATAGGCCCAGGGCCCAGGACCCAGACCTTCACATCTACCCTGAGAGGCAGGTACTTCCATCCACACCTCACTGCAGAGGCAGTTGAAGCCTGCAGGGGGCTGGAGGACGGGAGGGAAAATCAGTTGAATATGGAGCAGGTTGGGAAGGTGAAGGAAAGCTGGGGATGGAGAACAAGTATGTTGCAAGTCAGGCCTCTGGTGCTGTCAGGGGCTGGTCGGTGAGGGGTTCCCTCCGTTGAATCTTCAGGACTCACTTAGTCCCCGCTCACTTGTCCCTTGGAGGTATGCAGGCCCAGCATGGGGCACCTCATCCTCCCTCCCCCTAGCCTTGGCCCTGCCCAGCTCCACCGACCCCTTACCTCAGAGTGGGGTGGGAGCCCGAGGCCAACCTGGCCCCAGCTCCAGCCTCCCACAGGAGACCAACGGGTTTCCAACTGGCAGAGATGGTGGGAAAACCGCTCGAGTGAAGGTAGGAAAGTGGGAAAACACAGGGGCTGCACAAGGAACAAGTGATTTCGCAAAAAAGTGAGCCAGTGTAGGGAAAAGCCTGGAAGAAGGCGCCCCTGGGGTCAGGACACCCTGGGCTGGCCTGGCAAGGCTGGGCCTGTGCAACAAAGCGGCAGGCAGGAAGAGTCTGCGGGCAGTCTCAGTTCCTCTTCCTTACTGTGTCTGCCTCTTCCCAGTCCCTGGAGCTTGGTCTGTGGAGTTGTCAGTCATTAATTCCACTAATTAATTTTTAAAAGACTCTTTAAAAAACAATTTTTTGGCCAGGCTCAGTGGCTCACACCTGTAGTCCTAACACTTTGGGAGGCTGAGGTGGGAGGATGGCTTGAGCCCAGGAGTTAAAGACCATCCTGGACAACAAACTGAGACTCCCTTTCTACTAAAAATAAAAACCTAGCCAGGCATGGTGCTATGGGCCTGTAATCCCAGCTACTTGGGAGGCTGAGGTAGGAAGATCCCTTGAGCCCAGGAGTTCGAGGCTGCAGTGAACTATGATGGTGCCACTGTACTTCAGCCTGGGTGACAAAATGAGACCCTGTCTCTAAAACAAATTTTTTTAATTAAAATAAATTTAATTACTTAAAATCTTTAAAATAAATTTAAAACAATTTTAGGACAGGCACAATGGCTCATGCCTGTAATTCCAGCACTTTGGGAGGCCGAGGCAAGAGAATTGCTTGAGCCCAGGTTTTTGAGTCCAGCTGGGACTAAAGGCACACGTCACCACATTCTGATAATTTTTTTTTTATTTTTAGTGGAGACGGGGGTCTCACTATTTTGCCCAGGCTAATCTCCCGTTTCCTGGCTCAAGCAGTCCTCTTGCTTGGCGTCCCCAAATAATGGAATTACAGGCATAAGCCACCCCACCCGACTTTAAAAGGCATTCTTTATTACTTTTTTTTTTTTTTTTGTAGACAGTTTTGCTCTTGTCACCCAGGCTGGAGTGTAGTGGCACGACTTTGGCTCACTGCAACCTCCACCTCCCAGGTTCAAGTGATTCTCCTGCCTCAGCCTCCTGAGTGGCTGGGATTACAGGTGCCTGCCACCACGCCCAACTAATTTTTGTATTTTTTGTGGAGAAGGGGTTTTACCATGTTGGCCAGGCTGATCTTGAACTCCTGACCTCAGGTGATCTGCCTGCCTTGGCCTCCCAAAGAGCTAGGATTACAGGTGTGAGCCATCGTGCCCGACCTCTTTATCACATTTTTTAAAAAGTTGTATTGAGGCCGGGAGCAGTGGCTCACACCTGTAATCCCAGCACTTTGGGAGGCCAAGGCGGGTGGATCACAAGGTCAGGAGTTTGAGACCAGCCTGGCCAACATGATGAAACCCCGTCTCTACTAAAAAACACAAAAATTAGCTGGGCATGGTGGCTAAAGCCTGTAATCCCAGCTACTCGGGAGGCTGAGGCAGGAGAATTGCTTGAACCTGGGAGGCAGAGGTTGCATTGAGCCAAGATCGCACCACTGCACTCCAGCCTGGACGACAGAGTGAGACTCCGTCTCAAAAAAAAAAAAACGAAAACAAAAAACAGTATTGAACTATAATTAACATACAATAAGCTGCACATATTTAAAATGCGTAACTTGAAAAGTCATGACATGTTCGCCTATGAAACTATCACTACAACCAAGATAACGTACATATCCATCACTGCCAAAAGTTTTTTGTGCCCCTTTGTGCCCTCTCCCCTGGCCCTTGGCCCCCTAACCCTGGGCAAACACTAATCTGCTTTCTGTCCCATTACATGAGTTTGCATGTTCTAGAGTTTTCTATAAATGAAATCATACATCATAAATGTTGTATATGTTGTGAGGTATAGAGCCGGATTGATTTTTTTCCATGTAGATATCCAATTATTCCAACACCATTTGCTAAAATCCTTATTCCTGGTGTGCTGATTTTTCAGTCATAAAAGGGTGTTGATTTGTCAAATGCATTTTTTTGCATCCATTGAGATGATCATGGCTGGCACAGTGACCCATGCATGTAATCCCAGCACTTTGGGAAACCAAGGCTGGAGGATTGCTTGAGCCCGAGTTCAAGACCAGCCTGGGCAACATAGTGAGCGACCCCCATCTCTACAAAACATAAAAAAACTTAGCTGGGCATGGTGGCATGCACTTGTAGTCTCAGCTACGTGGGAGGCTGAGGTGGGAGGATCACTTGAGCCCAGGAAATTGATGCTGCAGTGAGCTATGATCATACTGTGTCCGGAATTGGTGGGTTCTTGGTCTCACTGACTTAAAGAACAAAGCCACAAACCCTCACGGTGAGTGTTACAGCTCTTAATGTGGCACGTCTGGAGTCTGTGCCTTCTGATCGATGTTCAGATGTGTTCGGAGTTTCTTCCTTCTGGTGGGCTCGTTGTCTCGCTGGCTCAGGAGTGAAACTGCAGATCTTCCCAGTGAGTGTTACAGCTCATAAAAGCAGTGTGGGCACAAAGAATGAGCAGTAGCAACATTTATTGCAAAGAGTGAAACAACAAAGCTTCCACAGTGTAGAAAGGATCCCGAGAGGGTTACCAACAAGGGCTCGGGCAGCCTGCTTTTATTCTCTTATCTGGCCCCACCCACATCCTGCTGATTGGTAGAGCCGAGTGGCCTGTTTTGTCAGGGCGCTGATTGGTGCGTTTACAATCCCTGAGCTAGATACAAAGGTTCTCCACGTCTCCGTCAGATTAGTTAGATACAGAGTTTGGACACACAGGTTCTCCAAGGCCCCACCAGAGCAGCTAGATACAGAGTGTCGATTGGTGCACTCACAAACCTTGAGCTAAACACAGGGTGCTGATTGGTGTATTTACAATCCCTGAGCTACATATAAAGACTCTCCACGTCCCCACCAGACTCAGGAGCCCAGCTGGCTTCACCTAGTGGATCCCGCACCGGGGCTGCAGGTGGAGCTGCCTGCCAGTCCGGCGCCGTGCGCTCGCACTCCTCAGCCCTTGGGTGGTCGATGGGACTGGGCGCCGTGGAGCAGGGGGTGGTGCTCGTTGGGGAGGCTCGGGCGGCACAGGAGCCCATGGAGTGGGTGGGAGGCTCAGGCATGGCGGGCTGCAGGTCCCGAGCCCTGCCCCGCAGGAAGGCAGCTAAGGCCCAGCGAGAAATCGAGCGCAGCGCCGGTGGGCCGGCACTGCTGGGGGACTCAGTACACCCTCTGCAGCCACTGGCCCGGGTGCTAAGTCCCCCATTGCCCGGGGCCAGCAGGGCTGGCTGGCTGCTCCGAGTGCGGGGCCCACCAAGCCCACGCCCACCCGGAACTCCAGCTGGCCCGCAAGCGCCGCACGCAGCCCCGGTTCCCGCTCTTGCCTCTCCCTCCACACCTCCCTGCAAGCTGAGGGAGTGGGCTCCAGCCTTGGCCAGCCCAGAAAGGGGCTCCCACAGTGCAGTGGGGGCGGCTGAAGGGCTCCTCAAATGCCACCAAAGTGGGAGCCCAGGCAGGGGAGGTGCCGAGAGCAAGCGAGGGCTCTGAGGACTGCCAGCATGCTGTCACCTCTCAATACTACATAATCCCACTGCACTCCAGCCTGGGCAACAGAGTGAGATTTTGTCTCAAACATAAATAATAAAATATTTTTATTAAAAAAGAGAGAGACGATCATGTGGGCAGTCTTGTTTCCCACTGTCACACTGCCTGTGCTCACCCTTGCCAGGTTGGCGTGGAGTACCCTGACCCCACTACTCACTACCCTTGGAGCCTCCAGTCACTTAGTACCTTAATCTCAGAGTCCCTAGCTTCAAAATGGAGCTAATGACATCTACCTCATAAAGATTATTAGTAGATTGAAAGAAATAACATACACGGGGTATGTTATTGTCTCACTGTCCTATTAATGTGGTGTATGACATTGAGTTTCTGTTGAACTACCTTTACATTCTTAGAATAAATCTTTGGTCATGGTATATAATCCTTTTTGATGTGCTACTGGATTTTTTATACTAGTTTGCTAGTAGTTGGTTGAGGGTTTTTTGTTTTTTGTTTTTTGAGACAGGGTCTCACTCTTTTGCCCAAGCTGGAGCACAGTGGTGCTATCACGGCTCACTGCAGCCTCAACCTCCCCGGGCTCAGGTGATCCTTCCACCTCAGTTTCCCAAGTAGCTGGGACTGCAGGTGCATGCCACCATGCCCAGCTAATTTTTTGTATTTTCTGTAGAGATGGGGTCTCACCATGTTGCCCAGGCTGGTCTTAAACTCCTGAGCTCAAGTGATTCTCCCCTCTCAGCCTGGCAAAGTGCTGGGATTACAAGCATGAGGCGCCACACCCAGCCTCAAACAACTGTCTTGGCTCAGTGTCCCAAGCGGCTAGGACTACAGGCATGGGCCACCACACCTGGCTAAAAAAATTTTTATTTTATTGATTGATTGATTGATTGCAGACAGTGTCTCACTCTGTTGCCCAGGCTGGAGTACAGTGGTACAATCAGCTCACTGCAGCCTTGAACTTCTGGGCTCAAGGGATTCTGCTGCCTCAGCCTCCTGAGTGGCTAGGACTATAGGTGCTTGTTGAGGATTTTTATATCTATATTCATAAGGAATATTGGTCTATCAATTTCTTGTGGACTCTTTCTCTGGCTTTGGTATCAAGGTAATGCTGGCCTAATAGAATGTGTTAGGAAGTGGATCCTCTTCAATTTTTGCAAGAGGCTGTGTAGGGTTGGTATCCATTCTTTTTTTTTTTCTTTTCTTTTTTTCTTTTTTTTTTCTTGTGGAGTCTCGCTTTGTCTCCCAGACTGGAGTGCAGTGGCGCAATCTCTGCCTCCCGGGTTCAAGCGATTCTCCCACCTCAGCCTCTCAAGTAGCTGGGATTACAGGCATGAGCCACCACACCCAGCTAATTTTTGTACTTTTAGTAGAGTCAGGTTTTCACCATGTTGGTTAGCCAGGCTGGTCTCAAACTCCTGACCACAGGTGATCCACCCGCCTCGGCCTCCCAAAGTGCTGGGATTACAGGCATGAGCCACTGGACCCCACCTACTTTTTTTCTTTTTTTGAGACAAAGTCTCTCTCTGTCAACTAGACTGGAGTACAGTGGTGTGATCATAGCTCACTGTAACCTTAAATTCCTGGGTTCAAACAATCCTCCTACCTTGGCTTCCCAAAGTGTCAATATTACAAGCATGTGCTACTGCACCTAGCCTTAATTTTTCTTTTTCTCTTTTTTTTTGAGATGGAGTCTCGTTCTGTCACCAGGCTGGAGTGCAGTGGCACAATCTCGGGTCACTGCAACCTCTGCCTCCCAGGTTCATGTGATTCTCCTGCCTCAGCCTCCCGAGTGGCTGAAACTACAGGCATGTGCCACCACACCCAGCTGAATTTTGTTGGTATTTTTAGTAGAGATGGGGTTTCACCATGTTGGTCAGGATAGTCTTGATCTCTTGACCTCGTGATCCACCCACCTCAGCCTCCCGAAGTGCTAGGATTACAGGCGTGAGCCACTGCGCCCAGCCCTTAATTTTTCTTTAAATGTTTGATAGAACTGGCCAATGAAGCCAACCTGATCCTGGACTTTTCTTTGTTGGGAGATTTTTTTTTTTTTGAGACAGAGTTTAGTTCTTGTTGCCCAGGCTGGAGTGAGTGCAGTGGCACCATCTCAGCTCTCTGCAAGCTCCACCTCCGGGGTTCAAGTGATTCTCCTGCCTCAACCTCCCTAGTAGCTGGGATTACAGGCATGCACCACCACGCCTGGCTAATTTTGTATTTTTAGTACAGATGAGGTTTCACCATGTTGGCCAGGCTGGTCTTGAACTCCTGACCTCAGGTGATCCAGCCGCCTTGGTCTTCCAAAATGCTGGAATTATAGGCATAAGCCATCGTGCCCAGCTGTTGGGAGATTTTTGAGTACGGATTCTATCTTTTATTATAGGTCTGTTGAGATTTTTTATTTCTTCTTGAGTCAGTTTAGATAATTTGTGTGTTTCTAGGAATTTTTCCATTTCATCCAGATTATTTTATTTGTTGGCATACAATTGTTCATAGTATTTGCTTATAATCCTCTTAATTTCCGTAAGGTCAGTAGCAATATTTCTGCATTTATTTCTGATTTTAGGTATTTGCGTCTTCTCTCTCTTTTTCTTAGTCTAAAGTTTTAATTTTTCTTGGGTCTTTTCAAAGAACCAACTTTGGTTTTACTGATTCTACTTTTTTTTTTGACGGAGTCTCACTCTGTCGCCCAGGGTGGAGTGCAGTGGTACGATCTCGGCTCACTGCAACCTCCGCCTCCCAGGTTCAAGCAGTTCTCCTGTCTCAGCCTCCAGAGTAGCTGGGACTACAGGCGCGTGCCACCACACCCAGCTAACTTCTTTGTATCTTTAGTAGAGACAGGGTTTCACCATATTGGTCAGGCTGGTCTCGAACTGCTGACCTCAGGTAATCTACCTGCCTCAGCCTCCCAAAGTGCTGGGATTACAGGCGTGAGCCATTGAGCTTGGCCAATTCTACTTTTAAAAATTCTCTACATCATTTATCTGTTATCTAATCTTTATTGTTTCTATCCTTCTGCTGGGTTTAGGTTTTGTTTGCTCTTCTTTTTCTAATTCCTTAAGGTGTAAAGCTAGGTTGTTGATTTGAGATCTTTAGGCATTTACAGCTATAAATTTTCCTCTGAGTACTGCCTTTACTACATCCCATCAGTTTTGGTATGTTTTCATTGGTCTAAAAATATCTTATATTTCCCTAGTGGTTTCTTCTTTGACTTGCTGGTTTAAGAGTGTGTGGTTTACTTTCCACATATTTGCAAATTTTCCAGTTTTTCTTCCACATTTGATTTCTAGCTTCATTCCACTGTGGTCAGAGAAAGTACTTTGTATGAGTTTAGTCCTTTGAAATTAATTGAGAATTCTTCCATGGGCTAACACCTATGTTAGTAAGGGATTTTGGCCTGTAGTTTTCTTTTGCACCTTTGTCTGCTTTTGATATCAGGGAAAAACTGAGTCAGAATGAGTTAGAAAATATTCTCTCCTCTCAATTTTTTGGAAGAGTTTAGGAAAGATTGGTATTAATTCTCCTTTAGATGTTTGGTTACAAAAAAAAATTGACCAGTGAAGCCATCTAATTCTGGGCTTTTCTTTGTTGGAAGGTTTTTACGTTTATTAAGATCTGTTTTGTGGCCTAACATATCGTCTATCTGGGAGTGTGTTCCATGTGCCCTTGAGGATACTGTATAGTCTGCTGTTGCTGAGTGGAGGGTTTTGTATATGTCTGTTAGGTCTAGTTGGTTTATACTGGTTTTCTTTTCTTTCTTTTTTTTTTTTTTTAAGACAGTTTCACTCTCGTTGCCCAGGCTGGAGCGATCTCAGCTCACTGCAACCTCCGCCTCCCAGGTTCAAGCGATTCTCCTGCCTCAGTCTCCCGAGTAGCTGGGATTACAGGCATGTACCACCATGCCCGGCTAATTTTGTATTTAGAGACGAGGTTTCTCCATGTTGGTCCAGCTGGTCTCGAACTCCCGACCTCAGGAGATCACCTGCCTCTGCCTCCCAAAGTGCTGGGATTGGAGGCATGAGCCACCACACCCGGCATGGTTTATACTGGTTTTCAAGTCCTATGTTTCCTTATTGATCATCTCTGTAGGAATGTATTCCACCCATTGAGAGTAGGGGATTGAAGTCTCCAACTACTATTGAACTATTTCTAAACAAATACCTCATGTTCCTATGTATGTGGAAAATAAAACAATCAAACTCATAGAAGTGAAGAGTATATTGGCCAGGCGCAGTGGCTCACGCCTGTAATCCCAGCACTTTGGGAGGCCGAGGCGGCTGGATCACGAGGTCAGGAAATCGAGACCATCCTGGCTAACATGGTGAAACCCTGTCTCTACTAAAAAATACAAAAAATTAGCTGGGTGCGGTGGCGGGCGCCTGTAATCCCAGCTACTCGGGAGGCTGAGACAAGATCGCGCCACTGCACTCCAGTCTGGGCGACAGAGCGAGACTCCATCTCAAAAAAAAAAGAAGCAAAGAGTATATTGGTGGTTACCAGAGGCCACGCGTAGGGGGAATGGAGAGATGTTGGTCAAATTGTATAAAGTTGCAGTTAGACAGGAGGAATAAATGGTAAGTATTTAAGGACATGGATATGTAATTCGCTTGATTCAATAATTCCAAACTATAAACATATATAATAATATCACTTTGTACCCCTTAAAGATGTAAAATTATAATTTGTCAAAAATTAAAAATTTTAAATAGTAACTAAATAAAATAATGCTGCTACAGGCCAGGCGCCATGGTGCACGCCTGTAATCCCAGCACTTTGGGAGTCCAAGGTGGGAGGATCACTTGAATCCAAGAGTTCTAGACTGGCTTAGGCAATATAGTGAGACTTCACCTCTACAATTTTTTTTTTTTAATTAGCCAAGCATGGTGGCACACACCTGTAATCCCACCTACTCAAGGAAGTGAAGATGGGAGGATCACATGAGCCCAGGCCGCGAAGGCTGCAGTGAGCCAAGACAGCGCCACTGCATTCCAGCCTGAGTGACAGAGTGAGACCCTGTCTCAAAAAATAATAATCTGCTATAAATATTTTTGTACACATTTGTTGAAGACATATATTTTCATTTTTTTCTGGGCATGTACTTGCCGTATCATTAGGTAAGTTTATATTTGAATCTACGCTCTTTCCCTCGGAGCGGGCGGCGCGGCGGCGTCGGCGGCCTGTGCAGCAATGGCCAAGATCAAGGCTCGAGATCTTCGCGGGAAGAAGGAGGAGCTGCTGAAACAGCTGGACGACCTGAAGGTGGAGCTGTCCCAGCTGCGCGTCGCCAAAGTGACAGGCGGTGCGGCCTCCAAGCTCTCTAAGATCCGAGTCGTCCGCAAATCCATTGCCTGTGTTCTCACTGTTATTAACTAGACTCAGAAAGAAAACCTCAGGAAATTCTACAAGGGCAGGAACTACAAGCCCCTGGACCTGCGGCCTAAGAAGACACGCGCCATGCGCCGCCGGCTCAACAAGCATGAGGAGAACCCGAAGACCAAGAAGCAGCAGCGGAAGGAGCGGCTGTACCCGCTGGGGAAGTACGCGGTCAAGGCCTGAGGAGCGCATTGTCCATAAAGCACGCCTGGCTGAGAAAAAAAAAAAAAATCTATAAGAAAATTCTAAACAGTTTTCCAAAGTGGTTGTACCATGCCACACCACTACCAGTGATGCATGAGAATTTCAGTTGTGCCATATTCTCTTAAAAATTAAATATCTTTCTTTTTTAAAAACTATTTCTGCCCCCAACTCTGCCAATACTTGCTTCATATATTATGGGACTCTGTTGTTCAACATGTATGTTATTATACTTGCCGTATCTTCTTGATGAATTGACTCCTTTATCATTATAAAATGTCTTCCTTTATCTTGTGTAACACTTTTTTACTTAAAATCGATTTTGTCTAATATTAGTATAGCCATTTTTGCTCTCTTTACACTCTTCATGGGATACCTTTCCCATCCTTCCACTTTCAATTTATTTGTGTCTTTGAGTCTAAAGTAAGTTTCTTTTTTTTTTTTTTTTTTGAGGCAGAGTCTTGCTCTGTCACCCAGGCTGGAGTGCAGTGGCGCTATCTCGGCTCACTGCAAGCTCCACCTCCCGGGTTCACGCCATTCTCTTGCCTCTCAAGCTCCACCTCCTGGGTTCACACCATTCTCCTGCCTCAGCCTCCTGAGTAGCTGGGACTACAGGCGCCCGCCACCACGCCTGGCTAATTTTTTGTATTTTTGGTAGAGACGGGGTTTCACCGTGTTAGCCAGGATGATCTCAATCTCCTGACCTCGTGATCCACCCACCTCGGCCTCCCAAAGTGCTGGGATTACAGGCGTGAGCCACCGCACCCGGCCTAAAGTTTCTTATAAATAGCATATACTTAATGTACTTGGATTTTCTTTTCTTTTTTTTTTTTTGAGACAGAGTCTCGCTCTGTCGCCAGGCTGGAGTGCAGTGGCATGATTTCGGCTCACTGCAACCTCTGACTCCCTGGTTCAAGTGATTCTCCTGCCTCAGCCTCCTTAGTAGCTGGGATTACAGGCACGTGCCACCATGCCTTGCTCATTTTTGTGTTTTTAGTAGAGACAGGGTTTCACCATGTTGATAAGGCTGGTGTTGAACTCCTGACATCAGGTGATCCACCCACCTCGGCCTCCCAAAGTGCTGGGATTACAGGCCTGAGCCACCACGCCCAGCCACTTGGATTTTAAAAACCGTTTCAAGGCTGGGCATCGTGGCTCAGAAAAAACACTTTTTTCTGTTTTTTTCAACAGAGCGAGACTCCATCTCAAAAACTAAAGTAAAATAAATTAAAAAAAAAAAAAAAACATTTCTGGCTAGGCGTGGTGGCTCATGCCTGTAATCCCAGCACTTCGGGAGGCCAAGGTAGGCAGATCATGAGGTCAGGAGTTCGAGACCAGCCTGACCAACATGGTGAAAGCCTGTCTCTACTAAAAAAATACAAAAATTAGGTGGGTATGGTGGCCCATGCCTGTAATCCCAGCTACTCAGGTGGCTGAGGCAGGAGAATCATTTGAACCCAGGAGGCGGAGGTTACAATGAGCCAAGGTCACGCCACTGCACTCCAGCCTGGGCAACAGAGCGAGACTCCATCTATAAATAAATAAATAAAATAAACATTTCAACCATTTTTCAGTCTACATTTCAGTGGCATTAAGTACATTCACACTTTACAACTATTGCCACCATCAATTTCCGGAACCTTTTTCCTCTTCCCAAACTGAAACTCTGTACACATTTAACAATAACTCTCATTCTCCTCTCCTCCTAGTCCCTGGAAAGTCCTATTCTTTCTATGAATTTGGTTATTCTAGGTACCTCATATGAGTGGAATCATACAGTTTTTGTTCTTTTTTTGATTGGCTTATTTCATTTAGCATACTGTCTTCCAGGTTCATTTCTGTTGTAGCATGTGTGAGAATTTCATTCTTTTTGAAGGCTGAATAAAATATTCCATTGTATGTATATACCACAGTTTGTTTATTCATTCAATTGTTGATGAGCACTTGGGTTGCTTCCACCTTTTGGCTGTTGTGAATGCTGTGAACATGGGTGTACAAATATCTGTTCAAATCCCTGCTTTCACTTCTTTGGGATAATATCAGATACGGTTTGGCTGTGTTCCCACCCAAATCTCAACTTGAATTGTATCGTCCAGAATTCCCACGTGATGTGGGAGAGGCCCAGAGAGAGGTAATTGAATCATGGGGCCGGTCTTGCCCATGCTATTCTCGCGATAGTGAATAAGTCTCACAAGATCTGATTCGTTTGCTGCAGGGGCGGGGCCCTCATGGAGAACCTCTGCTAAGGCAGTGTGGAAGGGAAATGTGGGGTCGGCGCCCCCACACAGAGTCCTTCCTGGGGCTCTGCCTAGTGAAGCTGTGAGAAGAGGGCCACCATCCTCCAGACCCCAGAATGGTAGATCCACCTACAGCTTGCACCGTGGACCTGGAAAAGACACAGACACTCAACGACAGCCTGTGAAAGCAGCAGCAGGAGGCTGTACCCTGCAAAGCCACAGAGGCGGAGCTGCCCAAGACCGTGGGCACCCCTATCTTGCATCAGCGTGACCTGCATATGAGACCTGAAGTCAAAGGACATCATTTTGGAGTTTTAAAATTTGACTGTCCTGCTGGATTTCAGACTTGCATGCGCCCTGTAACCCGTTTGTTTTGGCCAATTTCTCCCAATTGGAACAGCTGTATTTACCCAATACCTGTGAACCCCATTGTATCTAGGAAGTAGTTAGCTTGCTTTTGATTTTATAGGCTCATAGGTGGAAGGGACTTGCCTTGTCTCAGATGAGGCTTTGAACTGTGGACTTTTGGGTTAATGCTGAAAAGAGTTAAGACTTTGAGACCCGGCGCTGTGGCTCACACCTGTAATCCCAGCACTTTGGGAGGCCGAGGCGGGCGGATCACGAGGTCAGGAGATCAAGACCATCCTGGCTTACACGGTAAAACCCCGTCTCTAATAAAAACAAAAAAATACAAAAAATTAGCTGAGCGTAGTGGCGGGCGCCTCTAGTCCCAGCTACCCCAGAGGCTGAGGCAGGAGAATGGCGTGAACCTGGGAGGCGAAGCTTGCAGTGAGCTGAGATCGTGCCACTGCACTCCAGCCTGTGTGACAGAGCAAGACTCCGTCTCAAAAAAACACAAAAAAACAAAAAAAGACTTTCAGGCACTGTTGGAAAGCCATGATTGGTTTTGAAATGTGAGGACATGAGATTTGGAGGGGCCAGGGGCAGAATGATATGGTGTGGCTGTGTCCCCACCCAAATATCAACTTGAATTGTATCTCCCAGAATTCCCATGTGTTGTGGGAGGATCCCAGGGGAGATAATTGAATCATGGGGGCTGGTCTTTGCCGTGCTATTCTCATGATAGTGAATAAGTCTCACATGATCTGATGGGTTTATCAGGGGTTTCCTCTTTTGCTTCTTCCCATTTTTCTCTTGCCGCCACCATGTAAGAAGTGCCTTTTGCCTCCTACCGTGATGCTGAGGCCTCCCCAGGCATGTGGAACTGTAAGTCCAATTAAATCTCTTTTTCTTCCCAGTCTTGGGTATGGCTTTATCAGCAGCATGAAAATGAACTAATACAATATCCAAAAAAGTGTAATTGCTGAGTCATATGGTAATTCTATTTTTTTTTTTTTTTAAAGACGGGGTCTTCCCATGTTGTCCAGGCTGGTTTCAAACTCCTGAGCTCAAGCAATTCTCCTACGTCAGCCTCCCAAGTAGCTGGGACTACAGGCACATACCATAACGCCTGGCTTATTTTTAATTTTTTGAGGAACTTCCATACTGTTTTCCTTAGTGGCTGCATCTCTTTACATTCCCACCAGCAGGGTACAAGGGTTGTAATTTCTTCACATGCTCATGAACACTTTTTCTGTTTTTTTAAAATATATTATTTAAAAAATGTATTATTTAGAAAATATCCATCCTAACGGGTATGAAGTGGTATCTCATTGTGGTTCTGATTTTTTTTTTTTTTTTTTCTGGTAGAGATGGGCGTCTCACAACGTTGCCCAGGCTGATCTTGAACTCCTGGGCTCAAGCAATCCTCCCATCTCAGCTTCCCAAAATACTGGAATTACAGGCATGAACTAACATGCCTGACCCATTGTGGTTCTGATTTGCATTTCCCTAATTATTAGTGATGTTGAACATATTTTTATTTGCTTATTTGCCATTTGTCTTTCTTCTTTGGATAAATGTCTGTTCAAGAGTAGTTGGATCATTTTAAAATCCATTCTGCCAATCTCTGTCTTATATTCTGAGTGGTAAAATATAAATAATAGGCCAAACATGGTCGCTCATGCCTGTAATCACAGCACTTTGGAAGGCCGAAGTGGGTGCATCACTTAAGGTCAGGAGTTTGCGACCAGGCTGGCCAACATGGAGAAACCCCATCTCTACTAAAAATACAAAAATTAGCCAGGCGTGGTGGTGCGTGCCTGTAATCCCAGCTACTCAGGAGGCTGAGGCACGAGAATTGCTTGAACCCAGGAGGCAGAGGTTGCAGTGAGCTGAGATCATGTCACTGTACTCCAGCCTGGATGACAGAGTAAGACTCTGTCTCAAAAAAAAAAAAAATATATATATATATACACACACACACACACACACACACACACACACATATATGTATACATGTATATATGTGTATATATATAAAATATAAAATTTACCATTTTAACCTTTTTTTTGAGATGGCTATATATATATGTAATTATATATATAATTATATATATCTATATTATATATAATATATATAATAGATTATATAATATATAATAGATATATAATAGATTATATAATATATAATAGATATATAATAGATTATATAATATATAATAGATATATAATAGATTATATAATATATAATATATATATAGAAACCCCGTCTCTACTAAAAATACAAAAAATTAGCCGGGCGTGTTGGCGGGCACCTGTAGGCCCAGCTACTTGGGAGGCTGAGGCAGGAGAATGGCGTGAACCCAGGAGGCGGAGCTTGCAGTAAGCTAAGATCGTGCCACTGCACTCCAGCCTGGGTGACAGGGCGAGACTCCGTCTCAAAATAAATAAATAAATAAATGCATTCTTGTGGGCAGCATATATTGAATCTTGCTTTTTTATCCAGTCTAAAAATCTCTGATATTTAAATAGGTTGTTTAAACCATTTACTTTATTATCATTATTATTTTTCTTGAGACAGAGTCTCACTCTGCTACCCAGGCTGCAGTGCAGTGGTGCAGTCACAGCTCACTGCAGCCTCAACCACCTGGCCTTAAGTGATCCTCCCAACTTAGCCTCCAGGTATCTAGGATTACAGGCATGTGCTACCACGCTGGGCTTTTTTTTTTTTTTTTTTTTTTTGGTAGAGACAGGGTCTTCCTATGTTGCCCAGGCTTGTCTTGAGCTCCTGGGCTCAAGCAAATCTCCCACCTCAGCCACTCCAAGTTCTTGGATTATAGGCAAATGCCACCACGCCTAGCCTCCCATTTACTTTATTATTATTATTTTTTTTTTTGAGACGGAGTCTCGCTCTTTCGCCCAGGCCGGAGTGCAGTGGCGCTATCTTGGCTCACTGCAAACTCCGCCTCCCGGGTTCACGCCATTCTCTTGCCTCAGCCTCCCGAGTAGCTGGGTCTACAGGCGCCCGCCACCGTGCCTGGCTAATTTTTTGTATTTTTAGTAGAGACGGGGTTTCACCGTGTTAGCCAGGATGGTCTCGATCTCCTGACCTCGTGATCTGCCTGCCTCGGCCTCCCAAAGTGCTGGGATTACAGGCTTGAGCCACCGCGCCCGGCCTTTTTTTTTTTTTTTTTTTTTTTTTTTTTTGAGACGGAGTCTAGTTCTGTCACCCAGGCTGGAGTGCAGTGGTGTGATCTTGGCTCACTGCAACCTCTGCCTCCTGGGTTCAAACGATACTCCTGCCTCAGCCTCCCGAGTAGCTGGGATTACAGGCGTGTGCCACCACGCCCAGGTAATTTTTGTATTTTTAGTAGAGACAGGGTTTCACTGTGTTGGCCAGGCTGGTCTCAAACTCTTGACCTCGTGATCCGCCCACCTCGGCCTCACAAAGTGCTGGGATTACAAGCGTGAGCCACCGTGCCCGGCTCCCATTTACTTTTTTTTTTTTTTTTGAGACAGAGTCTTGCTGTGTCGCCCAGGCTGGAGTGCAGTGACAAGATCTCGGCTCACTGCAAGCTCTGCCTCCTGGGTTCACGCCATTCTCCTGCTTCAGCCTCCCGAGCAGCTGGGAATACAGGCGCCCACCTCCATGCCCTGCTAATTTTTTGTGTATTTTTAGTAGAGCCTGGGTTTCACTGTGTTAGCCAGGATGGTCTCAATCTCCTGACCTCGTGATGCGCTCGCCTCGGCCTCGCAGTGCTGGGATTACAGGAGTGAGCCACCGTGCCTGGCCCCCATTTACTTTTAATGTAATGATTGATATAGTATGTTTCATTTTATCATCCTGCTATTTTTTTTTTCTTTTAGACGGAGTCTCGCTCTGTTGCCTAGGCTGGAGTGCAATGGCGCAATCTCTGCTCACTGCAACCTCCGCCTCCCGGGTTGATGCCCTTCTCCTGCCTCAGCCTCCTGAGTAGCTGGGACTACAGGCACATGCCGACATGCCCGGCTAATTTTTTGTATTTTTAGTAAAGACGGGGTTTCACCGTGTTAGCCAGGATGGTCTTGATCTCCTGACCTCATGATCCTCCCGCCTCTGCCTCCCAAAGTGCTGGGATTACAGGCATGAGCCACCATGCCCGGCCTTGTTTTTGTTTTGTTTTGTTTTGTTTTTTGGTTTGTTTGTTTGGAGATGGAGTCTTGCTCTGTTGCCAAGGCTGAAGGGCAGTGGCATGATCTTGGCTCACTGCAACCTCTGCCTCCCGGTTTTAAGTGATTCTCCTGCCTCAGCCTCCCAAGTAGCTGGGATTACAGGCACCTGCCACCATGCCTGGCTAATTTTTGTATTTTTAGTAGAGACGGGGTTTCTCCCTGTTGGCCAGGCTGGTCTCGAACTCTTGATCTCAGGTGATCCACCCGCCTTGGCCTCCCAAAGTGCTGGGATTACAGCGTGAGCCACCGTGCCGGCCTTTGTTATTTGTTTTCTAATTATCTTATCTGTTCTTGGTTCCCCTGTTCCTCTTTTTCTGCTTTTTTTTTTTTTTTAGATTTCTTATTTTATATCCACTTTATTTTCTTTGTTGGTATCTATAACTCTGTTACTTTATTAGTTACTTTAGGGTTCATACTATACATCATTAACTCACCACAGTCTATCATTAAGTGATATTATACAACCTCATATATATATGAATACAGTAGTATATTCCCATTTCTTTCCCAACCTTTATGCTATTAAAGTAATACATTAAATTGAATCCTTTATATTTATCGAGACTTGTTTTTTGTTTTGTTTTGTTTGAGACAGAGTTTCACTCTTGTCACCCAGGCTGTAGTGCAGTGGCATGATCTCTTCTCACTGCAACCTCCGCCTCCCGGGTTCAAGTGATTCTCCTGCCTCAGCTCCCAAGTAGCTGGAATCACATGCATGTGCCACCACACCTGGCTAATTTTTGCATTTTTAGTAGAGACGAGGTTTCACCATGTTGGCCAGGCTAGTCTGGAACTCCTGACATCAGGTGATCCACCCGCCTTGGCCTCCCAAAGTGCTGGGATTACAGGCGTGAGCCACCACGCCTGGCTGAGACTTGTTTTATGGCTCAGAATATGGTCTGTCTTGATAAATGTTCCATGTGCAAAAGTCCCACAATACAGTATTGGGCTTTTTGTTTTGTTTTTTACAATCGATTACTTTTTTTTTTCTTTTTTTGAGATGGAGTCTTGCTCTGTCTTCCAGGGTGGAATGCAGTGGTACAATCTCGGCTCACTTTAACCTTCGTCTCCTGGGTTCAAGCGATTCTCCTGCCTCAGTCTCCCCGAGTAGCTGGGACTACAGGTGCGTGCCACCACACCCGGCTATTTTTAGTAAAGACGGGGTTTCGCCATGTTAGCCAGGCTGGTCTCAAATTCCTTACCTCAGGTGATTGGCCTGCCTTGGCCTCCCAAAGTGTTGGGATTACAGGTGTGAGCCAACGTACCTGGCCTCAATTACCTCTTTAAAAAGATTTAACTAACAGATGGGGCAAGCCGGGCACAGTGACATGCTTCTGTAATCCCAGCTACTTGGGAGGCTGAGGCATGAGGATTGCTTGAACCAAGGAGTTCTAGACCAGCCTAGGCAACATAGGGGGAACTGGTCTCTAAAAACAAACAGGCCAGGCATGGTGGCTCATGCCTGTAATCCCAGCACTTTGCGTGGCTGAGGCGGGTGGGTCACCTGAGGTCAGGAGTTTGAGACTAGCCTGGCCAAGGTGAAACCCCATCTCCACGAAAAATACAAAAATTAGCCGGGCGTGGTGGTGGGTGCCTGTAATCCTAGTTACTCAGGAGGCTGAGGCAGGAGAATCGCTTGAACCTGGGAGGCGGAGGTTGCAGTGAGCCGAGATCGCGCCATTGCACTCCAGCCTGGGCAACAAGAGTGAAACTCTGTCTCAAAAAAATAAATAAATAAAAGCAAACAAAGAAAAATGGTGGTGGTGGAGGGAATATATGTGTATATGTGTGTGGAATATATGTGCATATATGTTTGTACATATATACATACTGACACATATATATATATTTACATATATACATACTCACATAGCTACCATTTTCAGTATTCTTCATTCCTTTGGATAGGTCCATATTTTTTTTGAATTTTTTTTTTCAGTAGGTTTTTGGGGAACAGGTGGTGTTTGGTAAGTTCTTTAGTAGTGATTTCTGAGATTCTGGTGCACCCATCCCCTGAGTCGTGTACACTGTACCCGATGTGTAGTCTTTTATCCCTCACCCCCCTCCCATCCTTTCCCCCAAGTCCTCCAAGTCCACTGTATCATTCTTATGCCTTTGCATCCTCATGGCTTAGCTCCTACTTACAAGTGAGAACATATGGTGTTTGGTTTTCCATTTCTGAGTTACTTCACTTAGAATAATGGTCTCCAACTCCATCCAGGTTGCTGCAAATCCTATTATTTCATTCCTTTTTATGGCTGAGTAGTATTCCATGGTGTGTGTATATATATATATATATATATATATATATATATATATATATATATATATATATAAAATAGTATTCCATGGTATGTATATATATCACATTTTCTTTATTCACTCATTCATTGATGGGCATTTGGGCTGGTTCCATATTTTGGCAATTCCGAATTGTGCTGCTATAAACATGTGTGTGCAAGTGTCTTCTTTCTTTTTCTTTTTTTTGTTGAGACAAGTTCTCGCTCTGTCTTATTCTTTTGCCCAGGCTGGAGTGGAGTGCAGTGGCGTGATCTCGGCTCATTGCAACCTCCACCTCTTGGGTTCAAGCGATTCTCGTGCCTCAGCCTCCAAAGTAGCTGGGACTACAGGTGTGTGCCATCACGCCCAGCTAATTTTTGTAGTTTTAGTAGAGACGGGGTTTCACCATGTTGGCCAGGCTGGTCTCAAACTCCCGACCTTAGGTGATCCGTCCACCTCGGCCTCCCAAAGTGCTGGGACTACAAAGTGCTGAGCCACTGAGCCCAGCTGCAAGTGTCTTTTTTTCATATAATGACTTCTTTTACTCTGGGTAGATACCCAGTAGTGGGATTGCTCAATCAAATGGTAGATCTACTTTTAGTTATTTAAGGAATATCCACACTGTTTTCCACAGTGGTCGTACTAGTTTACATTCCCACCAGCAGCGTAAAAGTGTTCCCTTTTCACCACATCCATGCCAATATCTATTGTGTTTCTTTCTTTTTTTTTTTTTTTTTTTTTGAGGCAGAGTCAGTCTCACTCTGTCGCCCAGGCTGGAGTGCAGTGGCACGATCTCAGTTCACTGCAACCTCCACCTCCCAGGTTCAAGTGATTCTCCTGCCTCAGCCTCCCAAGTAGCTGGGATTACAGGGGCATGCCACCACACCCGGCTAATTTTTTGTATTTTTAGTAGAGACGGGGTTTCATTGGGTTAGCCAGGGTGGTTTCGATCTCCTGACCTCATGATCTGCTCGCCTTGGCCTCCCAAAGTGCTGGGATTACAGACATGAGCCACCATGCCCAGCCTACTTTTTGATTTTTAAAATTATGGCCATCTTGCAGGAGTAAGGTGGTATCACATTGTGGTTTTGATTTGCATTTCCCTGATCATTAGTGATGTTGAGCATTTTTTCATGTTTGTTGGCCACTTGCATATCTTTTTCTTGAGAATTGTCTATTCATTCCTTAGCCTACTTTTTGATGAGATTGTTTGGTTTTTTCTCGCTGATTTGTTTCAGTTCCTTGTAGAATCTGGATATTAGTCCTTTGTTAGATGTATAGATTGTGAAGATTTTCTCCCATTCTGTGGGTTGTCTGTTTGCTGATTATTTCTTTTGCTGTGCAGAAGCTATTTAGTTTAATTAATCCCATCTATTTATCTTTGCTTTTGTTGAATCTGCTTTTGGGTTCTTGGTCATGAAGTCTTTGCCTAAGCCAATGTCTAGAGGGGATTTTCTGATGTTATCTTCTAGAATTTTTATGGTTTTAGGTCTTAGATTTACATCTTTGATCCATCTTGAGTTGATTTTTGTATAAGGTGAGAGATGAGGATCCAGTTTCATTCTCCTACATGTGGCTTGCCAATTATCCCAGCACCATTTGTTGAATAGGGTGTGCTTTCCCCACTTTATGTTTTTGTTTGCTTTGTCAAAGATCATATCATCGGCAAACAGTGACAGTATGACTTCCTCTTTACCGATTTGGATGCTCTTTCTTTCTCTTGTGGGATCATATTTTTATTTGGTACAATTACCTTTCTGCCTGAAGAATTTCCTTTAACAGTTCTTGTAGTGCAGGTCTACTGGTGATGATTCCTTTCAGTTTTGTATGTCTGAAAACATCGTTTTCAAAAATTTTTTAATTTTATGTTTTAATTTTTATCTATTTATTTATTTTGAGACCAGGTTATGAGACTGGCTAATGTTTGTATTTCTGGTAGAGACAGGCTTTGACCATGCTGCCCAGGCTGGTCTCAAACTCCTGGGCTCAAGTGATCCACCCGCCTCGGCTTCCCAAAGTGCTGGAATTACAGGCGTGAGTCACCACGCCTGGCCTGAAAACATCTTTATTTCTTGTTTTTGACAGATTTTTTTTCCCCAATATTCTAGATCGAGAGTTTTTTCTTTAAGTAGTTAAAAGATGTTAGCCAGGCGCGGTGGCTCACGCCTGTAATCCCAGCACTTTTCAAGGCCGAGGCGGGCGTATCACGAGATCAGAGGATCGAGACCATCCTGGCTAACACGGTGAAACCCTGTCTCTACTAAAAATACAAAAAATTAGCAGGGCGTGGTAGTGGGTGCCTGTAGTCCCAGCTACTCGGGAGCCTGAGGCAGGAGAATGGCGGGAACCCTGGAGGCGGAGCTTGCAGTGAGCTGAGATTGCACCACTGCACTCCAGCCTGGGCGACAGAGCGAGACTCTGTCTCAAAAAAAAAAAATAAAATAAAATAAAAATAAATAAAAAAATAAAAGATGTTGCTCCACCATCTTTTCACCTGGATTGTTTCAAGTGAAATTTTATGCCATTCTTAACTTTGTTCCTCTGTGTGTAACATCTTTACCACTGGCTTTGAGCAATTTGATTACGATGTGCTTTGGCACAGTTTCTTCATGTTGCTTGTGCTTGGGCTTATTGTGCTTCCTGGGTCTGTAGGTTTATAGCCATCTTTAAGTTTGGAAAGTTTTTTGTTGTTGTTGTTTTGTTTTTTGAGACGGGAGTTTTGCTCTTGTTGCCCAGGCTGGAGTACAATGGCACAGTCTCAGCTCACTGCAACCTCTGCCTCCCGGGTTCAAGCGATCCTCCTACCTCAGCCTCCCAAGTAGCTGGGATTACAGGCATGTGCCAACACGCCTGGCAAATTTTTGTATTTTTAGTAGAGATGGGGTTTCTTCATGTTGGCCGGCTGGTCTCAAACTCCTGACCTCAGGTGATACACCTGCCTCGGCCTCCCAAAGTGCTGGGATTACAGGAGTGAGCCACTGCGCCTGGCCCAAGTTTGGAAAGCTTTTGGTCATGGTTTCTTCAAATATTTTTCTGTCCTTTCTTTCTTCTCCTTTTGGACCTCTAATTATCCATATATTAGGCCACTTACGGTTATCCCGCAACTCACTGATCCTTTTTTCATTTTTCTTTTTTTTTTTTTTTGGATTTTTTTATCTTTGGGTTTTATTTTGGGTAGTTTCTATTGCTATGCCCTCAAGTTCACTTGTCTTTTCTTCTGTAATATCTAACCTGCCATTAATCCTGTCCAGTGTGATTAATCCTGTCCAGTATGATTTTTTTAATCTGATATTGTAGTTTTCATCTCTAGAAGATCACTGGGATATTTTCATACATTCCTTGTCTTAAGTGCTGGGATTACAAGTGTGAGCCACAGCACCCAGCCAGGGTCCTTTTTTTTTAATTTTTGAGACAGAGTTTCACTCTTGTCACCAGACTGGAGTGCAATGGCATGATCTCGGCTCACTGCAACCTCTGCCTCCTGGGTTCAAGTGATTCTCCTGCCTCAGTCTCCTGAGTAGCTGGAATTACAAGCTCCTGCCACCACGCCCAGCTAATTTTTGTATTTTTAGTAGAGATGGGGTTTCACCTCTTTGGCCAGGCTGGTCTCGAACTCCTGACATCAGGTGATCCACCACCTCGGCCTCCCAAAGTGCTAGGATTACAGGCATGAGCCACCGCACCTGGCCACCAGGTTCCATTTTTTAGTGGATGTCAGATATTATAAAAACTGGATATTTTTGCCTTCCTATAAATCTTCTTGAGCTTCATTCTAAAAGTTAACTGAAAATAGTTCAATCCTTTCAGGTCTTGCTTTTATGGTTTGTTCAGTGGATCCAGAGCTGGAGGACACGAGGATGAGTGAGGCATTAGCTGAAGTGGGCAGACAAGTCCAGGCACTAACCACAGCAGCATGGATCAGGAGGCAGTCAAAACTCGAGCATGGTAGCACAATGTAGCCTCAACCCCACCCTAGCCTCCCGCTTCCTGAAACGGTAGCTGCATGAAGAGGGAAGGCAGAGCTGCAGTTTTCCCGGCTATACTTGGAGGTACTCTCATCAGATATGAAGCCTGAACACAGCAAGACACCAGGCCTCAAATGTAGCTCTGGGGCCGCTGTCAGCAGAGAGCTGTCCAAGAAGAGAGGCCCACCTGTCATCTCATCCCACCCTGCCCTTAATGATCAGGCCAAGGGCCCTGAGAAGTCATCTCATTGCTTGAGCATCAATTAACTCATCTGCAAATTGCGATTGCTCCACTTGCCCTGCCTAGCTCACAAGGGTGTTCTCTCTTAGGAGAAAAGAAAGTAAAATCCGGCCAGGCCCAGTGGCTCACGCCTCTAATCCCAGCACTTTAGGAGGCTGAGACAGGTGGATCACCTGAGGTCAGGTGTTAAGAGACCATCCTGGCGAACATGTTGAAACCCCCTCTCTACTAAAAATACAAAAATTAGCCAGGCATGGTGGTGCACACCTGTAGTCCCAGCTACTCGGGAGGCTGAGGCAAGAGAATAGCTTGAACCAGGGAGGCAGAGATTGCAGTGAGCTGAGATCGTGCCACTGCACTCCAGCCTGGACGACAGAGACAGACTCCATCTCAAAAAAAAAGTAATAATAATAATCCTCACACAGCTTGTTTTACAGACGTTAAGACAGGCGCAGAGAGGGTGGGCGTGCCAGGGCCCTCGGTAGCCCAGACCTGCCGTACTCTACCAGCCGAGCACAGCCCGAAGGCCAGGGAACAAACACAGACGGAGGCCGAGTGGGCCCGGAGCAGGGTCTTGCCGCGAAGGGCCTGGGCTCAACGTTAGAGCGTGGCGCGACCCTATTCTGGCTGCAACGAGAGGGGTGAATGAAGTGGGCGCCGGGGACCTCCCAGAATCGGAGCTCCAGACGCGGGCGGGCCAGGGGCCGCCGGAAAACTGCGCGCGCCCCGCCCTACCCCGTCCGGCCCCGCGTCGCGTTCTCCTCCCCCACTGCGCAGCCCTCGGCTGCCCCCTGCCGCCGCCGGGCGGACCCTGCAAGCCCCGCTGTCCCCGCCTTCGCACCGCCCACCCCCGCCTCCGGATTGGCGGCTCCAGAAATCTCCAGGCCACCGGCTTTCCGCTACCGGATTGGCTGCGTCCGGGTGCTGAGGCCCGGCCCATTTCCCCGGGTCCTTTGATCACGCGCCTGACGGCTTTTCCGGGGCCCGGGAGCCAACCGAGGGCGTTCCTGTCGGGGCTGCAGCGGCGGGAGGTAAGGCATGGCCAGGCCGGCTGGGCTGCAGAGCGCCGGCACGGGTCCACGCCTCGGGTGACGGGCTTCCAGGATGTTCGGGCGCGGGGCGGCCCATCCGCATCCCCCAACACCCCCACCTCCGGCCTGAGCCTCCCAGCGCCGTGGGAACCACCTCCTGTCCGCTGTTGCTGGCCCGCATCCTAGCAGCGGCCTGACGCCCTCCCCACCCTGGCATGCCCCCTTGACCTGGGACGATGAGCATACGACTGGGTAAGGGCAAGCTCGATGCCCCGTGCCCTACGGACACGGGGGTAGGTCGCTCATACCTTGCCCTCTGATAGAGACTCAAGCGAACCTGGGTCGCGGACCTTGGGCCATCAGCGTGCAAACTGCCCCAGGACGATCTCTTTGCTTCTGTCGATGGGGACTGACCCTCTCCACCTCTGCCTGTCAGCTCAGGCCAGGAGGGGAGGGACCTGGGCGGAGCCCCGGGTGGAGACAAGAGGAAGGTGACATCATCTTGAAGATACAATCCAGCTTTACCCACTCGTGTCCACCCTGGCACACGAGACAGATGGGGGAGAGGGTGTTTGGGCTGTATGTCTGAGGTGACACCAGGGACAAGGGCATAGAACTCAGGCATGGAGCCCATCGCTTGAAGTGGGATTGGACCAGGATGGAAGCGGGCTCCTTCAGATGCTCCCATCTCACCCCTGGCTGCAGTGCAGGTCCTTCCTTTAGACCTCATTTATCCATTTTGCTCCACTGGACAGGTGCTGGCAGCCCAATGCCCCAAAAGGGCTGGGGCAGGCACCTGAAACCTGCACTTAATCTTTCCCCAGAAGCTGAGACTTGTAAATGTTTGGCCAGCATCTGAGCTGGGCCCCACCCTGATTTAGGGATAGGAGTTGGGCAAGACTCAGCCCTGGATCCAGGCCTTCCCTTGATCCCCTTTCCTGCCAGGATTTGCCAAGACTCACTGGAGGGTCACACCCAGTACATCTACCTGGAGGATCCCTCCTCCCAGGATTTGACCTGGGACCAGTTTTCATAGATCTTCAGCTCTGGGGGAGGGATCCAGAGTCTGGATGTCACCTGGGTGCAACTGATAACCTCCCTTCCTCCTTCCCAGGGAGCCCAGTGGAGGCGCCCTCCCGAAGCGCCACTGCCCATGCTGACCACCCAGCCCTCCGGCTGCTGATGTCATGAGTAACACCACTGTGCCCAATGCCCCCCAGGCCAACAGCGACTCCATGGTGGGCTATGTGTTGGGGCCCTTCTTCCTCATCACCCTGGTCGGGGTGGTGGTGGCTGTGGTAAGGAGCCCTCATATACACACAGACACCCACAGCTTTGCTAAGGCAGGGGCTGGGTGGGCCTGGTCCAGTCTGCACAGAGTCCCCACTGTCCTGTTAAGGGAGTGAAGGGTGTGGAGGTGGGCCTCTCTCTGCCTGTGGGCCTTCCTGGGCTCAGCAGCCCCCACAGTGCTGTGTCTCTGTTGCAGGTAATGTATGTACAGAAGAAAAAGCGGTGAGTGTCCCTGTCCCCCACCCGCCCTAACCCCACACCCGTTCTGAAATTCCTGCTCATAGGCTCTGACTTTTCTGTAAGATGTCCCTCAGCCATCCTGATACAAGCCTGAAATTTGTTTTCCCTGCCCCAGCCTCAGGTTACTCACTGGGGAAAGCCCCTTTGTAGAATCAGGGTTGTATTCTTGGAGGTATAGTGTGTCCCAAAAGGCACCCACTGGAATTGCCCCTGCCTGGGAAAGGGAGGAGACGAGGCAGCCAGGTGTTTGATGAGGGTTGGGGGGACCTCCTAGCTGAGTCCCCTCCCCTGCTCCCCAGGGTGGACCGGCTGCGCCATCACCTGCTCCCCATGTACAGCTATGACCCAGCTGAGGAACTGCATGAGGCTGAGCAGGAGCTGCTCTCTGACATGGGAGACCCCAAGGTGAGCACTTGGGGGCCAGGGGGAGAATGAGGCAAGGTGGGAGTCAGCCCTGTTCCCAGCCATACTCGTCCACACTGAAACCAGAGCCTGGTTCTGCTTACTTGGGCTGTAACTGGGTGCTGCAGACTCCCAGGGAACACAGCCCAGCCTTGTGGTGTGGTCTCCTCCCCGACAGGTGGTACATGGCTGGCAGAGTGGCTACCAGCACAAGCGGATGCCACTGCTGGATGTCAAGACGTGACCTGACCCCCTTGCCCCACCCTTCAGAGCCTGGGGTCCTGGACTGCCTGGGGCCCTGCCATCTGCTTCCCCTGCTGTCACCTGGCTCCCCCTGCTGGGTGCTGGGTCTCCATTTCTCCCTCCACCCACCCTCAGCAGCATCTGCTTCCCATGCCCTCACCATCACCTCACTGCCCCCAGGCCTTCTGCCCTTTGTGGGTGTTGAGCTCACCGCCCACCCACAGGCACTCATGGGAAGAGGCTTTCCTTCTGGGATGGGGGCGGCTGGTAGACACCTTTGCTTTCTCTAGCCCTCCTGGGCTGGGCTTGGGCACAAATCCCCAGGCAGGCTTTGGAGTTGTTTCCATGGTGATGGGGCCAGATGTATAGTATTCAGTATATATTTTGTAAATAAAATGTTTTGTGGCTAGGGGTTTTGATTTCATCAAGAGGCTTAAAATGACCTTCCCCGGAGGTGATTCCAGTGCTATTTCCCCTCCCTTCCTGCAGCCTGAAGGATGGGGGCCAGAACACAAGTGTCACCCATCCTACCTGCCCCAGGCTTTAGGGGCACACACCACAGGAGACTCCAGTCCAGAAAAGGATATTTTTTTTATTCAAGTAACTGCAAATAGGAAACCAGAGAGGGAGCCCCAGGCTGGGACAAATCATGGCTACCCCTCCCCAACAGAACAGGGGGAGGAGGTGGCCCCTACACCCTTTATGGTCGATTTGGGCCCCCTTGCTCACTCTGCTGCAGCATCCTAGGGGCAGGGCCCCACCTTCCCTGGGACTGGGGTAGTCGGTCACCCAGCCTGCCATGCCCCAGCCCCTCTTCCCCACAAAGAGTATCTTGGGGGAGGGGATCGTGGGCAGAACAGGAGGCAATGAGGATGAACATTTGGCGCTGGTAGCAGCAGCAATGACGGATGTCGAAGAATGGAACATTGAACAAAAAACAACACAACTGTCCAGAGGTAGTTTGTGAACAGAGGAAAAATGGAACCAGAACCTTGGGGGGCAGGGAGGAGCAGGAGGGGGGTTGGGAGCGGGCAGGGTGAGCTCCTTGTTATTGGTGCCCCATCTGAGGAGGGGGAAATGGCTGAGTGGCGGAAGCAAAGTAGGGTTAGGGGAGCAGCCCCAGCCCACCTCAGGTGGCGGCCACAGGGCTCTTGGGCCTCACCTGGACAATAAGTGACTGCATCTCCATCACCACAATATGTACTCAGATCCCAGGCGGAGGGCAAGGGGGCTGTGGCCACAGTGAAGAGGGAGTAGGGGACTCACCCCTCCTGCCTTCCTGTAACCGAAGGGGGCTGTCCAACCTAGTACGGGGACTAGGGAAGTTGGGGAAGGATGAAAAGTGAGCCCCACGTGGTGACAAAGACAGTTTGGCTGGGGGAATCCTGGGGGCCAGCACCCCCCTCCATTGGCCACACCTGCTGCTGCCAGGGCAGTGGAGTAGGGCGTGCCAGGATGAGATGGGGCTTGGGCCCCTTTTAAGGCCAGGGGAACCCTCCCAGGCCCCACTATGGGAAGCCAGAGGGAACAGTGAAGGAGCAGAGAGGGCGCCCCCAAACCAAAAGCCCAGAGAGCAATGTCCCCACCACCAAGGGAGTGGGGACGCAGCAGGTGCAGGGTGCGGCTAAGTGGGATGTTAGCCTTGTCCAGGAGGGCATGTGTGTATGCGTGGGTGGGCGGGGGGAGCTGGGAACTGAGGCCAGGGGAAAACTGCTCCCCACTCAGCCCATGGGAGCCCTGCAGCGGCTGGTGTGCTGTGTAGTGTGGTGGTGAGGGCACAGGTGGAAGATGGGGGTGGCGGCCAGAGGCGGTGGTGATGGTGGGCCTGGGGAAGGGGTGGGGGCGGTGGGAGCGGAGCAAAGCTGTCCAGTCCCAGAAGGAAGCTGCTCCTCCAGTGAGGAGCAGGCGGCACGCATGGGTCACTGCTCCTCCTCCGAGGACTCCTGCGAGATGCCCTCCTCTTCCTCCTTCTCCTGTGAGGTGGGCAGTTGTTGGTGTGAGCTCTGGCCCGGTCCCCCTCTTCCACCCCCAGAGGCTGGCCCCACCCGCTCCCTGCACTCCCTGGCTCTCCTGAAGAGGGATGAGTCAGGGCTGAGTGTGTGGGTGACTCAGCAACCTCCACGGCCCGGCTTCATTCATAAAAAGAATTTAAAAGGAGGAAAAAACCCCACACACATGCTGCTCTCACCCAGAGCCAGGAGCCAAGCCCCCTTGGCCCCCAGGCCCAGGGAGGGCAGGAGGGCAGAGCTCAGGGCAGCAATGAGCTTCAGGATGTGACTGACTCCCTAGGGGAGAAGAGGAGGTGGGGGAAGAGGTGGCTGGGGGAGGAAATGGGAAGGGGTGGCTGGAAGGTGCAAGAGCCCGCTGGTGGGTGCAGGGGAACCAGGTCCTTGGCCCACAGGGGCAGATGCTGTGCTGTGGTGCCCTGGCCCTCCGGGGTGGCCGAGGGCTGACCCTAGGCCGGGGTGGGGAGGAAGGGGAAGTGTGTGCCGCCGGGGCTCACTCACTGGGCGGGAATGTCGGGACACCACACGGGGCTACAGCCCCCGTGCCAGGCACAAACTCCAAAACAACTTGTTTCCTGTTACTCACTCTTGGGGCCTGGCCAGCAGCACCCCCTAACCCCCCCACCCCAGCAGTGGCTCAGCTCAAGGAATGACAGCTTCAGGGATTTGAGGGGGCAGGCTGGGGGTAGGAGAGGGCCAGGAGCTGGAAGGCTGGGGTGACCCTAACTGCAGTGGCCCCCTAGAGGCAGCTTCTTGACTCAGCCCACCGAGCCTTTCCACCAGCTGTTTGGGGACCCAGAATTGGATGGTGCCCTCCAGTGCAGTGTGGTGGGTCACATCAGAACTCCAGCACCGACCCCTCCCAGGGCCCAGCTCCTTCGCTGTTTCTCTTCTGCAGAGGCTCATAGGAAGGACAAACCTTCCCCCTATGGCTTCCTTTCCTCATCTCTAATTGAGGGGGACACAGGCTAGATGACTTCCAAGATCTCCCCTAGAAGTTCTGAGTATTCTAGGAGCAGGAGAGGGAGGGACCCCCACACACAACTAGGGCAGGGCAGGGCAGGGGGATGTGGTCTGATTTATACCTGGGACCCCTCACTTCTCATGGGCACAGCCCAGGCCAGGTACCTTCCCCTCTCTGGACTTCTGTAAAATCTGATGTCCCAGCAGGTCAAGGAGAGCCTTTCCATAGGGGGTGCATAGCATCAGGTACTGTGTACTCAACACCCTCAACTCAAAAGAGCCCAGGAGGCAAGCAGCAGTCTGCTTCTTCACCTACCAGTTTTTTGGGTCTGCCCCTTGGTTTCCTTCCTGGAGTTGTGGTGGTTTTCTAGAGGGTTAGAGAAAATATCTCCTAAGTCCAAAATGCTCATCAGTGCTCACCCGATGCCCAATAGTGATGGGGGGCAGACCTACCTGCCTGTTCAGGGTGACCCAACACTCTCACCCAACAGGCCCACCCAAGTCCAGCTGGCAATGACTGGCCAGCCACATTTGCCCCCTCGACATACACACACGCCCCCTACTCCCACCTCCGCCCATGACTCAGAGGATATGAGTCGTGTCTTAGAAAAAATAAAATAAAAAACAAAACAACTTTTCTGAAAGGCTAATGTCACTGTGAATCTGGCCTTTGCTGCCTGTCCCCACCCCTTCAGGCTCCAGGGAACCCCAAGAGAAGGTAACATTCTCAGCCCAGGGACTGGCAGGGACCCTCCATTCTCCCCACTCTGCCCTTCTCTAGATCAGGAAAGCTGTGGGACTTCTGACCTGATCTCCGCAGTGTCCTGGGCAGGACCAACCCCCCAGAAGTAAGACCTTAGTCATCGCCCCACTCTCCCCAGTTAGCAAAGACTCACTGCCATCCCTGTACCAGGGAAGGGGGTACACAACTGAGATGACTGAGCCCCTTCCCAGACCTCCCCACAGCCGTGGCCATGGTGCCAACAAGAGGATCCTCTGCTAGTCATCCACCCAGGGGTAGTCCCATCTCAAGTCTCACCCGGGTCTTGGCAGCACCCTTGTTTTTGCTTCCCTTTGGTCGGCCCCGAGGTCTCTTAGGTGTTGGCACTTCGCTGGGCTCCTTCTGTAAAGACAGAGGGGGTAGTCAGGGACAGTCATCACCTGTTTCCACCCCCTCAGAAGACACAGCCCTCTGCCTCCTCAACAAGGTTAAGTCAGCAAGAACCAAGAACCACAAACCATCCCTGACCTAGGAATCCCTTCAGGATCCAAAGCTCCAGTTTGAGCATCTTTGCAAAGTGCCTCCCACCTCTCCCCTTGCTTCCCTGCAGGTTTCTAAGATGCAAAATGACAAGAGCCCAGAAGACCCCTAGGAAAGGCATTCTGGGGACAGAAAGACAGTTAGGTGGCTCTGCCCAAGTCTCAGTTCTGACACTTATCTTGGGTGGGACACTTAATGCTGGAGCCTCAGTTTCCTCATCTATAAATGGTGAAGACTTCCCTTGCAGGGTGTCATGGAGATTAAATGGGTAATGTATGGTTATCTAGCACTGGGCCATGATCACTGCCCACCCTCTCAGATGACCTATGCTGGACACACACTCCCTGCCTGCACTTGCAAACCTGGAGCCCATCCAGGCTGCCCCCAGAGAAGGGGAATTATAGCCGGACTCCAGAGATCCCTGCCATCATTCCCACTGAAATTTTAATAAGCCGTAGATAGAATAAAAAGCTGCTGCATAATGCATATAAGGTGTGTGGTGAAGGCGCGCCAGCTACTGTTTCCTAGGGGGCCGCCCATGGTCTGTCTATAACCAGGGTCCAGTAACCCTGCACCCCTCCTGACACCTCCCACTGACCATGGCTAACAGGTGGGGTAGGAGGGGAGGCTGAGGGAGCTAGGCTAAGAGGACAAATGACCCCACCCCAGGCTCTGAATTCCAACACAGCAGACTCCTCACAGCTCGTGTCTCCCTGGGCCCAGGTCAGCACAGACCACTCTCCACCGTACGGACAGGGAAAACCTGCAGGTGAACAACCTGTATCATGTTTAAGGGGCAGAGGTCGAACTCAACTCCTCTTACCTCTCTCCCAGGGAAGGGAAGTAACTGGGCTTCACCAACAGCCACCCTTCACTTGGGTGACAGCTGCCTCTGTAAGAGGCCAATATGGGGTCCCCCCCATGCCCAAATGGCCATGCTCCCTAGGGTGCCCCACAGCGCCAGGCTGGCAGCCTCATCCTTCTATGAGGACTTTGTGGGGAGAGCAGCACCAGGGTTCTGAGGGTCACTGCCACCAACTCCCCAACATTTTTGACTTCTTGGGCTTCAATTTCCATCTAAAGAGCCAGGGGCAATGCCCATTCCAGAACTACTCATAACTGGCCTGTGCACAAACAGGTGCTGGCCCACGCAGGCACCCGTTTCTCACCTGGGATGAGGAAGTACAAGAATCGACCATAAGTATTCAGCAACTTTACAGCAAATTGACAAAAATCATTTTACGTGCACTGAATCTAATGATTAAAAACCCTGGGCTTCTATGTTCATTTTTGTTCATTCGTCTTTACTGCATTTTAAAATTACTGGTCCACAGTGGATTGGAAATTAAGAAAAAGGCGAGTGTTTTAAGCACTGGCCATGTGACCTCTGGGGTGCTTTAGGTTTGGACTGTTTGCCATTGGCTTCAGAATTTATCTTGAATTCCTCGGCCCCCGGTTCTCTCCTGGGGTCTCTATAGAGATCTGACCAGGGTTGCAAGTGGGGCAGGAGTACACACAGGTGGGAGGACACACCCACACGCTTACTGCGCAGAATCATTCTGCACCCTCCATGCATGGTCTCGCCTGCTGAATGAAACTCCAGGCACCTCCCTAGCCCCAAAGGGTAAACCAAGTGAAGCAAAGGTTTGGACACCCACCTGACTCCCTACCAGCGCTGTCCCGGGACTCACCGGAGGCTGCTTGCGCGGCCTGCCCCGGCCCCGCTTCTCAGTGCCGTCCTTTTCCTGCTTGGAGGCCAAGGGCTGGCTGGACTTCGAGCTCGACTCACTCATCTTCCCTTCTCTAAGGAGCAGGTGGAAGAGTGATGGCTGGGATGCTGGGAGACAGAAAAGTGCTTTTAGACAAACATCTCGCTTCAGCCACTTTCTACCCCCTCATCACCCACACCTTCAAGGCACACTGCAGAAAACTGTGCTCCCATGGGCCCCCAGGCCTCCTACTCTGCCCAGGATGGAGGGGTCTGCCCACCCCCAGATGCTGCCAAGGGCGGGGAAGGGCCGTTGGCCCTAATCAGCTTCTTATCTATCTCCTGTTCAGAAGGGCTCTTTGTTGTCCTGCCTTAACACCGCCCCAGTGCAGCGTGGTGGGGGGGGTCCCAGGAGGTACAGCCAGCCCAGACCTAGCTACATGGGTGAGGCCACCCTGGGACAAAGGTGTGGGGAGGTGAGATCTGACGTATTGCCAGCATCCCCTCCTTCTGTAGTCAACTGCTGCCCTTTCTCTTTAAGAGAAAATCCAGCCTACGCAGTTCAGTGGGAAAATGGAAAGAATGAGACCTTGCGATCTGGCAGCTATGGACATTGATCCCCTGCCCACCTCACTGACAATATTGCCTATCTGGCAAGGTGCAAGACTCAGGACCAAAAAGAGCCAATCACACAGCCAGGGGTGGTGCCCACCACCAGCTCTCTTCTCTGTTCTCACCCAGGGTAAATCCCTGGAGAATTCAGATTGGTATAATTGAGGGAGGGAGGAGATGGTTGAAGCTAGTGGGTGAGGTGGGGGAGGAAAGTGAGCCCAAAGCCAAAGGCCACCCTCCTCTTTCCCCTTACCCCTCCTCTGCCCAACTGGAGTCAGATGGGACTTTGTCAGATGGGTAGGGAATTCTCCAACTGAAATGCACCGCCTAACAGACCCTGGCTGGCCCTCATCCTTTAGGATGAGGTTTAGGGCTCATCCTAAAACCTTCTTGGTCATTTTCTAGCATCTTCCTTCTTCTTAGAGGCCTGTTGGGGTTTAATTAACCCCATCAATTTTGAGTTTTCCTAAAACTTCTCATTGGAAGGAGGGCCTGCAACCTGTATTTGGGAATACCCTGTATTACAGGCTTAAAAAGGACAGTCCTCCACATCTTCATCCTAGTCCTTATCCCCAGGCTACAGATGGATGAGACGCCGGAGGCCTAGGCTACACATTTTTCCAGTAACCAATCCCTGCCTGCCATGGTAAGGGGTGGGACAAGCGGCTCCACTTCTGAACCCCTCTCAATCTGTAAGATCAAGGTAATTATAAGGTACCTGCCTGAACTACCTCCTGACTGCTTCAAGGATCAAACTAGGTAATAGTTTAGAAAAACTTAAAATAATAGAAAGAAATCTTCACTCTAACCAAAATAAGAACTAGACCATTTGAAAATGATTTATGGGCCAGGTGAGGTGACTCATGCCTGTAATCCCAGCACTTTGGGATGCCAAAGCAGGAGGACTGCTTGAGGTCAGGAGTTCGAGACCAGCCTGGACAATACGGTGGGACTCCCATGTCTAATTTAAAAGAAAAAAAAAAAAGAAGAAAAAGAGTTTTTACCCCAATGAGAGGAAAAAAACATTTTTGCAAACTTGTGATTTCTAGAGGGCCCAGGACCTCCATTTTCAAGCATCAAGAGACCCTCCAGACAGCAGGACTTTGGTAATTATTCTATCTTATAATGTTTCAGACTTGGAGACCCTTTTAAACAAGGTGGTTGGTGATTTATCCTGCTCCGTCATTAGTGGCTTGGCCTGCTCTGCAATTACAGGCAGTGATTAGAATCTTATATTACACCACAGGTCCCCCTTCAAACTAAACATCAAAATTAATCAACTAAACGAGTGCTGACCTCATATAAGGTCTGCCTGGGGCCCCCTCATCGAGGGGGTTCCAGTTGGGCGAAGCCAGTCCGGAATCCCAGAGAGCCTGGCCCGGCCTGCCTGGAGATCTTGGCGGGTCTCCCTGGAAGCTCTCATACCATCTGGTGCCTCCCCCCACCTCTTGCTGCTGGGGACCCTTTAATCCCCTCAGCCAACCCCCCACGAACTAAATGAAGGCCCGAGGCCCTTTCCAGTGAGGCCAAGAAACGTTCGTCTTTTCCACCTGTTTCTGAACATCAGAGGCCTGTCTTGGAGGAACTACATTTAGGGCCTAACCCCAATCCCTCACTTTGTAATAAGCCCGCTTGGGCCTCAAGCCTGTCTCCTCCATACACTGTGCATGCAAACTGTGCTCCTCAAATACTTAAGGACTCTGCAGGAAAGGCCCTAGGAAATTATCTTGGGGGTTCCCTTGTTTTCTTCCCCGTCCCCCGTAAAAAAGTAGCCCAGAGAAGCCTTGAGTTGCCTAAGGTCACACAGCAAGTTGGCGAGCAGGAAGAAGTAGGTTCCCGGAGACCCTTTCAACCCGACACTTTGCCTACCCGCCTAGCGGCTAGGGCTAAACCCCCGAGGCATCAGGCTCCAGACCCGGCCCGAGGGTGACTCTGCAAGTGTCTGCGCCCGGCCGTTGCAGGCCGGCCGGCGGGACCCGGGGCCAGGGCGCGCGGGGGGAGGGGCGCAGGCCGCTCCTGCAGGCGCGGGAAAGCAGCGCACCCCGACCGCATGCACCGCCACGCGGGTGCACCCGGCCCCACTTCCTGCCAGAGGGGGCACCCAAGCCCGCCTTGGGGCAGGAAACCTGGCGCGCGCGGGCGCGGGGGAGAGGAAGAAAGCCCCCTCCCTCCGTCCCCTCCCCGCAAAATAAAGCCCCAGAAGAAAATAAAATAGAAACGGGGAGTCAAAGGGACTAGTTCCAACAGAGCCCAGCAAAGCAGCGAAACCAGTTTGTGGGGGCGGAGGGCAGGCCCGGCCCCTGGGGCTGAAGAGGCGCGGGCCAGGCCAGAGGTGGGGTCGGGGTGAAGCCCCAAACCCAGGCCCGCGCTCCGGCCTCATCTGCGGAGGGGGCGCGAGAGAAAGGCCGAGAGGGCGTAGGGCCGAATTTGGGGGTTCCTCCCCATCTCCCTCACTTCCAGAACTTCCCTGAGCTGCGGGGGGCGCCCGACCCCCCACTCTCCTGCCGCGCCGCAGCCCGTGTCTCTCCCCGCCCCTCACCCGGGCCCGGGCTCGGGCTCGGGCTCCGGCTCCAGCGGGAGCGGCCGCCGCGCGAGGTGCGCCGGGCTCCTCCGGGCTCCGCCGGGTGCACAACTCGCGCTCGCCGCAGCTGCGCGCCCCCTCCCCCACCGCGCGCCTTTCCCGGGTCCCCGCCCCCCGCAGGGCGCCCGCGGCGCGGGGGAAGGGGTGCGGGCGTCCTCCCCGCGCCGCCGGGCCCCGCCGCCCGCCCCCGCGCCGCGCGGCCCTCCCCCGCCGCCGGCTCGCGCCGCCCCGGCCTGGGAATAAAGCCGGCGGCGCGCGCTGCAGCCCCGGGCGGCTCGCAGGAGGGGCGACGTGCGGGCGGGGGCGCGGGCGCCCCCCTCCGCCGCCGCCGCCGCGGGCCCCGGGGACGACTCACCGCGAGCTCGGCCGCCGGCCTGCGGTGCGCGCTCCGGGTTGCCGGGAGCGGCGGTGCTGGGCGCTGAGGACCGGCCTGGCTCCGCCGCGGCCGCCGCTGGTAGCAAATGCGGATCTGAAACCGGGAGAGAGCAGAGGCGCTCAGAGACCGCCGCCGCCGCGTGCTCGCCGCCCAGGCCCCCGCGGGGTATTTATGTGTCACAGCCAGGCGGGGGGACAAAAATATTCCCCCTCCCCCGAAGGATGGCGAGGGGCAGGAAGCTGGGCACGGCCCGTGCGCGGCCTCAATAAATAAATAATTTAATTAAATTATAGATATAAAAAAAAGAAGCCACCGGAGCGGCCGCGAACTCACGCCTTCTTGGAGCCGCGCCAGCGCCAGAAATAGCCCCGGCTCGGAGTCCCAATTAGAGGAGCGCAGCACCGGCTCAGGGGAGCTTAAAAAGAGCGACCCAGGGGCAGGGGGGACGGGCCCGCCCGCGCCAGCCGTGTCACTCAGGGGGCGGGGCCATGCAAATGAGCCCGGGGATTTAAAAGGGCGGCCGCCCGCCAGCCGCCGCCGCCGCTGCCGCGCGGGTGGGTGCTGACGGCAGGGAGGGGCGTGTGGGAGGCCTGGGCTGCGAACTCGAGTCGACCGCCCACTCCTCGCAGTCCCGGACGGAGGAGGTGTGGGAAGGCACGCGCAGAGGAGTCACGAAGGAGCTTCTGGCGGGGGGTGGTGACGGGTGGCGGTATCCTTCCTCCCTGGTACAGGGGTCCCAGGGAGAGTCACCTCTAGGGGCTTCCAGGGCGTGTGGGCCCGGCCCCCCCCCCAGGGCGTGTGGGGGTGGACGGGGGTCCACGCGGGCCCAGGGGGTGAAGAGAAACGCGCTCGTTAGAGAATTCCGCGGCCTACACGCCGCCCCCTAACTAAAATAGAGAGATGGTAGATTTCCCCTGGGCGGACAGGTGTCAGCATGTGCCTTTCAGTGTCAACCCGCGTGTGGCTGATTGGTGAGATACAAGTCTTGTGAAATTCAAACGTGAAACTTGTGAAATCCAAAGTGTTTTATTAATGGCCACCAGCGAGCCATGATCAAGGTGGAGCCTTCCAGCGAAACCAACGATTGGCTCGTTGGCAGGTACACCCAAGGGAGGCTTCATACCTTGAGGTGACTTAGATGGTGTTCTGGAGATACGCAGGCCCACTTGGGGACCTGGGCCCTTCCGTTGGGACTGTAAATAAAAATAAAAGGTGGGCCAGAGGTCGCCTGGAAGCGCTTTGAGGGCAGGGGCCGAGCACGCAGGCCATCTCCGCCACGCCTGGCCCGCCCGGCGCCCGGCTTAACAAAGACTTGTTGCACCGAGCGAGAAGGAAGCCAAAGGGGAAGATGGCGGGGAGGGCGGTGGGGGAGGAAAGGGCGCAGGCGGAGCGGCGCGCCCTGCAGGCCGGCCCGGGGCCTTCTCGGGCGCACCTCCCGCGCCCGGTCCCCGAGGCGGCCTTCCACACCTCCTGTGATGCAGGGAATTGAAATGCGCTCCAGTGACACACGGCTGTGACTCATGTTTTTCTCTGCTCCCCTTCTTCCTCCCCGGTCAGCCGAGGCCCTGGCCCAGCCCCCTCCTCAGGGGGCGAGCCGGCGGTGGAGGGGACGCAGGAAAGCCCTGGGCCCGGCGCGGAGGCGGGGTGGGGAGCGGCGGGCTGGGCCTTGCAGTTGCAGGAATGTGGCAGGAATGTTTCCGGTGGGGGTGGGGAGCGGGCGGGGGGTGGGCCCAGCCCCCACCCGTGCGGCGGGAAGCGCTCGGGGCCCGGGCAGCACGTGCTTGACCGGGTGGGGGCGGGGGCGCCTGGGCGGGAAGGCGCCAGGGGCCGGGAGCGCGGGTTCAAAGGGGAGGGCGCGGGCCTGGGGCCGGCTCGGCCTAGGGGTGGGCCCGGAGGCCGCCCTCTGCGCGCCGGCTCCCCGCCCCACGTCCAGGTGAAACGCAGTTCCTGAGAAGTCCCGGGGCCGCCCTTGGAGGGGAAAGGAAGTCACCAAAGGGCGGCCCGAGGGGAGGGGAGCAGAGGGCGGCGGGGCCCGCGAAGAAGGCTGGGGGAGGGGCGGCCTGCCCCTTTGTCTGGTGGGTGGGGGTGGGGCGGGTGGATCGCGCCGCTCCCTCCATCTTTGTGCCCTGGGCCCGGAGCGCGCGCTTAGTAGGCCGTGAGTGGTGGTGGCTGGAGGGCGTTCGGTTTCGAGCGCGGGAACCTCTGCGGCGTGGCATGGAGGCGCGATTCCTCAGCCTCCAGCACCCCGTCCCAGGTCACAGGCTCCCCGCCAGCACCTTGGGACCCAGGTCTGGGCTCGGGCTGCCCCCCAGAGCCGCGCGCCCCTCCACTTCGCGCTCTCCAAGGCCGCGGAGGCTGCTAGGCCCGGGCACCGGGCTGGCGGCCTGGCGGCTGGGGAGGTGCGGAGAGGGTCCTGTCCGCCCTCTCTCTCGGGTACATCTCTCCCCGTCCGTGTGGGACGTGTGGCCGCCCCTGAGACGGGGAGGGGAGAGGGACTTCCGCCTCGAGTGGGCTGTGGAAAACTTGGCCAACTTTTTGGCCCACTTGTAGCAAGCCGACTCGATCTTATTTTTCCTACTCTTATTTTCCTCTCGGCCTGATTTCCTCAGCGACTTGTTTTTTACCTTGTATTGTGTGTATTTTTGTCAGCCACCTCAAACCCTTTCTGGAAGGAGGCAGGTATAAATAAATTCGTAGGCAAATAAATATAGTAGCTTGTTCCTCTCCAGGATTACCCACACCCTTGAAATCCAAATAACTCTCTACTCACTGACCCCCACCTCCACGCTTTCTGGATTGTCAATGCCCTGAATTCACTGTCTTTCCTTTCTTTCCCCTTTAAATAAGTATTAAGCAGAAGAGCGAGTGGTAGAGATAAAAAGATGGGTAGGATCTAGTCCTTGTCCCAGCGAATTTCACGTCTAGGGAAATCAGAATCAGGCCTGCACTAGAGAAAACTGAATAGCAGTACAGGAGATGCCATGTTAGAAAACATTTCATTCAGTAGTTATTGAGAACCTACTCTGTAGCAGGAACTGGGCCAAATTCTTGGGGTACAATTAATGAACAAAGTCCCCTGCACTCTTGAAACTTGGACCAAGGGGTCAGGCGCTTACAGACTTAGGAGGAAATACAGGAGGAGAGGATGGGAGCCCAGGGTGGTCAGGGAAGTCCTGGAGGAGACGGGCTTGAGCAGGCCTTCGTGAGACTTGGATAGGTGGGTGGCTGAGGAGTTGGGGACAGGGCAAGCAGGAAGAGGGAGCTATTCCAGGCCAAGGACATGGTCAAGGCCCGGGGGGTTGAGTTGGTCGATACCAGAACCCGTCTTCCCCACAGGAAGCATTTTCTGTTATTGGAGTCAGTCTATACAGTTTGCTCAAGGACGACCCAGTGAGCTTCAGTGAACCCAATGGGAATGTCCAGGGAATGGGGAGTTTGAGTCAACTTTATATTTTGGGACGCTGACTCTTAAGCTCATTTTCTAGATGAGTAGGTGAAAAAACTAATGTGGATGGTTCCATTTAGTTCTATTAAGTATTCAGCTTGATGCATTTTCACAAAGTGAACACCTTTGTGTCACCAGCATGCAGACCAAGAAATACAACATCTCCAGTACCCCTGTGTAACCACCATCTCAACTTAAGCAGCGCTTCGTTTCACCTGTTCGTGCACACGTAGGGATATGGAGTCTTACATTATGTATTCTCCTGGGTTAGTTTCCTTTGCTTACCCTTATGTCTGTGAGGTTCATCCATGCTATTGTGTGTGGCTGCAGAATGTTCATTCTCAGGGCTGCTTAGTGATGTGATATGAATGTACCACAATTTTATATCCATTCTGTTGAAGGACATTTGGATAGTTTCTGGCGGGGGGCTATTATGAATAGTGCTGCCATGAATGTTCTAGAATATAGGTGAGTAGATGTGCAAATTTCTGTTGCGTACGTGCCTAGGAGAGGAATTATTGGATCACAGGATGTGTATGCTCAGCTTCAGCAGACGAGCAGGGCACTTCAGAGTGAAAGCGGCACTATTAATACTTATGGCCAGACAACAGGCATAAACCTGACCTGGCCCCTATCAACCAGGACTGACCCAGGCCGGTAGGAGGTGGGGCTACCCTGGTACACAATGTTTGACCACTCTCCTCAAGAGTCACCCAGCTACTAGTGCATCTGGTCATCTGGCAGGATCAGGCTTCCAGGCTCTGCTGACCACAAGTTCTGCTGCCAGCAAGGCTGGCAGGCCTAGAAGGGGAGGAGGGCCTCTGCTGCTTCCAACTTTCGAGGGAAAAACTCTCAAGTGAAAAGGAGGGCCCAGGAATCAGGGCCCTCTCCGCCTTCCTACTGTGAGCTAATGACCCACCTTGCATGGCCCCAAGATGCCATGGACTTGTCAGCTTACTTCTTCAGGGCTAAATCCCCAAGGAAGCCCAGCTCCTCTCCAACCCCTGAAGAAATCTAAGGAGAGAGTGGAGTTGATAAGCATATACTGAATGCACATGTTCTCTCAGATCCTCCACATCCCTACTGGTGAGTGATACTGTTGCCCCATTTCACAGGTATTAAAACCAGGTCTTGGCCGGGTGTGGTGGCTCAAGCCTGTAATCCCAGCACTTTGGGAGACTGAGGTGGGCGGATCACCTTAGGTCAGGAGTTCGAGACCAGCCTGACCAACATGGGGAAACTCCGTCTCTACTAAAAATACAAAAATAAGCCGAGCTTGGTGACGCGTGCATGTAATCCCAGCTAGCCGGGAGGCTGAGGCAGGAAAATCACTTGAACCTGGGAGGTAGAGGTTGCCGTGAGCCAAGATGGCGCCACTGCACTCCAGCCTGGGCAACAGAGTGAGACTCCCTCTCAAAAAAATAACCAAACAAGTCTTGGGGCAGTTAAATATAAATAGCTAAGGATTTTGCCTCTTTCCGCTCTACTGCTTCTATTCCCAGGCTGGATGGGCTTGCTGCCTCCTCCCAGCCTGGCCAGATGGATCCCTCCACGTACCACCACCAAGGGTGTGGCCTTGAAATGGGTAGCTACATTCCTGTCCTCAAGGGGCTTGCATTGAGTGGGGTGCACGAGGGGATAGACAAGTACACAGGCAATTCCACCAGCGTGGTACATGCTGTAATGCCAGCCTGAGGAAGCACAGGGCAGGGGCCCAGGGTGTGGGTGGAGCATCCCAGGAGGCCTAGGAAGCAGGCAGGTGGGAGCAGTAGGGTGTTTGGCATGGGGCTGGACTTGGGCCTGTGAGAGATGCGGTGGGCAGGTATTTGGTATGCACCATGCCCTACATTCCTTTGAAGCAAGTTTTGGATATGAATTGGGTTCCATCAAAGAAAGAAATTTGGGGCCAGGCACAGTGGCTCATGCCTGTAATCCCAGCATTTTGGGAGGCCGAGGCGGGAGGATCATTTGAAGTCAGGAGTTTGAGACCAGCCTGACCACATGGTGAAACCCATCTCTACTAAAATTACAAAAAACGTAGCCAGGCATGGTGGCGCATGCCTGTGATCTCAGTTACTCGAGAGGCTGAGGCAGGAGGACTGCTTAAACCCTGGAGGCAGAGGTTACAGTGAGCTGAGATCATGCTACCGCACTCCAGCCTGGGCGACAGAGTAAGACTCCGTCTCAAAAACATAAACAAAATAATAAAGTGGCTGGGCGCAGTCGCTCAAGCCTGTAATCCCAGCACTTTGGGAGGCCGAGGCGGCTGGATCACCTGAGGTCGGGAGTTCGAGACCAGCCTGACCAACATGGAGAAACCTCGTCTCTACTAAAAATACAAAATTAGCTGGGCATGGTGGTGCATGCCCGTAATCCCAGCTACTCGGGAGGCTGAGGCAGGAGAATTGCTTGAACCCGGGAGGCAAAGGTTGTGGTGAGCCAACATCGTGCCATTGCTATCCAGCTTGGGCAACAAGAGCGAAACTCCGTCTCAAAAAAAATAAAAATAATAAAGTGAAATTTGGTGGGAGGAAGTGCAGAGGGAAATATTGCTGTGAGGAAGTGCAGAGGGAAATATTGCTGTGTGGGCTGTGGAGATACGGGTTTTCTACAAGACATCCAGCATCTAATCACTAGCTTCATGGTGTTCAAGAGGCAGGTGCAGTGGCACAAGGCCTCCTGACCCTAGATCAGATCTCAACCATGCCCGTGGGGCCTCCTGATTCTGTACCCTCCTCATCAGGGCAGAGGCCAGGCTGGCAGTTCAATCATGTTCCAGTGGGCCCAGCATGGAGCCGGCTCCTCCAGTTCTTCCAATGGTTTTGTAAGCACCTAATTCTTGGCATTCAATCTCTCTACATGAAACCTAAGGCATGTTTCTCCTCTGCTCAGATTCCTCCAGGGTGTCTCATCTCATACAGTAAAAAGAGAGGCTTCCAAGGCCCTGCAGTCTGCCCTCTGACCTCATCTCCTACCTGTTGCTCTCTCTGCTTCAGCCACATGGGCTGCTTGATGTTCCCCAGGCCTGCCAGGCATGAGCCCGCCACAGGGCCTTTGCACTTGCTGTGCCCTCTGCCTGGCATGCTTTTCCCCTGATGTCCTCAGGGCTTGCCCTCTCACTGCCTTCAGGTCTCTGTTCAGTGTTACTCATCTACACTATTTACAACTGTACATCTCTAGCCAGGCCCAGCACTTTGAGAGGCTGAGGTGGGCAGATCACTTGAGAGTTTGAGATAAGCTTTGCCAACATGATGAAACCCTGTCTCTATTAAAAATACAAAAAAATTAGCCAGCCGTTGTGGCACATGCCTGTAATCCCAGCTATTTAGGAGGCTGAGGCACGAGAATCATTTGAACCCAAGAGGCGGAGGTTGCAGTCAGCCGAGATCAGGGCACTGCACTCTAGCCTGGGGGACAGATCTAGATTCTGTCTCAAACAAACAACCTGTACATCTTCCCTTACAATCCCTCATCCACTTGATCATGCTTTTTCTCTTGTAACGCTTATCAATTTCTGACATAAATAAACTCATCTATTTAACTGCTATCGAGTATAAATATGTGTGGTATTTTCTGTGTAGTTCCCTCCACTGGAAAGCCAGCTCCATTAGGTTACGGAATTTTATCTTTTGTGTTCCTTGGGGTATCCCTAGGGCCTAGCGTAGTGTTCAAACTAAAAAAAAAAAATGCGTTGAATGAAGAATGATTAGCCAGAGTGGTTTCTGTTATCCGCAAAGGCCAAGCCACAGGGCATCTGTCCCCAAACCTCAAGGCAAAGAAGAGGTCAGGGAACCCAGCAATCATCATGGGAATGGCAGGGTGGCCAAGCCTGAGACAGGTGGGAAGGCTTTTGCACCTTCCAGAGATAGGCGCTTTTTTTTTTTTTTGAGGTGGAGTTTTGCTCTTGTCGCCCAGGCCGGAGTGCAATGGAGCGATCTTGGCTCACCCCAACCTCTGCCTCCCAGGTTCAAGTGATTCTCCTGCCTCAGCCTCCCAAGTAGCTGGGATTACAGGCATGTGCCACCACGCCTGGCTAATTTTGTATTTTTAGTAGAGACAAGGTTTCCCCATGTTGGTCAGGCTGGTCTTGAACTCCTCATCTCAGGTGATCCGCCCACCTTGGCCTCCCAAAGTGCTGGGATTACAGGCATGAGCCACGGCGCCCGGCCCAGGAAATTGTTTTTTTCACTTGATCTCAGGTTTAGTCACAGGAGCTGGCAGCCATCTGACAACAACCACTTTGTCCCTTTGGTTGGGGCAGACTGGCTGGTTTGCTTGTTGGTGACCAGGCAGTGGTGGCAGCTCACCAGACTGTGAGTTGGGCTGGATGAGTGCAAGATTTTGGCTTTTTGTGGAACAAAATCGTTTCCCTTTGGTCTGAGTAACGTGCAGTCCACAGTCCAATGTTACAGGATCTGCAGGTAAAATGCCCCTAAACACAATGCCCCTTTCCACCCAGGACCAGCTGAAAACACATGCACTGCTAAGCTGTGTAGCCTGTGAAAGCCCCATTCGTGTGAGTCGGTAGAAGGAAGCCTGTTAGGATGGCTACTGCACACACATGTGACCCCATTACCCAGGTGCTGGCGTGTTTTCTGGAATCCAGCTTGAGGCCTGGGCTGGGTTTGCCTCCCAGGCCACACACCAGGATTGGAAGTCCATGTCAGCTCACTAGCCAGCATTAGGAAGTGGGGGGTCAAGTCCTGTAACTTTAGCCACTGCTGCTACCCATGTCACACCCACTAGGGAACAGGCACTGACTGAAGTTTCAGGGGATTCTCATATGGTCTTTAACTTATTTCTCTTGTTTCTATTTCTTGCCTGCTTTTTTTTTTTTTCTTTTTTTTGAAATGGAGTCTCACTCTGTCACCCAGGCTGGAGTGCAGTGGCGCGATCTTAGCTCACTGCAACCTCCACCTCCCAGGTTCAAGCGATTCTCCTGCCTCAGCCTCCCGAGTAGCTGGTATTACAGGCTTGCGGCACCACACCTGGCTAATTTTTGTATTTTTAGTAGAGACGTGGTTTCACCATGTTGGTCAGGCTGGTCTCGAACTCCTGACCTCGTGATCTGCCCACCTTGGCCTCCCAAAGTGCTAGGATTACAGGTGTGAGTCATCGAGCCCAGCCTCTTTTTTGTTTTTGAGACAGAGTCTCACTCTGTCACCCAGGCTCCAGGCTGGAGTGCAGTGGCATGATCTTGGCTCAGGGCAACCTCTGCCACCTGGGTTCAAGCAATTCTTTTTTTTTTTTTGAGACGGAGTCTTGCTCTGTCACCCAGGCTGGAGTGCAGTGGTGTGATCTTGGCTGACTGCAACCTCCACCTCCCGGGTTTGACCGATTCTTCTGCCTTAGCCTCCCAAGCAGCTGGGATTACAGGCGCGTGCCACCATGCCCAGCTAATTTTGTATTTTTAGTAGAGACAGGGTTTCACCATATTGGCCAGGCTGGTCTGGAATTCCCGACCTCGTGATCCACCCACCTTGGCCTCCCAAAGTGCTGGAATTACAGGCGTGAGCCACGGCGCCTGGCAGGGGTTCAAGCAATTTTTATGTTTCCGCCTCCTGAGTAGCTGGGATTACAAGTTTGCACCACCACGCCTGGCTAATTTTTCTGTATTTTTAGCAGAGACAGAATTTCGCCATGTTGGCCAGGCTGGTCGTGAACTCCTGACCTCAAGTGATCCACCCACCTCAGCCTCCCAAAGTGCTAGGATTACAGGCGTGAGTCACCACACCTGGCCTCTTTCCTGCTTTCTAAGCCAGGTGGGAATGTGTTGTGGGCTGTGGAGGGGGAACAGTGACCCCAGGTCTGGCTGCCCTGAGCCTCCAAGCCTGACTGTTCTCCATCATTAGCTGTGGGCAGGCTCCCTCCCACCGCTGTCTGGGTTTGCATGAGTTTTGGGTCATTTCCTTCTGCCTCTACAGGCTGCACCATTTACTGAAGGTGTGTCACGGCTAGGGGACACTGTCCTGATTAGGGAGTCATGTGAGACCAGGACTCCAGGCCACCCTGCGTCCTCACCCCGAACCTTTCTCAGGGCTGAGTATGGTATTGGGGTCTCCGTCCTAGAAGGGGCAGGAGGGTACGCTGCCTGCCTGAAACCAGAAGCACAGGGGTACCTGGGGTGGGACATACAGCCCCACAAGCTGTGGGCCAAAGTCAGGAGATGGAACTGAGAGCCGGGTGGAGGTCGAGGGGTGGGGGTCTGGGCTGGGGTGGAGGTGGGCTAGGGGAAAGGGGCCAACACCAAGCTGGAGATTTGTGGGAAGCCTCCAAGGCTTTGTTTTGTTCTTCTCCACACCCACAAGCTTCGCACCAGGGCCTAAGGGGAACTTGGCGCTCAGCAAAAGTTTGGTGAATGGATGGTTGAATGAGAGTGAAAAGGGCTGGGGGAGGGGTAGAGGAAGTGGGTAGCTGGGGGAGGGGAGGAAAGCAGAGTGGGGGAGGGGAGGTAGCCACTGGTGGGAGAGCGGAGGAGGGAGGCAGGCCAAGCTGGGCAAGCCTGCTGGTCTGGAATCTGGCTAGGAGATGGTGGTGGGGAGCGGCCCAGCTGGCTCCCTCTTCCACGCCAACCTCCTCTCCTGCTCCCTGCTCACCCAGTCCTCAGGTCTTTCCCCCACCCATAAATCCCGGGGGTCGATATACCCTCTAAGACCCAGTTAGTCCTCGCTGTAAATTGGGTTGGAGCCTCTTTATTTTCTTACTTTCTAGGAACCCAGCCACTAGGGGGTCTCTAGAATACCTGAGTGGCCTAGAGGGTGAGCAGCGTGAATCTGGTGGCCAGCCCAGGCTGGGACACCTCCCAACTCCTGCCTTCCCTCTGAGGTCTGCTGGATGGCGGGAAATACAGCTACTGGGAACTGGGCATGCCTTGCAGTCTGGGGTGGGATCTGTAAGGGAGACTGGTAAGCTAGCGAGTAGAGAAACTCCAGGGCCTTCCCTGCTGGCAGCTGCCCGGGACTCCCTGGAAGAGCAGTGGAGCTCGCCATGGGCAGTGTCAGGCAGAAGCTGCTGACATTCAGGTTTCTGTGTCATCATACAGGGGGCCTGTTGAGATCCCCGGCTTTTGGTGAGGGGCAAGGGCGGGTCTGCATCCCAAGGCTGGTCCTGCTGCTGCTTGTCTGGGCACTTCTGGGCCTGCTTTCATCTCCCACCTCCAGCCTTGCTGCAGTCTCAATCTTGGTCCCACAGGTCCCCCAGGAAGGGCTGGTTGTTGATCCCAATACTTCTCTTGTGTTTGTGGGCCTGTTGCCTACCAGCCCAGGTGGAGGTGGAGTGTATAACAGTGATCAACAGCTCCTCTCGAAGCAGCTTCTTGACTTGGGGCCCTCTCCTCCACCCCTGCTCCCTGGGATCTGTGCGCATTTCAGATGCATCCTTTCATATCATTTTTGTCCTTGGCTGGAAGGGGCTTTGAGGGTAGGATGGCTGTTGTGGGCAGAAAAGAGGGCCAGTCGTTTTTTTTTTGAGACAGATTTTTGCTCTTGTTGCCTAGGCTGGAGTGCAATGGCGTGATCTCGGCTCACCGCAACCTCCGGAAAAGAGGGCCGGTTTTTCTCCCAGTTCCCAAAGAGGTGTGGTGGGGTTGGCACCTGGAACCTGCTGGCCCCACCCACCTCAGCATTGGCCTGGGTCCATCTTAAGAGGGTGGCTTGGTCTTCTGGAAGTCTACAATGCTTTTCTTTGAAGAGCTTAAAGCACCTACTACGTAGTGAAACAGAAGCCTGAGAAGGTTAAGTATCTTGCTGTAGCAAGGAGTAGAAATGGATAAAAGATGGAGGGTCTGGGGGTGGGGTGGGGCATAGGCCGCCTTTGGTGGCCATAAGAGTTGCGGGTGGAAAGGATGTGACTCTGAGATTGGGGGCCTGTGCCCTGCCTACTGTTGCAGACAGGTGAGATAAGGATAACATTTAATGAGTGCCTCATAGCCTCAGATGCATAACTCCAATCCACACTGGAGGAAAATGCCCTTATTCAGCAAGGTCAGGTGAATTGCGAAGGCCAGTGGCCAAGCCTGGATTCAGATTGCAGGTAATCTGCAGGTCTTATCTGTGGCCCGACTCCTGTCCTCACCACCCGGTCAGGGCTGCCCAGGGCAGACCACCCCCACTTAGCGCTTCCTATCCCAGCCCCTTTGCCCGCCTCTACTTTCCTTATGTTCCACAGCCCACATCTAACATCAAGACTCTGCTGCCCATTGCTATAGCCATTAGGCACATGTGGCCACTGAGTGCTGGGAATGTGTTCAGGCTGAGCTGAAATGTGCTGGAAGTATAAGTACTCACTGGATTTACAAGGCTTAGTACAAGAAAAAAGAAAAAGAAAAACTCAATAGTTTTTTGTATATTGATTACATGTTGAAATGGTAACATCTGGATATATTGGATTAAATAGAATACATTATTAAAGTTAATTTTGGCCAAGCCCAGTGGCTCACGCCTGTAATCTCAGGGCTTTGGAAGGCTGAGGCAGGAGCATCAGGAGTTGGAGGCCGCAGTGAGGTATGATCGCACCACTGAACTCCAGCCTGGACCACAAAGTAGAGACCTGGTTCCTTAAGGAACCCTTTAAGAAGACCCGGTTCCTTAAAAAAAAAAATTAAAATTGGCCAGGCGCGGTGGCTCACGCCTGTAATCCCAGCACTTTGGGAGGTCAAGGCGGGCGGATCACCTGAGGTCGGGAGTTCGAGACCAGCCTGACCAACATGGAGAAACTCCATCTCTACCAAAAATACAAAATTAGTCAGGAGTGGTGGTGAATACCTGTAATCCCAGCTACTTGGGAGGCTGAGGCAGGGGAATTGCTTGAATTCAGGAGGCAGAGGTTGTGGTGAGTCGACATCATTGTATTCCAGCCTGGGCAACAAGAGCGAAACTCGGTCTCAAAAAAAAAAATTAAAGTTAATTTCATGTGTTTCTTTTTACCATCTTAACATGGTTACTACAAAATTAAACATTACATTCATGGCTTCCCTTCTATTTCTATCGGGCAGCACTAGCCTAGATCATTTGCTTATTTTTTGTTTATCATCTCCCTCACCTAACTAGAATGCCAGTTCCTGAAAGGCAGGGGTTAATATATTTTGTTTACTGTCCTGCTTTGTTTACCATCTTGTCCCAGGTTTTTATAACTTGGCATATAGTCGGTGTTTAATAAATATTTCTGTAACTGAATCCCATCGATTGATTCTAGGATGAGGAGGAGAGCCTGGGGGCAGGAGGGAGTTCATCCCTGGTTCCCCCGGGCGCTGCAGGACCTCAAATTGCCCTCCTCCTTCTGCCATACTCCACGAGGCTCCACAAGGTGACGTGGAAGACCCTCAGGGGTCCTTCTTTACACCTCGTGGGAGAAGTGGGTCTGGGGTCTGGCAGTAGGTGAGCAACGCTAGCTTTTGGAAGCTGGAAAAGGGACTGCCCTGTGGAGGGGCCGGGTCCAGGCTGCTGGACCCTCGATACCCCGCTCGCCCAACCCCACAGGGACGCGCAGGCCCGACCCGGGAGTGCGGGCAGCGGCCGCGTACCGTGAGCCGGCCGGGGGTGTGCGTGCTGCTGTCTGCGGGGAGGGCGTGGGTGGGGGGGGTGTGTGCAGCTAGGGCTCACACAAGGTCACTGTGTCAAAGCAGCGTTTCGAACACTTTCTCTTTCCCTGCGATTCGACTGCAGCTCCGAAAGCCCCTTCCGCAGGGACTTCCCTCCGCGCCTGACTCACGCTGCCTCATGCGTGTGACTCAGGCCGGCGCCGCGCCAGCCCGGGCCCCGCCCCCGCCTGCCACCCGGCCCGCCGCCCAGCGCAGGGGAGGGCGGCCCGGCAGGGGCGGGGCCACGGCGGGCAGAGGGGGCGGAGCTCGGGAATGGCAAAGAAACTGAGCCTTAGGAGGATGCACCCTTGTGAGCCTGCTATAGGGAAAGACTGAGGGAAATGAAGACAGCGACTGAGTGAGGGAGACAAGAAGACTGAGAAAAAAGGGAGAGACAAAGTGGGGAAGCACACAGAGGAAAGGGGCCACAGCCTTCTTGAGAGGAGGCCAGGGGAGGCCCAGCTAAGGCAGACAGAAGGTGGGAGGGTGGGAGAGCTGAGCAGTGAGGGGAGGGAGGAGAAAGGAGGGAGACCGGGAGCATGGGGTGCTGGCCTGCTCCGCGCTCTGCTCGCGCCTTGAGGCTGGGATTGTATTAGGAGGCTGGGCGGAGGGCCTCAGAGCCTGGCTCTCCTCTAGCTCCACCTTCCCAGCTCTGTGGCAGCCGGCAGGTTACTTCATGTCTCTGGGCCTCAGTCTTCTTATCTGCGAAATGGCATGGAGCAGGATAATCCTGCTTCCCTATGCTTGTTATTCTTCCTTCGCCCCGCCCCTTCCCCTCCCATGCCGACTTCGTGGCCCGGGCTCCCTTACCAGCTGGCTTTCTGTTGAGCAGCACCCATGCAGCCGACCTGAGGGGAGGCGAGAGAGAAGTCAGGGTACTCCTGGCCCTGTTTTGGTCCTTGGTCTGACTGTGGCTATGCCCCCTCATGATGTCAGCTCGGGAACACTGCATTTTCCCATTGCCCTTTCAGCCCAGAAGTTGCAGTGTCTTGTCATCACTGCCGGTCCCAATACCCAGGTTGATCCCCTTCACCCTGCCCCCACCCCTGTCGTCCTTCCATTAAAGCCTCTTGCACCCTTTGGTTGGATTCCATTTCCTGCCTGGGCCCTGTTTGCTATACAGCAGGGTGAGCACTAAGTGAGGCAGCACAGGACTTAGCATCCATTAAGTGCTCAATAAATCACAGCTCTTACCATCATCATCCTGCTTCTTCAAGAATAGGGGTGTGGGCAAAAATGATAATCATGAGGGGAATGATGCACAGCCTAAAAAAGCTCTTTTTGTTTTTTGAGACAAGGGTTTGCTCTCTTGCCCAGGCTGGAGCGCAGTGGCATGATGGAACCTCACTGGAACCTCGAACTCCTAGGCTCAAAGCATCCTCCCACCTCAGCCTCCCAGGTAGCTGGGACTACAGGTGCACACCACCAGGCCTGGCTAATTTTTAAATTTTTTTTTTTTTTTGAGACGGAGTTTCACTCTTGTTGCCCAGGCTGGAGTGCAATGGCGTGATCTTGGGTCACCGCAACCTCTGCCTCCCAGGTTCAAGTGATTCTCCTGCCTCAGCCTCCCGAGTAGCTGGGATTAGAAGCCTGCGCCACCACGCCTGGCTTATTTTATATTTTTTAGTAGAGATGGGGTTTCTCCATGTTGGTCAGGCTGGTCTCGAACTCCCGACCTCAAGTGATCCGCCTGCTTGTTTTTAAATTTTTTGTAGAGACAGGGGTCTCACTGTGTTGCCCAGGCTGGTCTCGAACTCCTGACCTCAAGCCATCCTTCATTGTTTGTAATGCTGTCTGTTATGGGTTGACCTGGGTCTCCTGCCAAACTCCTGGCCTCAAGCGATCCTCTCACCTTAGCCTTCCAAAGTACTGGGATTACTTCTGCGAGCCACTGTTTGTGGCCCCCATAAATCTTTAAATCATCACGGTGAGTCTGTGAAGCAGGTACGGGTTATTAGTCATTTAGACGCGCAACCTCTGCCTTCCAGGTTCAAGTGATTCTCCTGCCTTAGCCTCCTGAGTAGCTGGAATTACAGGCAAGTGCCACCACACCCGTCTAATTTTTGTATTTTTTAAGTAGAGACGGGGTTTCACCATGTTGACCAGGCTGGTCTCGAATTCCTGACCTCAAGTAATCCAATCGCCTGGGCCTCCCAAAGTGTTGGGGTCACAGGTGTAGGCCACCACACACGGCCCAATTGGCAGAGTTTTTAAATGACCAGTCTCAGTGCTGGCTGTGTTTCAGCCCACTGAGTCCTCTCACATGTTGCTGATGAGAATGGGAAACATGCTTGATCTTTCTGACAAGCAGCTCAATCGTGTGTAGGACTTGAGAAGAGTTCAGCTTTTCGGCCTGCTAATCCCATTTCTAGGAATCTCTCCTCTGACATAATTTAAAAAGGGGTCAAAGGTTTATGTCCCAGCATCTGAAATGTATTCTATCATTATAGTAATAATAATAACAGCAATAAAAGAAAACAACATAAATGCCCAACAGGAGGCAATTGGTAAAACATATTAAGAGTGAACGGCCAGGCGAGGTGGCTCACACCTGTAATCCCAACACTTTGGGAGGCCAAGGCAGGCGGATCACAAGGTTAGGAGTTGGGGACCAGCCTGGCCAACATAGTGAAACCGTGTCTCTACTAAAAATACAAGAATTAGCTGGGCATGGTGGTGTGCGCCTGTAGTCCCAGTTATTTGGGAGGCTGACGCAGGAGAATCCCTTGAACCCGGGAGGCGGAGGTTGCAGTGAGCTGAGATGGAGCCACTGCCCTCTAGCCTGGACGACAGAGCCAGACTCTGTCTCAAAAAAAAAAAAAAAAAAAAGAGGTCGGGTGCGGTGGCTCACGCATGTAATCCCAGCACTTTGGGAGGCCGAGGCAGGTGGATCACAAGGTCAGGAATTCAAGACCAGACTGGCCAATATGGTGAAACCCTGTCTCTACTAAAAATACAAAAATTAACCGGGTGTGGTGGCAGGCGCCTGTAGTCCCAGCTCCTCGGGAGACTGAGGAAGGAGAATCACTTGAACCCGGGAGGCAGAGGTTGCAGTGAGCTGAGATTGCACCACTGCACTCCAGCATGGGCGACAGAGCGAGACTCCATCTCAGGAAAAAAAAAGAAAAGAAAAAGAGTGAAAGATGATGGATTTTTTTTTGAGGGGGACAGAATCTCACTCAGTCGCCCCGACTGGCGTGCAGTGGTTCGATCTCAGTTCACTGCAACCTCCACCTCCCAGGTTCAAGCCATTCTCCTGCCTCAGCCTCCTGAGTAACTGGGATTACAGGTGCGCACCACTGCACCTGGCTAGTTTTTGTGTGTGTGTGTGTGTGTGTGTGGTTTTCTTTTTAATTATCTTTAGTCTTGTAATCACACATAATTTTAAAATTTGTGTATATCTCCATTACTTTAATCCTTTTAAGTTGGCAAAAGCACCATTCCCAATCACAAATACACAGTTCTACAGTTTTATGTTTCTGAATGGCTGTTTAAAGACAATCCTAAATTATAACCTAGTTTGACTTAGATTGTAAAGAATTCAAGAGTGAAGTTTAACTTGCTACTATTTTAAAAGCATGTGACCTTATAGATCTATAAGATGTGAGAGGTGTTGAATAATCTTTAATATTACACATAAACCACACTAAAATGCCTTTCAATAAGTAAAAGGAACCATTTTAAATACAGGGAATTATAATTAGATTGTTATAGTTAAGGCCAAAACTATAGACATTGCTCCCTTACTTATCTTCAACCCTTGCCTTTAAGAGGCAAATGAACACAAAACACAGGTGAATCTTGCTTGGTTCTAAGACAGTGTAGGAATTTCCCCAGTATTTAAATATATTCACATAACCAGTTATAGAAATCTAAATATAAAACCAATCTCCAGTAAGTTTTAAGATGGCACTCACCATCTTTGTGAAAAGTTGAACATTACTAACGAAGTCTAATCATATCTTTAGAAGGGGTAAACAGTGATAGCATTTACTGAATTGGAGTTACTATTAAAATCAAAAACTGAACATATTCATTTAACCACAAGCCAGTCTTAGTTTTAAATCAGGACTGCCCAACAAAATATTCTGTCAGTCATTCATGATCTGAATTCTGGTGTATGAGATCTATTAAAGGATGGTACACATAAAAAAGTCATGAGACATTTCTGTTTTGTAATAAATAAGGCAGTGGCCAATTATTACTCATTAGTAGCTTTTTTGAGATAAGCTATCAAGTCTGCCCTTTCTTCCTCTTTTTTTTTTTTTTTGTTTTTTTTTTTTTGAGATGGAGTCTCGCTCTGTCACCCAGGCTGGAGTGCAGTGGCGCGATCTCGGCTCACTGCAAGCTCCACCTCCCGGGTTCACGCCATTCTCCTGCCTCAGCCTCCAGAGTAGCTGGGACTACAGGCACCTGCCACCACGCCCGGCTAATTTTTTATATTTTTAGTAGAGACGGGATTTAACCGTGTTAGCCAGGATGGTCTCGATCTCCTGACTTCGTGATCTGTCTGCCTCAGCCTCCCAAAGTGCTCGGATTACAGGCGTGAGCCACCGTGCCCAGCCTCTTCCTTCTTAATGCCGACAAAGATCATTTTTGTTCCAGGGATGTACTTCTTGGGATTCTCCAAATACTCCATCAGTGTATCCTCTCCCCAGATGATGTCTTTGTTCTTAATGGTGGCTATGTAAGAGTGTCCAGGGGCCTGACCTGTCTTCCGCCCGAAGAGACCATGGAGATTTGGCCCAGTCTTATGCTTGCCTCCCTTTTCAACAATGTGGCACTGGGAACGCTTCATAATAAAAATCTTCTTGCCTTTCTCAACATCACCCATATTTAATTCTCTTTTTAGTCGCTGGCGCAACGAAGACTCCCGCTCTGAAGCCGGACGTCCCCACTCTCTCTAGTTTTTATATTTTTAGTGGAGATGGGGTTTCATCATGTTGGCCATGCTGGTCTCCAACTGCTGACCTCATGTGATCTACCTGCCTCGGCCTCCCAAAGTGCTGGGATTACAGGCGTGAGCTACTGTGTCCGGCCAGATGATGGAATATTTTATAGCAATGAATATAATTTTTTCAGAGTAAATGCCATTAGGAATGCTGGACACCTATTATAGAACTCCTAGAAGTAATAACTGAGTTTCTCGTGGCCACAGAATATAAGATCAACACATGAAATTCAATTGTGTTCCTATATGTTAGCAATGAGTAATTAGAAGCTGAAATTAAGAACACAATACTATTTATAATAGCTCTAAAAAGAAAGAAACAAAAAAGGAAATATTTGGGTATAACTAAACCTACACAACATACACAGGATGTTCTAACATAATATATGCAGGATGTCTATGCTGAAAACTACAAAAAAATGCTGATGAAAGAAATCAAAGATCTACACAAATGGAGAAACATACTATGTTCGTGGACTGGAAGACTCAACATAGTAAAGATGTTATTTCTCCCCAAACTAATTGAATTTAGTTTCCTAGGGCTGTCATAACAAAGTGCCACAAACTAAGTGGCTGAAAACAATAGAAATTTATTGTCTCACGGTTCTGGAAGCCAGAAGTCTGAAATTAAGATGTGGGCAGGGCGGTGCTTTCTCTTAAGCCTCCAGGGGAGGATTCTTTTCAGCATCTTTCCAGCTTCTGGTGGCTTGCCTGCAGTCACTGGTGTTCCTTGGCTTGTGACAGAAGCACTCTAACTTCTGCCTCAGTTGTCACCTGGCGTTCTCTCTGTGTCTCTGTGTCTCTTCTCCTCCTATAAGAATATCAAACATATTGGATTAAGGGCTGACCTTATCTTAACTACATCTACAATGTGTCTATTTCCAACTGAGGTCATATTTCAAGGTGTTGAGGGTTAGGGCTTCAACATATCTTTTTTTTTTTTTCCTTTCTTGAGACAAGATCTCCATCTGTCACCCAGGCTGGAGTACAGTGGCGCAAATACAGTTCCGTCCACTGCAGCCTTGACCTCCCAGGCTTAAGCAATCCCCTGCCTCAGCCTCCTGAGTAGCTGGGACCACAGATGTGGGCCACCACACCTGGTTAATCTTTTTTTAAAATTAATTAATTAATTAATTTATTTATTTATTTATTTTTGAGACGGAGTCTCACTCTGTCCCCCAGGCTGGAGTGCAGTGGCTTGATCTAGGCTCACTACAAGCTCCGCCTCCCGGGTTCACGCCGTTCTCCTGCCTCAGCCTCCCGAGTCGACGGGACTACAGGCTCCTGCCACCACACCCAGCTAATTTTTTTTTTTTTGTATTTTTAGTAGAGATGGGGTTTTGCCGTATTAGCCAGGGTGGTATCGATCTCCTGACCTCATGATCCACCTGCCTCAGCCTCCCAAAGTGCTGGGATTACAGGCATGAGCCACCACGCCCGACCAATTTATTTATTTATTTATTTTGTTTATTTTTTTGAGATGGAGTCTCCCTCTGTCACCTGGGCTAGAGTGCAGTGGCGCGATCTGGGCTCACTGCAACCTCCACCTCCTGGGTTCAAGCAATTCTCCTTCCTCAGCCTCCCAAGTAGCTAGGACTACAGGCGTGCGCCACCATGCCCAGCTAATTTTTGTATTTTTGGTAGAGACAGGGTTTCACCATGTTGGTTGGCCAGGATGGTCTCGATCTCTTGACCTTGTGATCCGCCTGCCTTGGCCTCCCAAAGTGCTGGGATTATAGGTGTGAACCACCGTGACCGGCCAATTTTTTTTTTTTTAAATGGAGTTTCACTCTTGTCACCCAGGCTGGAGTGCAGTGGCGTGATCTCAGCTCACTGGAAGCTCTGCCTCCCAGGTTCAAGTGACTCTCCTGCCTCAGCCTCCTGAGCAGCTGGGATTACAGGCATGTGCCACCACGCCCGGCTAATTTTTTGTATTTTTAGTAGAGACGGGGTTTCATCATGTTGGCCAGGATGGTTTCAAACTCCTGACCTCAGATGATCCACCTGCCTCGGCCTTCCAAAGTGCTGGGATTACAGGCATGAGCCACCACGCCTGGCCACTAATCTTTTAAATTTTTTGTAGATATGAGGCCTCACTATATTTCCCAGACTGATCTCAAACTTCTGGACTCAAGTGATCCTCCCACCTTGGCCTCCCAAAGCGCTGGGATTACAGGGATGAGCCACTGTGCCAGGCCCAACATACCTTTTTGGGAGACACAATTCAAACCATAACGCTGATCTGTAGATTTAACACAATTCTAATAAAAATGCCAGCAGGAATTTGTATATATAAAAACAAATTAATCGTAAAACTTATATGGAAAGGCAAAGAATAGCTACAACAATTTTGAAAAAGAAGAATAAAGTTGGAGGAATTACGCTACCTGGTTTTAGGATTTGCTATATAGCAACAGGATGGTATTGTATTGTCAGAGGAATGGACACATAGATCGATGAAACAGAATAGAGAGTCCAGAAATAGACCCACATAAGTATGGACAATTGATTTTTTTTTTTTTTTTTGAGATGGAGTCTCGCTCTGTCGCCCAGGCTGGAGTGCAGTGGCACAATCTCGGCTCACTGCAAGCTCTGCCTCCCAGGTTCACGCCATTCTCCTGCCTCAGCCTCCCGAGTTGCTGGGACTACAGGCGCCTGCCACCACGCCTGGCTAATTTTTTGTATTTTTAGTAGAGACGAGGTTTCACTGTGTTAGCCAGGATGGTCTCAATCTCCTGACCTCGTGATCCGCCTGCCTTGGCCTCCCAAAGTGCTCGGATTACAGGCGTGAGCCACCGTGCCTGGCCAGCCAATTGATTTTTGACAAAGGTGCAAAAGCAATTCAATGGAGAAAGGATAGTCTTTGCAACAAATCGTGCTTGAACAAGCAGACATCCATATACAAAATATGCATGACTCACATCTGTAATCCCAGCACTTTGGGAGGCCAAGTCTGGAGGACTGCTAGAACCAAGTGTTTGAGACCAGCCTGGGCAAAATTGTGAGACCCTGTCCAAAAAAAAGGAAGGAAAGAAGGAAGGAAGGAATGGAGGGAGGGAAGGAAGGAAGGAAGGAAGGAGATCTAAATGTAAGGCCTAAAACTATACAACATCTGGAGGAATACATAGGAGAAAATCTTTGTGATCTGGGGTTAAAGAGTCCTTAAACGTGACACTAGGCCGGGTGCTGTGGCTCATGCCTCTAATCCTAGCACTTTGGGAGGCCATGGCAGGTGGATCTCCTGAGGTCAGGAGTTTGAGACCAGCCTGGTCAACTTGGTGAAACCCTGTCTCTACTAAAAATACAAAAATTAGCCAGGTGTGGTGGCGGGCGCCTGGAATCCTAGCTACTCAGGAGGCTGAGGCAGGAGAATCACTTGAACCCAGGAGGCGGATGTTGCAGTGAGCTGAGATCACACCACTGTACTCCAGCCTGGGCGACAGACCGAGACTCTGTCTCAAGAAAAAAAAAAAAATTCTGGGCACAGTGGCTCACGCCTGTAATCCCAGTACTTTGGGAGGCCAAGGCGGGTGGTTCGCCTGAGGTCAGGAGTTCAAGACCAGCCTGGCCAACATGGTAAAAACCCTGTATCTCCTAAAAATACAAAAATTAGCCGGGTGTGATGGTGGGCGCCTCTAATCCCAGCTACTCAGGAGGCTGAAGCAGGAGAATTGCTTGAACCCCCGGGAGGTGGAGGTTGAACCGAGATCGTACCACTGCACTCCAGCCTGGGTGACAGAGTGAGCCTCCGTCTCAAAAAACAAACAAACAAACAAACAAACAAACAACAACAACAAAAAACACTAAAAGCAGGATCCACAAAAGAATAAAAATTGATCAATTGGACTTCATCAACATTAAAGGCTTTTGCTCTGCAAAAGACACCATTAGGAGAATGAAAAGACAAGTTACAGGCTGAGAGACAATATTTACAAATCACATATTTGACAAAAGACTTGTATCCAGAATATATTTTAAAAACTCTCCCAGGCCTGGCACGGTGGCTTACGCCTGTAATCCTAGCACTTTGGGAGTTCAAGATGCGTGGATCACTACTGGAGGCCAGGGGTTCAAGACCAGCCTGGCCAACATGACGAAACCCTGTCTCTACTGAAACAAAACAAAACAAAGATTAGCCAGGGGTGGTGGCGCACAGCTGTAATCCCAGCTACCCTGGAGGCTGAGGTTGCAGTGAACCAAGATCATGACACTGCTCTCCAGCCTGGATGACAGAGCCTCTGTCTCAAAAAAAAAAACAAACAAAACAAACAAAAACAAGACCTCTTCTAACTACTTAGGACACTGAAATGGGAGGATCCCTTGAACTCAGGAGGGTGAGGCTGCAGTGAGCTGTGGTCACACCGCTTCACTCCAGCCTGAGCGACACAGTGAGATCTTCTCTAAAAATGAAAAGAAAAAGAAAAAAACTCTAAAAACTCAACAGTAAGAAAATAAACAAATAATTTTGTTTGGGAGGGGGTTAACCTCCACAACCCCTCTTTCAACCAACAAATTTTAAAATGAGCAGACACTTCACCAAAAAGAATATACAAATGTGCAGAATATAAAGCACGTGAGAGACATTGGCCAGGCATGGTGGCTTATGCCTGTAACCCCAGAACTTTGGGAGGCCGAGGCGAGCGAGCTGATCGCTTGAACTCAGGAGTTCCAGACCAGTCTGGGCAAAATGGCTATACTCAATCTCTACAAAAAATACAAAAAGTAGCTAGGTGTGGTGGCGCCTGTAATCCCAGCCACCCAGGAGGCTGAGGCAAGAGCATTGCTTGAGCCCGGAAGGTGGAGGTTGCAGTGAGCCGAGATCACACCATTGCACTTCAGCCTGGGCAACAGAGTGAGACACTGTTTCCAAAAAAAAAAAAAAAAAGAAAGAAAAAGAAGAAAGAACGATGCTCAACATCATTAGCCACTGGATGAGTGCGCAAATTCAAATCACAATGACCCAGCATTCACACTTCTAGTTATTTACCCTAGAGAAATAAAGAAAAAAACTTATATTCACACAAAAACCTGTACAAGAATTGTTTTTTTTTTTTTTTTTTTTGAGTCAGGGTCTTGCTCAGTCATCCAGGCTGGAGTGCAGTGGTGTGATCATGGCTCACTGCAGTCCTGAACTCGTGAGCTCAAGCAATCCTCCCACCTCAGCCTCCTGAGTAGCTGAGACTACAGATCCACACCAACACACTCAGCAAATTTTTAAATTTTTTGTAGAGATGGGGGAAGGGGGTGTCTTGCTGTGTTGCCCAGGCTGGTCTCAAACTCCTGGCCTCAAGTGACCCTCCCACCTCGGCCTCCCCAAGTGCTAGGATTACAGGCGTGAGTCATCATGCCTGGACTTATGTGAGAATGTTTAAGCAGCTTTATTCATAATCACCGAAAACTGTAAGCAATAGAAATTGGGCGAATGGATAAACAAACTGTCCATCCATTCATGGAATACTGCTCAGTCATCAAAAGGAATGAACTGTTTTGATATACATAACATTATGGATAGAAGAAGTCAGACTGAGAAGTTTACATGCTGCATGATTCCATTTTCGTAACATTCTAGAAAAGACAAAACAATGGTGATGAGAACAGATTAGTGCTTCTCAGGGTTTAGGGATGGAGGAAGGTGTGGCCACAGGGAATAACAACTAGCGAGTTTTTTGGGAGTGATGGAACTGTTCAGAATCTTAATTGTCAAGGTGGTTACAAGCATCTGTACAAGTAAAATTCATAGAACTATATACCAAAAGAGGTCAGCATGACTGTATGATAATTCAAAGGAAACCCAGCCTGGTGAGGTGGCTCACATCTGTAATCCCAGCACTTTGGGAGGCCAAGGTGGGCGGATCACGAGGTCAAGAGATTGAGACCATCCTGGCCAACATGGTGAAACCCTGTCTCTACTAAAAATAAAAAAATTAGCTGGGCGTGGTGGTGGGCTTCTATAGTCCCAGCTACTCCGGAGGCTGAGGCAGGAGAATCACTTGAACCTGGGAGGAGGAGGTTGCAGTGAGTCAAGATGGCACCACTGCACTCCAGCCTGGTGACAAAGCCTGACTCTGTCTCAAAAAAAAACCAAAAAACAAAAACAAAAAAAACCCATATCCAGTTGGATAACTGTGTGATAAAGCAAGTTTAGTACAGTGTTAATGGGAGAATCCAGGTGGTGGGGATGAGTGTTCAACAAACATTTCTTTTAGCTTTGCTGTTTGAAAATATTCATAATAAAATGTTGAAAAAAAGTCTATATCCACAATGGCACTGAGTTTGTTTTAAAAATCTCTCTTTTGGCCTGGTGCAGTGGCTCACGCCTGTAATCCCAGCACTTCGGGAGGCTCAGGCAGGCAGTTCTCAAGGTCAGGAGTTCGAGACCAGCCTGGCCAATATGGTGAAAACTCATCTCTACTAAAAATACAAAAAAAAATTAGCTGGGCGTGGTGGTGGGCGCCTGTAGTCCCAGCTACTCGGGAGGCCGAGGCAGGAGAATTGCTTGAACCCAGGAGGAGGAGGTTGCAGTGAGCTGAGATCGCGCCACTGCACTTCAGCCCGGGCGACAGAGATCAAGATTTCGTCTCAAAAAACAAACAAACAAAAAAAAACAACTCTCTTCTCTCTCTACTTATCTACCCCTATATGTGTAGGGAAAAGAGTGAAGGTATTATGCCAATATACTATCAGTGGTGATCTTGCTGAAGAGTGAAAATGCAGGTGATTACAAATTTCTTTTTGTATATTCATGTGTTTTATTTTGTTTTCCTTTTTTTTTGAGACGGAGTTTCACTCTCGTCACCCAGGCTGGAGTGCAATGGCACGATCTCGGCTCACTGCAACCTCTGCCTCCTGGGTTCAAGCGATTCTCCTGCCTCAGCCTCCAGAGTAGCTGGGAGTACAGGCGCCTGCCACCACACCCAGCTAATTTTTGTGTTTTTTTTTTAGTAGAGAGAGGGTTTCACCATGTTGGCCAGGCTGGTCTCAAACTCCTGACCTCAGGTGATCTGCCTGCCTCAGCCTCCCAAAGTGTTGGGATTACAGGCGGGAGCCACCGCGCCTGACCTATATTCATGTGTTTTCTATAACCGGCATATATTATTTAGGGAGATTATAAACTATATTTTTAAAATGCTTTTTAAACAAATTTACATGTGCAATGCATACTTGTTGTAAAGTTCAAATGATACAGCAATCTGAATCTCCCAAGGGCAAATCCCTCATGCTTACTCCTGACACTGTTAATAATCTGTGTATATTCTAAGGGCTATATATTATATATATATATATATATATATATTTTTTTTTTTTTTTTTTTTTTTTTTTTGAGACAGGGTCTTGCTCTGTTGCCGGGCTGGAGTGCTGTGGTGCCGTCACTGCTCACTGCAGCCTCGACCTCCCAGGCTCAGGTAATCCTCCCATTTCAGCCTCCTGAGTAGCTAGGACTGTATGTAGGTGTGAGCCACCAAGCCTGGCTAATTTGTTTTTTTTTTTTTTTTTCAAGACAGAGTCTTGCTCTGTCACCCAGGCTGGAGTGCAGTGGCGTGATCTCAGCTCACTGCAACCTCCACCTTCTGGGTTCAAGCAATTCTTCTGCCTCAGACTCCCGAGTAGCTGGGATTACAGGTGCCTGGCACCAAACCTGGCGAATTTTTGTATTTTGTATTTTTTTTAGATGGAGTCTCACTCTGTTGCTCAGGCTGGAGTGCAGTGGCGTGATCTCGGCTAACTTCAACCTCCCCCTCCTGGGTCATATGATTCTCCTGCCTCAGCCTCCTGAGTAGCTGGGATTACAGGCACGTGATACCAAGCCCGGCTAATTTTTGTATTTTTAGTAGAGATGGGTTTTCATCATGTTGGCCAGGCTTGTCTCGAACTCCTGACCTTGTATCCGCCCGTCTTGGCCTCCCAAAGTACTGGGATTACAGGCGTGAGCCACCGTGCCTGGCCAATTTTTGTATTGTTGGTAGAGACAGAATTTTGCCATGTTGGCCAGGCTTGTCTCGAACCCCTGACCTCAGGTGATCCGCCTGCCTCGGCCTCTCAAAGTGCTGGGATTACAGGTGAGCCACTGCACCCAGCAATTTTTGTATTTTTTGTAGAGACATGGTTTCACCATATTGCCCAGGCTGATTTTGAACTCCTGGTCTCAAATTATATATATATAATTAAATTAAATTAAAATAAAATAAAATACAAAAAAAGGGTGACTCCATGTTTCAAGGAGGCAAATTTTCCTGGTCCAATTCTCGGAACCAGAAGTTATTGCACTTTACATTCTCTTCACTTCAGGATCTGTGCCTTGAACCTATAGAATAGAAGCCATTTTCTGGCCAGGCACATTGGCTCACGCCTGTAATCCCAGCACTTTGGGAGGCCGAGGCAGGAGGATCATGAGGTCAGGAGATCGATACCATCCTGGCTAACACGGTGAAACCCTGTCTCTACTAAAAATACAAAAAATTAGCTGGGCGAGGTGGCGGGCGCCTGTAGTCCCAGCTACTCAGGAGGCTGAGGCAGGAGCTCCTGAGGCAGGTGCTGGGATGCCACCTGTCTTGGCATCCCAAAGTGCTGGGATTACAGGCGGGAGCGACAACACCTGGCCCTAAAGGCTAAATCTTACATTCAGGTTCGTTGCTTTCATATTTTGTCATCTTTTCAAAATTAAGCAGCTCTTATATACTGTTTTTATTTGTCAGTTAAAACAAGTAAAATTAAGTCGAGTGTGGTGGTGCACGCCTATACTATAGTTCTAGCTATTCAGGAGCCTGTGGTGGGAGGATCACTTGAGCCCAGGAGTTCCAGGCCAGCCTGGGCCACACCAAAAGACCTGAGACCTCCGATCTAAAAATAAATAAATAATAAAAAAGTAAAAAGCAAGCAAACAAACAAAAACAAAAACTAGGCAGCTCCAACATATTTTATTTTTATTTCCCATTATTAACATCACTTAGCAATAAGTTCTATGTTTAAAGAAAGAAAATGGCTTCCTTTTTTTTTTTTTTGAGATGGGGTCTCCCTCTGTCGCCCAGGCTGGAGTGCAGTGGCAGATCTCGGCTCACCTCGGCTCACTGCAAGCTTCGCCTCTCAGGTTCACGCCATTCTCCTGCCTCAGCCTCCTGAGTAGCTGGGACTACAGGCGCCCGCCACCTCGCCCAGCTAATTTTTTGTATTTTTAGTAGAGACAGGGTTTCACCGTGTTAGCCAGGATGGTATCGATCTCCTGACCTCATGATCCTCCTGCCTTGGCCTCCCAAAGTGCTGGGATTACAGGCGTGAGCCACTGTGCCTGGCCAGAAAATGGCTTCTATTCTATAGGTTCAAGGCACAGATCCTGAAGTGAAGAGAATGTAAAGTGCAATAACTTCTGGTTCCGAGAATTGGACCAGGAAAATTTGCCTCCTTGAAACATGGAGTCACCCTTTTTTTGTATTTTATTTTATTTTAATTTAATTTAATTATATATATATATATTTATATATATATATATATATATATATATATATATATATATATATATATATATTTTGAGACAGAGTCTTGCTCTGTCACCCAGGCTGGAGTGCAGTGTCATGATTTTGGTTCACTGCAACTTCAATCTCCCGGGTTCAAGGGATCCTCCTTCCTCAGCTTCCCGAGTAGCTGGGATTATAGGAGTCTGCCACCACGCCAGGCTAATTTTTTGTATTTTTAGTAGAGACGGGGTTTCATCATGTTGGCCAGATTGGTCTTGAACTCCTGACCTCAGGTGATCCACTTGCCTCAGCCTCGGCCTTCCAAATTGCTGGGATTACAGGCGTGAGTCACTGCACCTGGCCCTTTTTTGTTATTTTAAAAGATATAACTATAAATACTCGTTTTCAATTTCTTTTGTAACATAGGTCAAACCTCTGTTGTTGTACGTTTGTGTGTTTCAGCTCCCTGATTATAAAATAATACCAGCTGAGGAAACTAAGGCCAGAGTAGGGAGGGACTGCAGGGGTCAGGGTGTACCTCTGGCACAGCCACCAACTCTGTGACTCCTCTCTGGGCCTCAGCTTCCTAAACTGTAATATTTTATAATGAAGAATAAGCAAATGAAAGTAATAATAAAACCCTGTTACTGGGTAGCAGTGTGGAGAGCACTGCAGACTGTCCCTCATGCCCGATCTCCTTTTCTTCCTGAGTACTAAACCTCTGTATTTTTAGCTGAGCACATGACACATTTTGACCCTCAAAATAGACTGCTTTTCCTTGCCTCCTTTGCTAGATACGGTTAGTGGAAAACAAACAAAATGTTTTTAAAGGCAAGGGATGTTTTGTTTTTCTCCAGTTACTCCTTTCTAATGGCTAGAATGTGGACATGATGGCTGGCGTACATGCAGCTATTTTAGATTATGAGGTAGCCTTGGGGATGAAAGCTGCCCACTGCAGAGCAACGAGATGGAAGGTACTCGCCTGGGTTCCTGGCACTGTAGCACATCATGCCAGCTCTGGACTGCCTGCCTTGGGCCTTCTCAAACAGGAGAGAGAAATACACCTCTGTCTAGCAGAATCTACAGATATTTGGGGATTTTGTTCTTTGCAGCTGTATACAAGGTAGGAAAATTGGTGAGGAGGCTGTTTCAATAATTGAGGGAAGAGACCAGGGGCCTGAACAGTGGCAGAGAATGGATTGAAGAGATATTTGTCTGGGACATGCCAAGCTCCCAGGGCCTGAGGGCCTTCACAAGGGCTGCTGATTGAGTTGATCTGAAGTTCAGTAGAAAGGTCTGAACTGGAGAAAAGAGATACGTTCAGAGAGGTAAAGATGCCCCTGGTAATATGGCCAGGAGGGCTGGACTCTGAATGGAGTGCATATTAGTTATCTATTAAAGAGTAGCACATTACTACAAAACCTTAATGAGTGGGAGGTCAGAAATCTGGGATCTGCTTAGCTAGGTGGTTCTGGCTTGGGGGTTCTCTCCTGAGATTGCAGTTAAGATCTTGGCCAGGACTGCAGTCATATGAAGGCTTGATGGGGGCTAGAGGAGCCACTTACATGGTGGCTGACTCACATGGCTGTAGGCAGAGGCCCTAGTTTCTCACCACGTGTGCCTCTCCCTAGGGCTGTGTGGGCCTCCTCATGACCTGGTGGCTGGGTCTCCCCAGAGTGAGTTATCCAGAGTGCAAGCAAGGCAGTTACCGTGATGCCTTTTATGACCTCCTTGGAAGCCACACATTGTCAGTTCTGCCATATCTTGTTGGTTATGCAGGTCACCTTATACCATGTGGGAGGGACCACACAAAGGTGTCAGTGCCAGGAGATGGGGACCCTTGGGCCTCATCTTGAGGCTGGCTACCACATAGGGAGGATCAGTAAGGGCTGGAGGAGACCAGAGCTGACCTGCTCTGGTGACCTGCCATGTGCCGAACATTTCATGGGAGCAAAGATTGATGCCACTTCCTGGGCATGTGTCACATGGTGGTTAGACGTGCAGGCAGGGCCTTTGAAGGCTATGTGGCCTCTGAGAAGTTCCAGCAAAGGCAGTTTTGATGATTAAGAGAAATAATGTGTAAAAGGCAAAGGGACCACAGGAAGTGCTCACTAAATGTCAGCTCCTGAGGCCAGGTGCAGTGGCTCACACCTATAATCCCAACACTTTGGGAGAGTGAGGCAGGCAGATCGCTCGAGTCTAGAAGTTCAAGAGCAGCCTGGGCAACATGGTGAAACCTCGTATCTACAGAAAATACAAAAATTAGCTGGGCGTGTGCCTGTAGTCCCAGCTACTCAGGAGGCTAAGGTGGGAGGATCGAGCCCAGGAGGTTGAGGCTGTAGTAAGCTGAGATCGTGCCACTGCCACTGCACTCCAGCCCTGGTGACAGAGTGAGACCCTGTTTCAAACAACAACAACAAAGTCAGCTCCTGGTGAGGACAGGGTCAGAAAGACTGAGGGTCAAGTCCCCACTTTGTCGCTTGGTAGTTGCAGTGCCTTAGCCATCAAATGGGGATGCCAATATCCATCTTACAGGGCGTTGTGAGGATTGAGGGAGGAAATACATGTAAAATGCCGACACAGTGCCTGGCATATCAGAATTACTCAAATAAAGCTTTCTGATGGTTAATTTCTCTGCTCAGAATTCTCAGCGGCTTCCCCTAGCCTGCATCACCAAGGGCATTCGAAGCCTTCCCTGACCTAGCTTTGCCAACTGAATTTCATCTCCACGCCTGTGCGACCCCGTTCCCGCCACCCCACAGGCCATCCCCCTGCCCAGCCTCTTCCTTCTGTTCATCTCTTCCCCAAGCCTTTCCCCCGGGGTCTCCCAGATAGGGCCTCACCTGCTTTTTATCCCAGAGCACTTTATGTCTCTCAGGCATGTCCCTGCCTTGTTCCCTGTGCCTGGAGACATGCTGGGCACAGCCTGGGGTGGTGGAAATCCACACAGGGACTGTGTCAATGACTCAGCTGAGATGAGGGTCACCGGGGGCTAACTGGGCTGACTGGGGAGCAGGAGGGTAACCCACTGAGACGGGAAGCAGCGAGAAAGGGGAGAACTGCCCCAGGAAGGCTGCCCGGAGGTGATGAGTAGTGCCCCTCCCTCCCGCCCCTTCAGGATGTCCAGCCAGCAAAGGGTGGAAATTGAGTCTTTTTCATCTGCACACTTTAGGTGCTCAATAGTTAAATTAAAATTTGAATTTAGTTGGGAAAAGTGTAATTTAAGCATTTGAGGGTAATAAAATCCCTGCTTTTCCCCCAAATAAACTCCATACCAGCTTGCTCAAGGTGCCTGAAATCCTCCTAGTAGAATCGTGTTCAGCTTAAAAGCTGGCATCTCCAGAAAGCTCCCGTTCCAACCTGCACCCAGTGTGTTCCGTGGGAGGGTAACAAAGGGCCCATGAGTCCCGATTAACTGATCTGACAAACCGTCTGTCACCCACAGCCCTAAGCCACACTGTGAAACTGCCTAGGGTGGCACCAGCTTTTTATCTTCCTCAGGGTCCTCCCCTCAGGCCCCCAAGTCACCCCATCATGGTCCAGATTCTCCCCTGAGTGACTCCATCCCCATGGTCATCTCCCCTCCTGAGCCTCCCCCTCTGAGGGCCAAGGGCTGTCCTCAGGGCCCTCCTGGGGCTTCCTGGTGGGGAACAACCTGAGGCAGGATAAGCTCTTATTCAGAGCGTTGAGAGGAAATGCCCCCACCTCCACTCCTCTCCCCACACACTACCCTGGCAGGAATGTAGGGCCCTGTCCTGAGTCTTCGCCCATGGAATGCAGGTGCAGCTGTGCTGGGGTAGAGTAAGGTGGGGTCATACAGCCACAGGGCTCAGAGTTGCAAGGAACCCCAAGAAGTCAGTTGGTCCAGTCCCCTGCTGTTAGGCAGGCAAGGGACTGCTGATTGTCCATGGTTTTGAATGAGCTATTTCATTGGTGGTATTATCCACCTCCCTGGATAATACCAGCAATCTCTCTCATGGGGAAGTGCTTCTCACCTGGGGCTTTTGCATGGGATTGTCTCACAACATGCCCAGGAGGGAGATAGGAGTGCTGTACCGGTGAGCAAGATTCAGGCTGCCTATCCCTGGACACCTTGACTCAAATGGCTCCAACGATGAGGACATTTATACTCTCTGGTAACAAGGTGGCCGGAGTGGGGTGTTTCCCATGCTGATTAATTGAGTGACTCAACAGCATCATCAAGGACTGAGGTTGTTTTTAGCTTTCATTTCTGCCATTGCCAAAGGGTAGGCCATGTTTTTTCTCATAGTCACAAGATGGCTGCCTGTCACCAGGCACTATGTCTAGACATGACAACATGAAGTGAAAAGAGAGCAGCCTTCCCAGGAGCTGCCAACAATATGTCCTCCTGTTTCAGTGGCCACAATTACACCACTGCTCTCATAATCTGATATTAGTGCAATGTTGGGAGACAATTACTTCTCCATGATTCTCTCATGTTTCTGCATATCAGGTGAGCAGAGAGTGTCTTTTTCTGTCTTTTTTGTGTTTTCTTTGTAAGCAATAGCTGTACATATTCTGATTGTCTTTTTCCTATCTTTTCAAGGAGGTTTATATAGTGAACAGCTTTGGAAGATAATGTTTTCCTCCAACCAAAGGGCAGGTTTGCTTAGGTCCCATTATAAAATATTCAGGTTCCCGGCTGGGCGCAGTGGTTCATGCCTGTAATCCCAGCACTTTGGGAGGCCGAAGGGGCAGATCATTTGAGGTCAGGAGTTCAAGACTAGCCTGGCCAACATGGTGAAACCCCATCTCTACTAAAAATACAAAAATTAGCCGGGCGTCATGGCGCACTCCTGTATCCCAGCTACTCAGGAGGCTGAGGCAGGAGAATCGTTTGAACCCAGGAGGTGGAGATTGCAGTAAGCTGAGAAGTGCCACTGCACTCCAGCCTGGGTGGCAGAGCAAGACTCTGTCTCAAAAAAAATTTCCTCCCCTGTAATAGCCCACTTCAGTCACATGACCACACCTCACCCCAAGGGATGCTGGGAAATATAATCTTTAACTAGACAGTCATGTGCTTAGCTAAAATTTCCATTTCTTGTATGTATGTGTGTATGTATGTATGTATTTTTGCAACAGAGTCTTGCCCCATTGCCCAATGGGGAGTGCAATGGTGCCTGGAGTGCAATGGTGCCATCACATCTCACTGCAGCCTCAACCTCAGCCTCCCAAGTAGCTGGGACCACACAGGTACACACCACCATGCCTGGCTTTTTTTTTTTTTTTTTTTTTTTTTGAGATGGAGTCTCGCTCTGTCGCCCAGGCTAGAGTGCGGTGGCGCGATCTCGGCTCACTGCAAGCTCCGCCTCCCGGGTTCACGCCATTCTCCTGCTTCAGCCTCCAGAGTAGCTGGGACTACAGGCACCTGCCACCACGCCCGGCTAGTTTTTCCTATTTTTTAGTAGAGATGGGGTTTCACCGTGTTAGCCAGGATGGTCTCGACCTCCTGACCTCATGATCCGCCAGCCTTGGCCTCCCAAAGTGCTCGGATTACAGGCGTGAGCCACGGCGCCCGGCCCACCATGCCTGGCTTTTAAAATTTATTTATTTATTTACTTATTTTATTTTTTTTGTGTGTCGGAGTTTCACTGTTGTTGCACTGGAGTGCAATGGGGCAATCTTGGCTCACCACAACCTCCGCCTCCCAGGTTCAAGCAATTATCCTGCCTCAGCCTCCCGAGTAGATGGGATTATAGGCATGCACCACCACACCTGGCTAATTTTATATTTTTAGTAGAGATGGGGTTTCTCCACGTTGGTCAGGATGGTCTCGAACTCCCAACCTCAGGTGATCTGCCTGCCTCAGCCTCCCAAAGTGCTGGGATTACAGGCCTGAGCTACCGTGCCCAGCTACTTAAATTTATTTTTAAAATTAATTATTTTTTGTTGTTGTAGAGTTGAGGTCTCACTATGTTGCCCAAGCTGGTCTAAACTCCTAGGCTCAAGCGGTCCTCTCTCTTCAGCCTCTCAAAGTATTGGGATTACAGACATGAGCCACTGCACCTGGCCTAAAGTTTTCATTTCTACCTAAGAATGGAGAATGTATACTGGGGCAATTGGTGGTCTGTGCCACAGTTACCCCAATAAATCTGGGGTTCTACTAGGGAGTCAGGAGGAATAGTGTTGGAGAGACAACAGCAGTATCTGCCATGGTAGGGTTAGTGCTGTGTCCGCATTTTATAGATAGGGACTGGGTTCCAGAGTGGGCGGTATTGCTGCCAGGTCCAGAACCCAGGCCGCTGACTCCTGACTTTAGTTTTCTTCCATTCTTTTCCTGCTTCTGCATCAATACAGATCAGGTTAGGCTGTGGGCAGGTGAAGCCTCCCACTGGCCTTGGCGTGCGGGGCCACATCCTCTTCTCAAGACACTCAGTCCCTTTGGCTTCCTGAGTCCTCTCTCTCCTGCTGTTCTTCAGGTCTTTGGCCTCTCTTCCTCAGGCTCCTTCTCTGCTTCCTTTTCTTTCCAGCCTGTCACTTCCAGAGTTCCTCAGGTGCTCACTTGCACCTGTGTTTGCTGGTTCAAATTAAATATCATCTCTTGCCATGTCCCCACACTCCTGGCGGTGGCTGCTGCCATCACGCCAGCTGCAGCAGGGAGGTACGGCTGGGGCTGCACACTCCATGGAGCCAGTGGGAGCCCCGCCCCTTCTGAGTTGGGGGCAGGAGCGCCCTGGGGTGCCGCTGCAGCCACCCAAACCATGGCCACCCAAACCAAACGGAGGCAGACCCGGGCCTCCGGCTCCATGGAGCCGACAGAAGCCCCGCCCTCTTGGGCGGGGCTACAGCCACCCAAACTGTGGCTGCGGATCGGAGCCTCCCTGTGCTCTTGGAGGGGGTCAGGAGCAGGCAGGAGCTGCCCTCCTGGGTGCAGCTGCAACCACCTGACCGGTGGCTGCAGACCTGGACCTCTTGCTACATGGAGCAGGCAGGAGCCGGGGACAAGCAGGAACTGAGCCCCTTCTGAGCTGGTGGGGTGGGAGCTCCCAGGTGCAACTGCAGCCACCTTCCCTGGCGCAGGACCCGGGCATCTCTGCAGCCTGCACCCTCGGGGCCTCAGGAAGAACCCACCCCCTTTCTGTCCCTGCAGGCTCGGGGGTGTCTGCTCCCGCTGCCTAGCTTCTTTCCACTCCCAGGGCCTGCTCAGATCTTGGAGCAGGGGTTGGGGCAGAGCCCCAGGGGCTTTGAATGGCAGTGGGAGGCTGATTCCTGAGTGGAAGTGGGTGGGTCCCCAGTAAGGCCCCACCTTCAGGCCAAGGAGGGCCTGAAGTCTGGGGGCGGGGCTGCCAGTCCCAAGGACTGGAGTAGGAACTTGTGGTGCCTCTCTGGGCTGCCCACGGCCATCCATGGACCAATCAGCATGCACTTCCTCTCCTCTGAGGTCCATAAAAGCCCCGGGCTCAGCCAGAACAGGGCAGAGGATGGCCAGAGGATGAAGAGGGCAGAGTGATGGCAGGATGACCAGCTGCAGAGAGGAGCTGCTCTCTCTGCTGATAGCTGGAGATGACAGAATGACCAGTTGCAGAGAAGAGCTACCCTCTCTGCTGAGAGCTGCAGAGACAACCTGCCAGCAGAGAAGAGCCACCCTCTCCAGGGCCTCCTCTCTGAGAGCTGAAAACTCGAGGGATGACCTGCCTACAGAGAGGAGCTACCCACTGTTGGTCTCTGAGCTGTTGTAACACTTGATAAAGCTCATCTTCATCTTCACGCTTCGCTTGTCTGCGTACCTCATTCTTCCTGGACGCACCTGGACACAGGACAAGAACTCAGGCAAAGGTGCCAGGGCCACAGGGGTTTCCGGCCTGAAACTGACACCTTAAAGACCCTGTTACACTCCTATCTGCCTAGACCTCTCTGTGTGCTCTGGGCTTGTGTATCCAGCTGCCCATCTCACATCCCATTTGGGTGTCATACAGGCACCCTGATGTCATGTTTAAAAGTGAACTCATAGCTGGGCATGGTGACTCACACCTGTAATCCTAGCATTATGGGAAGCTGAGGCGGCAGGATCCTAGAGCCCAGCTAGGAGTTTGAGACCAGCCTGGGTAAAATAGTGAGACCCCTGTCTCTACAAAAAAATGAAAAATTTGCCAGGCATGGTAGCATGCGTCTGTAGTCCCAGGTATTCAGGAGGTTGGGGCAGGAGGATCCTTTGAGCCAAGGAGGTCAAGAGTGTAGTGAGCTGTGATCTCATCAGTGTACTCCAGTTCACCACAGAGTGAGACCCTGTGTAAAAAACAAAACAAAACAAAACAAAAACTCATGACATCACCCACAAACTTGCTTTTTCACTCTCGGCAATCTCAGTAAATGCTTCCACCCTCCAGCTAGCAATGTTGGCACCTTTGATGCCTTCCTTTACCTCTCCCTCCACATCCATCCCCCTGCATACCAGATTATTGCCATAGCCTCCTACTCTGCCTCCCTGAAGCTACCCTGGCTTGCCCATCCATTCCTTACTATCTTTTTTTTTTTCTTTTTTTCGAGAAGGAGTCTCTCTCTGTTGCCCAGGCTGGAGTGCAGTGGTGTGATCTCAGCTCACTGCAACCTCCACCCCCCCCGTTTAAGCGATTCTCCTGCCTCAGCCCCCCAAGTAGCTGGGATTACAGGTGCGCACCACTTCACTAGGCTAATTTTTGTGTTTTTAGTAGAGACGGGGTTTCACCATGTTGGCCAGGCTGGTCTTGAACTCCTGACCTCGTGATCCATCCACCTTGGCCTCCCAAAGTGCTGAGATTACAGGCGTGAGCCACCGCACCCAGCTCTTTTCTATCTTAAAATGCAAGTATGATCACACTAACCTTCTTAAAAATCTTCAATGGCTTGCCATTGCTTTTAGGATAAAGACCAACATTCTTTAAATGATGTGGCAGAACACTTGCCCCTCCCTTGTCCATTCTTTTCAATTTGTAGCTGGGCACAAAGCCATTTAAATAAATATTCCACTTCCCAGCCTCCCTTGTGACTGGGTGGGACCACGTGACTAAATCCTGGCCAATTGGATGCAGACAGAAATGTAACGTTCTTAGGTAGGGAGGGGGCAGGACTTCTTTTGACCTTTCCTCTTGCCTGCTGATAAGCATGAGAAGCAGCCATCTTGGACCAGCAGGAGGATTGCTGAGGCTGGGGGAGCACTACCTTAGAAGAACACACACTAGCCTTAGATCGCCTACCTACCTTCGGGCTTTGGTTATGGAAAACAGTTAAGCACTGAGCTTGTTTGAGTCACTATTTTGCATTTTCTCACAGCCCAAACAAATCCTGCCTGAATCACATGGCCCCACTGGGCCCTTCCCCTTGCTTACTCTGCTCTAGCCACAGTGGTAGTGTTGAGTTTCTTCTGCATACCTACCTTCTTGACTCAGGGCCTTTGCACATACTCCTGCCTCTGCCTGCAGCACCCTCCTCATCACACTTTCCTGGTAATCTCCAACCCACCCTTTCAGGTGGGATGTTGCTTACTCCAGGAAGCCTTCCTTGACGGCAAGGTCATACCTACAGTAGTTCATACCTAGAGCATAATTTTCTTAAGGTTTTTTTGGACAGCATAGAGCAGGTATATATTTTTTTTAACACCTCTCCTTTATTCAACATTACCTTCAATAATAATAATGACTTGAATAATAATAACGACCAATAAAAATGCAGTAAAATAAAGTTCTTTCTTTCCTTTTTTTTTTTTTTTTTTTTTGAGACAGGGTCTCACTCTGTCACCCAGGTTGGAGTGCAGTGGCACAATCCTAGCTCACTGCAGCCTCAACCACCCGGGGCTCAAGTGATCCTCCCACTTGAGCCTCCTGAATAGCTGGAGCTACAGACGCACTTTTTTGTATTTTTTACTAGAGACTGGGTTGCATTATGTTGCCTGGGCTGGTCTTGAACTCCTGAGCTCAAGCCATCCTCTTGCCTTAGGTTCCTGGAGTGTTGGGATTACAGGCGTGAGCCACCACGCCTGGCCAAAAATTTTCTTTTATTGGATTTCATACATATACAATTATCCTAGTTAAAAAAAAAAAACAAATATGATAGAACCAAAAAAAAAAGAAAGAGGCCGGGCGCGGTGGCTCACGCCTGTAATCCCAGCACTTTGGGAGGCTGAGGCAGGTGGATCACCAGGTCAAGAGATAGAGACCATCCTGGCCAACATGGTGAAACATCGTCTCTACTAAAAATACAAAAATTAGCTGGGTGTGGTGGCGTGTGCCTGTAGTCCCAGCTACTTGGGAGGCTGAGGCAGGAGAATGGATTGAACCTGGGAGGTGGAGGTTGCAGTGAGCCAAGATTGCACCACTGCACCCCAACCTGGTGACAGAGTGAGACTTTGTCTCAAAAAAAAAAAAGTATTAGGTTAATATTTTTAAATTATATTAATGCGTTTTTTGACAAAAGAGAAAAATGAATATCTAGATCTATTGCAGCAATGAATAACATTACATTTTGTTTTCCAGCCTTCTGCAAATTTGTCAAAGACTTTGTCAAAACTGATCTTTGCATATTCGTGTTCTAGTGTAGGCAAATTTGTCATAGAAGATTTGTTTATCTTCTATCATAGTTGACCAAAAAACACTTCTTACTAATTTTTATTTGGGGCCGGGCGCGGTGGCTCAAGCCTGTAATCCCAGCACTTTGGTAGGCTGAGGCGGGTGGATCACCTGAGGTCAGGAGTTCGAGACGAGCCTGGCCAGCATGGTGAAACCCCATCTCTACTAAAAATACAAAAAATTATCCAGGCGTAGTGGCGCGCGCCTGTAGTCCCAGCTACTCGGGAGGCTGAGGCAGGAGAATTGCTTGAATCCAGCAGGCGGAGGTTGTAGCTAGCCAAGGTCACGCCACTGCACACTCCAGTCTGGGTGCCAGAGTGAGACTCCATTTCCAAAAAAAAAAAATTACTTGGAAATGTTTCTTTTCGCATGAGGCAATAGATACACAAATAGTTAGGGAAAGCCTTAAACATAAGGATAAGTTTGGCAGAAATTCATTCATTTTTGTAAAATGAAAAAAAATCATTTTACAATAAATTCCAGAAATTACAGTACTGTCAATATCTGTGTTTCTTTGAGATTGATTGTAAAAGCTTTCGAGTATCTTCCCAGTGGAAAAACTTTAAACAAATACAAACTCCCAAGTGACCACATAAAATTATGCTACCAATGTTTGTTTCAAACCCAATGTTTAAACACAGAACAATATAGTACAACAGGGATTCTAGACACAACTTTTCTCTGCAGTGAGTGTAAATAATTCTGAATCCATATGGACAGGGGCAGCTGGGTTCTCCTGTGCTGGGGATTGGCTAAAATAACAGGGAATTCTCTCAATTAACTACCAGGCAAAATCAATGCTTATTAAAGAATAAGTAATAAAATTGTGTTAATTTGAGACTTACATATAGGTTATTAAAAGTCAACAGTAAGGGAAGCAATTGTTGAGGTTTTAAACCACCAAAATAATTTGCAGGGGAGAACGTTGTTTAGAGTCGCTTGTGTGTAGTGATCCTAAAGAGCAGACTGGCTTTTAGCTCCTTCTTATTGTTTGAAAATGTGTTACCGACACCCCCTCTTATTGCTGGCATCAGTGCGGATGTGCAGCCACTTACCCCTGGTGCGTTCTCTGAGGTTCTGACTCCCGACATTCTCCTTCGAGGCACTTGCCTCAATTATGAGTTCAGACTGTGATTGTGTCACAATTTGTTTTTTTCATTTTTTCCCCTCTGTTCTTTATTTTTAGGGAGGATGTCATTATTTCTTTGAGATCTGTTCCCCACTAGGCTGTCTGCTCAACTCCAAGTGGGTGGTCACTGCTGTGTATGGCTATGCCCAGCTCCCAGCAGAGTACCTGGCACTCGAAAGGGCCTCAATACCTATTTGTTGAACGAATGTAGGTGAAGAACCTGGCACAGAGTATGCATTTCATAAAGGCAGTGACAGTGACCGTCACCTGCAGCACATTCAAGGTCAACACCCCTTCTTGGTTCCCTTCAGGCAAACCTATGTCTCCCTCTCCTGGATCGCTTTATCTCTGGAAAAGAACCTTATCTTGGCCAACAGTCCTTCCTGGAGGGCGGCAGTCACATCTCATTCATCTCTGGGGTTCCCTGAACCCCAGCAGAGGGCCTGGCACAAAATAGGAGTTAATCGATACTCCTGGAGGCCGGGCGCGGTGGCTCACGCCTGTAATCCCAGCACTTTGGGAGGCCGAGGCGGGCGGATCACGAGGTCAGGAGATCGAGACCATCCTGGCTAACACGGTGAAACCCCGTCTCTACTAAAAATACAAAAAAATTAGCCAGGTGTGGTGGCGGGCGCCTATAGTCCCAGCTATTCGGGAGGCTGAGGGAGGAGAATGGCTTGAACCCGGGAGGCAGAGCTTGCAGTGAGCGGAGATCCCGCCACTGCACTCTAGCCTGGGCGACAGAGCGAAACTGTCTCGAAAAAGAAAAAAACAATTAATACTCCTGGAATAATCATAGTTTATTGAGCGTCCACACACAACAGGTATTTTATGTCATGCATATGGTTTCGCTTCTCCAGGGTGAGCATGAGGAAAGTTAAATGATGTGTCCAAGATCACACAGCCAGTAGTGGCAGAACCCGCTTTAGTCCAGATCTCCAGATCTCTGAGGCTCCAAAGCCCCTGTTCTTTCTATGATTCCTCTTCCTAGGACAGGGCGTGTCGGGGAGGTGGGGGGGGGCGGGGGGGGGGCTGAGGGGGGTAGGGGGGCTGAGAGGGGTAGGGGGGTGGGGTCGATGGGGAGGACTCCAGTACTGGGGCGCGCCTATCCTGGGGATCCAGCTTGCTCAGGCAGCAGGAGCCTGGGCTTCCGGTCAGGCACGTGCCAGGTACCTGGGCTGATTCCTGGTCAGCACCTCTGCCTTTCCATGGGATGGAGGAGCCCAGGTGTGGACCGGGAGCTCCAATGCCAGCCCCACCACTGGTGAGCTGTGCAGCCTGGGCAGGGCAGAAAATCCCTCCAGGTTTTGGTTTCTCCACACATACAACGGCAGGCCATAGGTGCACCCCAATCAAGATGACCAGTACTGTACTGCCTAAGGCATCGGCCCCAGGCGGAGCTCTGCCAGTGCCAGTGTCTTTGGGTCCATGTTCCGTTCTCCCCGCTCCCTTTCACAATGCAGGAGGCGCAAGGTGCACTCCGACGGGCCGCGCACGGAGGGCGTGCAGCACACTTGATGGGCCGCAGCGGTCCCCAGGCTCCTTCCACAAGGACGCCTCTGTGGCCGCACCGGGATGCCAGGCAGCCGGCTCCCCTGTAAACTGGGGTTCCCGTGCGGACAGGAGTTGAGAGGGATTCGACTTGCAGCAGTCAGCAGCGTGGAGGCACGGGCGCCGTGTGTGCCGACTTGGGAAGCGGAAGAGTAGTGCGGCTGGTGGCCCGCGTGGGCCTGACCCTGGGAGTCTCGCGTGGCTGCCTGGCGCCCCCTCGCGGTCGTGGCCCGCTTCGCCGCGCCTATTCAGCGGAGCTGCTGGAGGGCGCGGGTGGACTGGGCTTGGGACAATTTGGGCTCTTGGGCTGCGATACTGCGACAAACTCCCAACCCCGTTTCCTGTCTTCCGAGGGAGGGAAAACCAAGGCTTTGAGGGTCCTCTGAGGCCTGCGGCGAGCCGGGAAGGCTGGGAAGGAAACACCCAGTGAGGCAGGTTGGGACGAAGGACCCTCCTGGAGCTCAGGAGGCCGCCCAGCGTCCACACCATGGCTCAGATTCCACCGTCCAGTCCCGCAGCCTTTCAGTTGTAAATCTGCGGCCCAGGCTGGATACCCAGGCGTGGAGATGGGCTTGAAGCATGGTCCACTGTCTCCTGACCACTGCAGACAGATGGCGGAAGCTGGGGCTTGGCCCTAACTCCTGTCCTGGACCAGGGACCCGGAGTGTGACTGTGGAACTGAGACGAGCTCCCGGGCCAGCCCTCCTCAGCAGTGGGGCTCCCATGGCTTTGGTGGCTCAGTGCCAGCAGCCAGCGTCTATCTTTTGCCTTGAGACACCTCCAAGCTGGCAACATGATTAAGGCAGCCAAGGGTGGCTGGGCAGCAGTGTGGGGGACTCTGGGTCCCCCAGATTCCCCAGGATGCCCCAGCACCCTCACAGCAGTGCCAGGGGCTGCTCTGGTCCCTGTTGGAGAGAAGGGGCAGTCCAGGAGCGACCCTCAGGAGAAGCTGTGGGCATCTGTTGGTCTGCAGTTTGAAGTCACAGCCCTCATCTGTCTCATGGGTCCCCACGGTAGAGGGTGAGACCTAGGGCCACCTCCCTGGCTTGACCTCCTGCAGCTTCCACCTCAAACTTTCCATCTCCGTAGCCCTTGCCTGTCTTGCTCTGTACACCCGCGTCCCTTACGCCGGTGGGTCATGCTCTCTTCTCCACTCTTTTCTTCTTCAGCCAACATGTAAACCTAGATACTTTAATCAGGAAGGTTTTGCACATAAATGAATGAAAAAGCGGTCAATATAAAAACTGGGTAGAAGCACAGGTCTGTCTGCGAATGAGACGGGCACTGCTAGTGCTGTTGGATGAAGCCTCCGCTGGACAGAGCCTCTGGTCCCAGTCAGCCTTCAGCTACCCTGAGAGGGGACAAAAGCCCCTTCTGGAAAAGTCAGTGGGTGAGGTCGATAATGAGTCTTGAAAACTGGGGGCTCCCTACAGGTCTAGAGCGAGGTGTGTGTCTGGGGGCCCAGCGGGCATCTGTGTAGGAGCAGGCCCCTCTGGATTTCTGCTTCTCAGTTTCCTCTGGCTGGAGGGTAGGTGATCTCTAGGGATCTGGGGTGGTGCCAGCCAGCCCTGTTGTCAGGTAGGGGCACTGAGTCCTAGGGACACAGGGCAGGGGGTGGAGGAGGTCAGAGACCCTGGGATTCCAGGCAGGGATGGAAAACAGTGCCCTCTTGTTGTCGCTCCCCTGCCCTGCCGGCACCAGGCAGCATCACTGGGGTATCCCAGCACTCTTTCTGTTTGTTTTACTTTTAATTACTCATTTAAAAATATTTGACTCATAAAGAAAAATACAAAAAATGATATAAAAACACACATACACCCTCCAACAAGATGATTTTGTTTTTAATATTTTGACTATTTGCTTCAGATCCTTTTTTTTTTTGAGACAGAATCTCACTGTGTCGCCCAGTTTTGAGTACAGTAGTGCAATCACAGTTCACTGTAACCTTGACCTCCCAGGCTCAAGTGCAATCCTCCCACCTCACCCTCCTGAGTAGCTGAGACTACAGGTGCATGCCACCACACCCTGCTAACTTCTGTATTTTTTGTAGAGACAAGGTCTCCTTCTGTTACCCAGGCTGGTCTCGAACTCCTGGGCTCAAGCAATCTGGCTTCCTCAGCCTCCTAAAGTGTTGGGATTACAGGAGTGAGCCACGATGCCCGGGCATCTTTTTTCTTTTTTTTCGAGACTGGGTCTCACTCTGTTGCCCAGGCTGGAGTGCAATGGTGTGATTACAGTTCACTGCAGCCTCGACCTCACCCCAGCTCAGGTGATCCCCCCACCTCAGCCTCCAGAGTAGCTGGTAACATGGTTGTGCCACCATGCCTAACTAATTTTTCTTTTTTCTTTGAGGCTGAGTTTTGTTCTTGTTGCCCAGGTGTGATCTCGGCTCACTGCAACCTCCACCTCCCGGGTTTAAGCGATTCTCCTGCCTCAGCCTCCCAAGTAGCTGGATTACAGGCATGCACCACTATGCCTGGATAATTTTCTATTTTTTAGTAGAGACAGGGTTTCTCCATGTTAGTCAGGCTGCTCTCGAACTCCTGACCTCAGGTGATCCGCCTGCCTCAGCCTCCCAAAGTGCTGGGAATTACAGGCGTGCGGCAGGCCTAATTTTTGTATTTTTTGTAGAGACGGGATTTCTCCATGTTGCTCAGACTGGTCTCGAACTCCTGGGTTCAATCTTCCCGTCTAGGCCTCCCAAAGTATTGGGATTACAGGTGTGAGCCACCACACCTGACCTCTTTTTTTTTTAATATAAAATGTCACAGAAATAACTAAAGCCCACCCTTGTGGCCTCTCCCCTCTCCCTTCCCTGAAGTTGTTTTTTTTTTTTCTGAGATGGAGTCTTGCTCTGTCACCTAGGCTGGAGTGCAGTTACACGATCTCGGCTCACTGCAACCTCTGCCTCCCGGGATCAAGCGATTCTCCTGCCACAGCCTCCCGAGTAGCTGGGATTACAGGCACGGGCCACCATGACCGGCTAATTTTTGTATTTTTAGTAGAGACAGGGTTTCACCATGTTGGCCAGGCTGGTCTCAATCTCCTGACCTCATGATCCACCCCCCTTGGCCTCCCAAAGTGTTGGGATTACAGGCGTGAGCCACTGTGCCCAGTCTGTATTTTTTATTCTCAAACATGTTTTAAAACTTTTACCCAATAGGTATATATCTTTATTTTATTTTTTATTTTTTTTGAGATGCAGTGTTGCTCTGTCACCCAGGCTGGAGTGCAGTGGCGTGATCTCGGCTCACTGCAACCTCTGCCTCCTGGGTTCAAGCAATTCTTCTGCCACAGCCTCCCGAGTAGCTGGGATTACAAGTGCACGCCACCACACCCAGCTAATTTTTGTATTTTTAGTAGAGACAGGGTTTGACCATGTTGGCCAGGCTGATCTCAAACTCCTGACCTTGTGATATGCCCTCCTCGGCCTCCCAAAGGGCTGGGATTACAGGCGTGAGCCACTGTGCCTGGCCCAGGTATATATCTTTAAACAATATATGGTATTGCTTTATGTTCTAAAATTTTACATGAATGGTGTCATAATGTTATATATCATTTTGCAAATTACTTTATCTCAACATTATGCTTTTGAGATCTATCAGTGCTTATCTTTGTAAATTTAATCCATTCATTGTAATCTCTGTGTGTCTTTCATTTTAACTACTCTCCTGCTGAGAATAGGTTGCTTGTAAAATGTCATAATTATGATCAATGCCTCAGAGAACCTTCTTGAGCACATCTCCTTGGAAAAGAAACAAAAGTTTATCTACAGTATCAACTGGAAATGGAAGTTCTGGGTCATGATGCTCATGCATCTTCACCTTGACAAAGATTTGTCAAATTGCTTTTCAAAGTGGTTGTACAAATTTACACTCCCATGGACAAACTATATAACTCCCATTTCTTCAATTACTCTTATTGGGTGTATTAATTTTTGCCAGTCTGTTGGGTGTGAAATGGTATTTCAATCTTGTTTTAATTTGCATTTCCCTAATTACTAGTGAGACTAAACAGCTTTTCATGTATATTGGGCATGAGTGGCCTCCTCTTCTTTGAAAAGCCTGTTCAGATCCTTTGCCTATTTTTAGTTTAGGTTGTTTATCTTTATCTTTTTTTTCTTTCTTTCTTATTATTATTATTATTATTATTATTATTATTATACTTTAAGTTTTAGGGTCTTTTTTTTTTTTTTTTTTGAGATGGAGTTTTGCTCTTGTTGCCCAGGCTGGAGTGCAATGGCACGATCTTGGCTCGCCGCAACCTCCACCTCCCGGGTTCAAGCAATGCTCCTGCCTCAGCCTCCTAAGTAGCTGGGATTACATGCATGCGCCACCATGCCCGGCTAATTTTGTATTTTTAGTGGAGACGGTTTCTCCATGTTGGTCAGGCTGGTCTCGAACTCCCTACCTCAGGTGATCTACCCACCTTGGCCTCCCAAAGTGCTGGGATTACAGGTGTGAGGCATGGTGCTCGGCCAATTTTTGTATTTTTAATAGAGATAGAATTTCGCCTTGTTGGCCAGGCTGGTCATGAACTCCTGGCCTCAGGTGATGTGCCTGCCTTGGCCTCCCAAAGTGATAGGATTACAGGTATGAGCTACCGCACCCCTCCCCAACTTTATTTGTTTACTTTATTTTTTATTTTATTTATTTATTTATTTTGAGACAGAGTCTCGCTCTGTCGCCCAGGCTAGAGTGCAATGGCGTGATCTCGGCTCACTGCCACCTCCGCCTCCCGGTTCAAGCGATTCTCCTGCCTCAGCTTCCTGAGTAGCTGGGACTACAGGTGCCTGCCACCGTGCCTGGCTAATTTTTTGTATTTTTAGTAGAGACTGGGTTCCACCGTGTTAGCCAGGATGGTCCTGATCTCCTGACCTCGTGATCCGCCCGCCTTGGCCTCCCAAAGTGCTGGGATTACAGGCGTGAGCCACCGTAACCGGACTTTTTTTGTGTTTCCTGAGACAGAGTCTCATTCTGTTACCCAGGCTAGAGTGCAGTGGCATGATCTTGGCTCACTGCCACTGCCACCTCTTGGGTTCAAGTGATTCTCCTGCCTCAGCCTCCCAAGTAGCTGGAACTACAGGCGCCTGCCACCACGCCTGGCTAATTTTTGTCTTTTTGGTAGAGATGGGGTTTGGTCAGGCTGGTCTCGAAAATCGCCCGCCTCGGCCTCCCAAAGTGCTGGGATTACAGGCGTGAGCCACTGCGCCTGGCCTTTATTTTTTATTTTTTAGAGATAGGCTCTTGTTCTGTCACCCAGGCTGGAGTGCACCAGCACAATCATGGCTCACTGCAGCTTTAAACTCCTGGGCTCAAGGGATCCTCTTGCCCAGCCTCCCAAGTAGCTGGGACTACAGGTGTGAGCCATTGCACCTGGCCTATGTCTAAGTATTTTTAAATTACTTTTAACTGTTTGATAAGAATATGTTTTTTTTTAAAAAACTTTTTGTTTATTTACTTATTTATTATTTCTTTTTTTTTTTCCACAATGACCTTGGAACTTTTTATTGGCCTTCTGCTCCCCAAAGGGTACCCTGCTTCTGCTGGCTCAATGCCTCTGAACTTTGGTGTTGTTAGTCTCGTACACCACTTTGCCATCCACTATCCTGGCGGCGGGGGGAGGGTGGTCTGTTGGATGGTGGTCGTTTGCATGGAATTGCTGCTGTCCAGGGCATCCCAAGATTGAAGTCCTTGCCGTCTTCCAGCAGGTGGTGGTAGGTGGCCATCTCGGCCTCCAGCTTGACCTGGATATTCAGCAGGGCCTTGTACTCCTGGGCCTGGCGCTGCTCCTCTGCCCGGGTCTGTGCCAGCTCCAACTCCAGGTGCAGCAGGACCCCACTGGGCTACTCCATCTGCAGGGCGTAGTGGGCCTTCGCCTCCCTCAGGCTGTTCTCCAAGCTGGCCTTCAGATTTCTCACTGAGTCCAGGTTGATCTCCAAGGACTGGACTGTACGTCTCAGCTTCATGAGCGTCATCTCAGCAGCTCTGATCTTGGCAGACTGCGTGGTGACCACTGTGGTGCTCTCCTCAGTCTGGTGGGAGCAGTACTGGTTCAGCTTCTCTCGATTCTTCTGAGACAGCTTGTCATATTGGGCCTGGATGTCTGCCATGATCTTGGCAAGATCCTGTGATTTGGGGGCATCTACCTCCACGGTTAACCCAGAGCTGGCAATTAGGGCTTGTTGGCCTTTAACTTCCTCATGTTATTCTTCTTCATGAAGAGCAGTTCCTCCTCGAAAACCTTGATCTCTGTCTCCAGCTGCAACCGAGTGACATTGGTGTCATCTTTGACCTAGCAGAGCCTACAGATGTCGCTCTCCAGACTGGCACATGGCCAGCTCTGTCTCATCAGCGGCAAGATGGGGATTGTCAATCTGCAGAATGATGCTGGCATTGTTCACAGAATTTGCGAAGATCTGAGCCCTCAGGTCCTCCATGGTCTTGAAGTAATGCCCCCAATCTCTGACCTGGGGTCCCTTCTTCTCCAGATACTCCTGGATTTTGCTCTCCAGCCTCCGATTCTCAGTCTCCAGGCTCCTCACTCTATCCAGGTAGGAGGCCAGGCAGCCGTTCAAGCCTTGATTGGTCTCCTTCTGGTTCTAGATGTCCCCCATTTCAGCCAGACCCCTGGCCATCCATGTGGCCAAGCCTCCAGACCCCAAGGCACCCTGGAAGCTGGTGGAGTGGGACACAGAGATCTGAGAGCCTGGGCCCTCTGAGAGCCTGGGCCCTCAGCATCTGCATAGACGCTGGCTGTGCCGCTGACCAGCTGGGCGCTGTACCTGGGCGGCTGCATTGAGTCCAGGGACTGGTAGTTGGTGGAGAAGGTGGTAGAGCGAGTGGTGAAGCTCATGCTGTCCAGGGAAGAAAGCGAGAGGACAGGACTCAGGTTTTGCCGAGGGCCTGTTTAATTTCTTTAGAGATGGAGACTAGCTATGTTGCCCAGCCTGATCTTGAACTCCTGGGCTCAAATGATTCTCCCACTTCAGCCTCCCAAAGTGCTGGGATTATAGGTGCACACTACCATGCTTAAAAAGCTTTTTGTTATGGAAAAAAGGAAATATATAAAAGATAAGAGATTATATAATGAACCGCAGTGGGTACCTGTTAGCCAGGTTCAGCAGCATTATTAACATGGCCAGTCTTTTTAAAATCTATATTCCCATATACTCCTCCAATTCCCAGACCGGATTTATTTTGAAACATTGTGTTTTAAATTCTCAAATGTATGGAAAGTTTTTTTTTTTTTTTTTTAGACGGAGTCTTGCTCTGTCGCCCAGGCTGGAGTGCAGTGTCATGATCTTGGCTCACTGCAAGCTCCGCCTCCCGGGTTCATGCCATTCTCCTGCCTCAGCCTCCCAAGTAGCTGGGACTACAGGTGCCTGCCACCACGCCTGGCTAACTTTTTTGTATTTTTAATAGAGACGAAGTTTTACCATGTTAGCCAGGATGGTCTCGATCTCCTGAACTTGTGATCTGCCTGCCTCGGCCTCCCAAAGTACTGGGATTACAGACATGAGCCACCATGCCCAGCCAAATGTATGGAAAGTTTTTATTTATCTTTTTTTGCTAATAACTAATAACATAATTGCATTATAGTCAAAGATTATGGTCTGCATGATACTGAATTGCCAATATTACTTGAGACTTGCTCTGTGACTAGCGTGTGATCATTTTTGGTATATGTGACATGTGTGTTTGAGAGTAATGTGTATTCTCCAATTGTTTGGTGCAGGCTTCTACATACTAAAGTTTGTTAATTTTGTCATTCAAGTCTTCTATACCTTTGCTGACTTTTTATCTTCTTTATTTATTAGTAGTTGGAAGGCGGGGTGAATTACACCTGTGATCCCGGCACTTTGGGAGGCTGAGGCAGGAGGATCACTTGAGCCCAGGAATTCAAGACCAGCCTGGGCAACATAGTGAGACCCTGTCTCTACAAAAAATTAAAAAAATTAGCTGGGCATGACAGTGCACACCTGTAGTCCTAGCTACTCGGGAGGCTGAAACAGGAGGATTACTTGAGCCTAGGAGGTCGAGGCTGCAGTGAGCCGTGATCGTGGCCCTGCACTCCAGCCTGGGCAACAGAGCAAGACCTTGTAACAACAACAATAACAACAACAACAACAGCAGCTGCAAACTCCATTCTTGTCTGATATTAATAAAGATATGCTAAGGGCTGGGCGAGGTGGCTCACTCCTGTAATCCCAGCAATTTGGGAGTCTGAGGCGGGTGAATCACTTGAGATCAGGAGTTTGAGACCAGCCTGGCCAACATGGTGAAACCCTGTCTCTACTAAAAATACAAAAATTAGCTGGGCATGGTGGTTCATGCCTGTAGTCCCCGCTATTCGGGAGGCTGAGGCAGCAGAATTGCTTGAACCCAGGAGGTGGACGTTGCAGTGAGCTGAGATCCTGCCGCTGAACTCCAGCCTGGAAGAAAGAGGGGGACTCCATCTCAAAAAAGAAAAAAAAAGATATGCTAAAGTTTTGGGGGGAATGTTAATATTTACCCGCTATATCTTTTTTCATCCTTTGACTTTCAGACTTGCTGTGTCTTATGACTTCGATGTGTCTTTTATAAACAGTATATAGCAGGCTTTTAAAAAATGCATATGTAGCTTAACAGAATGTATAATTAAACAATATATTATCCCCTTTCCTAAATACTGCAAGAAAGACCTCAGAAAACTTCAGTGCTGGCCATCCTCCTTTGCCTGGCTTGTTGTGTATTTTAGGTCTGTCCTCTTTTTTGCACCCTCAAATTCTACCTTACTATTGTTACTTTATGACGATGGGGCTTGTTTGAATTTCCTCACGCTTACCACGGGATTGTTCACTGTTTCTTCCTGCAGCTCAGGCTTCCCTTCTGGGATGGCTTTGCCTCCTCCTGCAGTACATCCTCCACCTGTAGATCTGATAGTGGCAAGCACTCCCGGTTTCATTTTGTTTGGAACTTTTAAAAATTTTTACTTATTTATTTATTTTGAGATGGAGTCTCGCTCTGTCGCCCAGGCTGGAGTACAGTGGTGCAATCTCAGCTCACTGCAACCTCCGCTTCCCGGGTTCAAGCGATTCTCCTGCCTCAGCCTCCCGAGTAGCTGGGACTACAGGAGCATACCACCACGCCCAGCTAATTTTTTGTATTTTTAGTAGAGATGGGGTTTCACTGTGTTAGCCAGGATGGTCTCGATCTCCTGACCTTGTGATCCACCTGCCTCGGCCTTCCAAAGTGTTGAGATTACAGGCGTGAGCCACTGTGCCCGGAACTTTTAAATAATTATAAAATACAACACACATAGAAAAATGCATAAGACAGGCCAGGCGCAGTGGCTCACGCCTGTAATCCCAGCACTTTGGGAGGCCGAGGCAGGTGGATCACGAGGTCAGGAGATCGAGACCATCCTGGCTAACACGGTGAAACCCCGTCTCTACTAAGAATACAATAGATTAGCTGGACGTGGTGGCGGGCGCCTGTAGTCCCAGCTACTCTGGAGGCTGAGGCAGGGGAATGGCGTGAACCCGGGAGGCAGAGCTTGCAGTGAGCCGAGATGGCGCCACTGCACTCCAGCCTGGGCAACAGAGCGAGACTCTGTCTCAAAAAAAAAAAAAAAAAAAAAGAAAAGAAAAAAGAAAAAAGAAAAATGCATAAGACAAAAATGGACAGAATAATTATAAAATGAACACTAGAAGCACCACTGGTGTCCTGCCCCCCTACTTTTTTTTTTTTGAGACGAGGTCTGGCTTTGTCAACCCAGGCTGGAGTGCAGTGGCCTGATCACGGTTCACTGCAGCCTTGACTTCCCAGACTCAAGTGATCCTCCCACCCCAGCCTCCTGAGTAGCTGGGACTATGGGCATGCGCCACCACGCCTGGCTAATTTTTGAATTTTTGTAGAGATGGAGTCTTCCTATGTTGCCCATGCTGGTCTCAAACTCCTGGGCTAAGCAATCCTCCTGTCTCGGCTTCCCAAAGTGTTCAGATTACAGGCATGAGCCACTGCACCTGGCCCTGTGTCCCTTTAGGATCATGTCTCAGTCTCTATCCTTTTTTGTTAATCATGTCCTTGCATTTCTTTATAGTTCCATCTACTTATTTTTTTTTATTTATTTATTTTGAGATGGAGTCTTGCGCTGTTGCCCAGGCTGGAGTGCAGTGGCGCAATCTCAGCTCACTGCAAGCTCCACCTCCCGGGTTCACGCCATTCTCCTGCCTCAGCCTCCTGAGTAGCTGGGGCTACAAGTGCCCGCCAACACGCCCAGCTAATTTATTGTGTTTTTAGCAGAGACAGGGTTTCACCGTGTTAGCCAGGATGGTCTCGATCTCCTGACCTTGTGATCTGCCCGCCTCGGCCTCCCAAAGTGTTGGGATTACAGGCGTGAGCCACTGCGCCCGGTCTGTTTATTTATTTTTGAGATGGAGTCTTTCTCTGTCGCCCAGGCTGGAGTGCAGTGGCGCAACCTGGGCTCACTGCAACCTCCGCCTCCCAGGTTCAAGCGATTCTCCTGCCTCAGCCTCCTGAGTAGCTGGGATTATGCACCCCACCACACCTGGCCAATTTTTGTATTTATTTATTTATTTATTTATTTATTTTTTGAGATGGAGTCTTGCTCTGTCACCCAGGCTGGAGTGCAGTGGCACAATTTCAGCTCACTGAAAGCTCCGCCTCCTGGGTTTATGCCCAGCTAATTTTTTTTGTATTTTTAGTAGAGATGGGGTTTCACCATGTTAGCCAGGATGGTCTTGATCTCCTGACTTCGTGATCAGCCTGCCTCAGCCTCCCAAAGTGCTGGGATTACAGGTGTGAGCCACCACACCCGGCCTCAATTTTTGTGTTTTTAGTAGAGACAAGGTTTTGCCATGTTGGCCAGGCTGGCCTTGAACTCCTGACCTCAGGTGATCCACCCGCCTCAGCCTCGCAAAGTGTTGGGATTACAGCCGTGCGCCACTGCGTCCGGTCATAGTTCCATCTACTTATGCATCTGATGATATACTAGAGATTAGTATATCGAAGGATCTAATTTCGAACCTTCTACAGGTGGAATCTTTCTGCATGTAGCTTTTTGCCTCTGGCTCTTTCTCTCAGCATTGCTAGTAAGGCTCATCGAGATTGTTTCATGTAGTTGAAATTCACTTATTTTTATTACCATATTGTATCTTATCATATTACTATGCCATAATTTATCTAGGCCTCTGCTGATGGGCCTATGGATTGTTTACAGTGGGGCTGTCATGAACAAGGCTGCTGTGAGCACTTTCAGCATGTCCCTTGTGCATGTGTATGTGTGTGGGCGGGTGCATTTCTCCAGTCCAGTGTATAGACTCAGGACTGGACTTGCTGGGTTATAGGTTAGGCATATTTTCAGTTTCATCAGATAATGCCCAGATTTACACCTATGCACCCATTTACACTCCTACCACATCCTTGACAACACGTGGTCTTGTCAGATTATAAATTTCTCTCTGTTTTTATTTATATGAAAACAATTTTATTTCATCCTAGTCCTTGAAAGGTAGTTTTGCCAGGCACAGAATCTAGCCTTACTTTAAAAAAAAATAAATTAATTAAATTTTTTTTCTTTTTGAGACAGAGTATCACTGTGTTGCCCAGGCTGCCAGGCCCAAGTGTAGTGACACTATCTCGGCTCACTGCAACCTCTGCCTCCCAGGTTCAAGTGATTCTCCCACGTCGGCCTCCCAAGTAGCTGGGACTACAGGTGTGCACCACCATGCCCAGCTGATTTTTGTATTTTTAGTAGAGGCAGGGTTTTGCCATGTTGGTCAGGCTGGTCTTGAACTCCTGGCCTCTGATCCACCCACCTCGGCCTCCCAAAGTGCTAGGATTATAGGCATGAGCCAACATACTCGGCCTGTTTTTATTTTTTAGGTAAAGGGACAACAGCAATGGGGTCTTGCAGTGATGATGGGGAGGGTGTATTTACTACAAGGTATCGAGGCGTGGGCTTTTCTTTATTTAGCTGCTTGGCATATGTGCTCTTTTTGTGGATTTATGTTGCTTATCACTTCTCCAGGTTTCATAGTCATTATCTCTTTTTTTTTTTTTTTTTTTTTTTTGAGACGGAGTCTTGCTCTGTCACCCAGGTTGGAGTGCAGTGGCATGATCTCAGCTCACTGAAACCTCTGCCTCCTGGGTTCAAGCGATTCTCCTGCCTCAGCCCCCTGAGTAGCTGGGATTACAGGCACCCGCCACCACACCCGGTTAATTTATTTTACTATATATATATATATATATATATATATTTTTTTTTTTTTGAGACGGAGTCTCGCTGTGTCGCCCAGGCTGGAGTGTAGTGGCGCGATCTCGGCTCACTGCAACCTCCGCCTCCTGGGTTCAAGCGATTCTCCTGCCTCAGCCTCCTGAGTAGCTGGGATTACAGGCACCTGGCACCATGCCCGGCTAATTTTTTGTATTTTTAGTAGAGACGGGGTTTCACCATGTTGGCCAGGCTGGTTTCGAACTCCTCACCTCAAGTGATCCGCCCGCCTTGGCCTCCCAAAGTGCTGGGATTACAGGTGTCAGCCACTGCGCCCGGCCTAATTTTTTTCTATTTTTAATAGAGACAGGGTTTCACTATGTTGGCCAGGCTGGTCTCAAACTCCTGATTTCAGGTGATCCACCCACCTTGGCCTCCCAAAGTGCTGGGATTACAGGCGTGAGCCACTGCACCCAGCCATCATTATCTCTTTAAATATCTCATCTCCTTCTTTTTCTCTATTCTTTCTTTTTCAGATGCTGATCAAATATATATTAAATCTTCTTCTATCCTCTACGGCTCTTAAAATCTTTTTCAAACTCATTTTCTTGCCTCATTGTGCTGTTTTCTAGGCAAATTCTTTGGAAGTATTTTCAGCTCACTAACTGTCTCTTCAGCTATAACTAATATACTTTTAATAAGATTTTACATTTCAACCTTTATATTTTTTATTTCTCAAAGTTCCATGTAAAAATCTATCTATTCATTCCTAATGGTCTTTTGTTGAGTGTATTTTTTTAAAATACATCTTTTATTTCTTTAAGTATGTCATAAATATCTACTTGACATTTTGTATCTGAAAATCCTCAAATCTTTAGTCCTTAGGGATCTGCAGTTCATTGTTTCTGCCACCTCACGGACAGAGTACCTCACCTCCTTGTGTGCTGGTGATCTTTGTGAGTTCATTGTTTGTTTAAAATTTGTAGAAGTCTCAGTTTGGGGAAGAGTTTTGCAGACAGCATTTGCATTTCTATTTCTGTTGGTATCAGGAAGTGATCTGAGATTACTTCATATCCCCTTGAAAGAACAAGTCCCAGACTCCCTTTCTCAATTTTGAGCTGGCTCAAGGCTCAGTTTCCCCACAACACGGCAATTTACCTAACTGCCTGCCGCTTCAGCCCTGGCCAGTCCCCATTTCCTTGTCTGGGAGGTAGTATTTTTGGAAACATACCCTATCTCTTGTCAGATCAGCTACATCTAAAAAAATTATGCTGTTCAGGGTTTAACTGTTCTCAGTCATGATGCCACAATGGCTGAGAACCTCTAATACTTTCCTTTTCTACTTCTCTGACTGGCCATGGGTCACATGACCCAAGATAGCCAACTGGAGTCCTTCCCTGGGATTTTCTGAATTAGAGTGGTAAGAGAAGCTTCTTCCTCTTTGGGGCAGCATCTTAAGGATGTGAGCTCAGTGAGGGTGGCAGTCATGCTTCCCACACATGGGGAGAAAGCCTGCCGAGAATGGAACCGCATGCTGAGAGATGAGAGAAGGTGGGAGACAGGGGAAGCTGCAGCATTTCCTGTATGATCTGTGGTTTGATCACGTGAGCCAGAATATTCGGCCCTTGTTGCTTGGGTTTTCTGTCTTTTGCGGTCTTGGTTTTTACATAGTGAGATGATGGATGGTGATTATTTTGTTTTCTGCTTTTCTGTGTTTTAAAATGCTCTATCTATCTATCTATCTATATTTTTTTGAGAGAGGGTCTCACTCTGTTGCCCAGGCTGGAGTGCAGCGGTGCAATCGTGGCTCACTATAGCCTTGACCTCCCAGACTCGAATGATCCTCATGTCTCAGCCTCCTGAGTAGCTGGGACTACAGGTGCGTGCCACCACATCCAGCTAATTTTTAAATTTTTGTAGAGACAGGGTCTCACCATGTTGTCGAGGCTGGTCTTGAACTTCTGGCCTCAAGCAATCTTCCTGCCTTGGCCTCCTAAAGTGTTGGGATTACAGGCGTGAGTCAGTGTGCCTGGCCGTCTGTATATTTTTTAAAAATAAGGAAGTATTATTAATTTAAAAAGTGTTATCTAAAAATCCTGCTTTCATTTCTTTGGTGAAGAAAATATCCTAACCCCAGTTGATTTCTGTAAAGTGAGATCACACATTGGGTTTGGCTAAAGCAGGGACCTGTGAAGTGGTTGAGGACTGAGTTGTATGTCCTTCTGTTGATGGTGAGGGAGCAGCATGCCATCCGCATGAAAGACAGCCTGGGCTTGTTTGTGCCAAGTGTCTGTGGTGTCCCTGATGGTGGAACAGTGGCTTTGGAGCTCCCTGCCCTGTGCCAGCCTCTGCCTCTGACTCCCCCTCACAAGGCTGTACTGTTTGAGGGACTGCTCAGTCACCCTGGTGTCCCTGGCACCCAGCACTGAACTGCCAAGAAATGTTTTTGATTGACTTATGCTAGACCTCATTTTTTTTTTCTTTGAGATGGAGTCTCACTCTGTTGCTCAAGCTGGAGTGCAGTGGCACGAGCTCACTGCCATCTTTGCTTCCCAGGTTCAAGTGATTCTCCTGCCTCAGCCTCCCGAGTGGAATTACAGGCTCTCACCACCATGCCCAGCTACTTTTTGTATTTTTAGTAGAGACGGGGTTTCATCATGTTGGCCAGGCTGATCTCAGACTCCTGGTCTCAGGTGATCTGTCCACCCTGGCCTCCCAAGGTGCTGGGATTATGGGTGTGAGCCACTGCACCTGGCCTGGACTTCAAATTTTTTGTTTTTTTGAGACGGAGTCTCGCTCTGTCGCCCAGGCTGGAGTGCAGTGGCGCGATCTTGGCTCACTGCAAGCTCCGCCTCCCGGGTTCACGCCATTGTCTTGACTCAGCCTCCCGAGTAGCTGGGACTACAGGCGCCAGTCACCACGCCTGGCTAATTTTTTGTATTTTTAGTAGAGACAGGGTTTCACCGTATTAGCCAGGATAGGATGGTCTTGATCTCCTGACCTCATGATCCGCCCTCCTTAGCCTCCCAAAGTGCTGGGATTACAGGCGTGAGCCACCGTGCCCGGCGGACCTCAAATTTTTATTTTATTTTTGAGACGGAGTCTCGCCCTGTTGCCCAGGCTGGAGTGCAGTGGCACAATCTTGGCTCACTACAACCTCCATCACCCGGGTTCAAGTGATTCTCCTGCCTCAGCCTCCAGAGTAGCTGGGATTACAGGTGTGCACTACCACGCCTGGATAATTTTTGTATTTTTAGTAGAGACGGGGTTTCACCATGTTGACCAGGCTGGTCTCAAACTCCTGACTTCAGTGATCTGCCTGCCTCGGCCTCCCAAAGTGCTGGGATTACAGGCATAACCCACTGCGCCCAGCTGCTGGGCTAATTTATTATTATTATTATTATTATTATTATTATTATTATTATTATTTTGAGACAGAGTCTTGCTCTGTCACTCAGGCTGGAGTGCAGTGGCACTATCTCGGCTCACTATAACCTTCACCTCCCAGGTTCAAGCAATTCTTATGCCTCAGCCACCGAAGTAGCTGGGACTACAGATATGCATCACCATACCTGGCTAATTTTTGTATGTTTAGTAGAGACAGAGTTTCACCATGTTGGCCAGGCTGGTCTCGAACTCTTGACCTCAGGTGTTGTGCCCGCTTTGGCCTCCCAAAGTGCTGGGATTGCAGGCGTGAGCCACTGCGCCTGGCCTTAATTTTTTAATTTTATTTTTCACAGAAACGAGGTCTTGCTGTGATGCCTAGGCTAGTCTTGAACTCCTGGGCTCAAGCAATCCTCCTGCCTTGGCCTCCCAAAGTGCTAGGATTACAGGTCTGAGCCAGTGCACCCAGCCCAGACTCAGATTTTGAGGTCTCCACACAGCTTAGTGCAATCAGAATGAGTCAAAAAAAGATACGGGATGCTTTGAGATACTTGGCTTCTCTGAGTCTCAGTTTCCTCTTCTGTAAAGTGGGTGCAACAATAGGTAACCTTCTGCAGCGTTGTTGTAAGGATTGGACACAATGTACAGAGTGCGAGCATTGGCTCAGTAATCCAACTATGATGTCGGGGGAGAAGGAAAGATTAAATGGTAGGTGTTGACAGTCCCAAATTGTGTAAAAGCATATTGAATCAGGCTTTTCTTGTTGTCACTTAGAATCACAGTTGGGACAAAGAAGCATTAAGACTCATAGTCTAGAGAACGTGGACATTACCGTGTGGCAGACTCCTCCAGGACCTGTTAAAAGGTGGATGAACCAGTTCTGCTTCTCCTGAACATTCTGCCAGTTACCAGCAAGGATGGCGTGTTCCTAAACTAAGTAACTGGTGAAGTTGCCTAATTTCCCTGTGCCTCAGGCACCTCACCTGTAAAATAGGGATAATAATAGTATCCACCTTTTTTTTTTTGAGACAGAGTCTTGCTGTGTCTCCCAATCTCTGCCTCCCAGGTTCAAGTGATTCTCCTGCCTCAGCCTCCTGAGTAGCTGGGATTACAGGTGCCCGCCACAGTGCCTGGCTAATTTTTGTATTTTTAGTAGAGATGGGGTTTCACTGTATTGGCCAGGCTGGTCTTGAACTCCTGACCTCAGGTAATCCGCCTGCCTCAGACTCCCAAAGTGCTGGGATTACAGGTGTGAGTGACTGTACCCTGCGTAGTACCCACCTTTTAGGGTTGCTGTGAGGATTAAGTGAGTCTGATGGTGGTAGTGGTCCGTCTGGAGTGGCTGCTGAAAAGACTCTGGCTGCAGTGGGGGAGGCATGACCGGGGCTGCTAGCTCCACGGAGCCAGCAGGAACCAGAAACAGGCGGGAGCTGCGCCCCCTTCTGAGTTGTTAGGGTGGGAACAGCTGCAGCCGCCCAGCCACAACTGTGGACCCCAGCATCCCTGTGCTCTCAGGGCCCTGGGAAACCCCTCCACCCCCGCAGGCTCGGCAGTGCCTGCTCCCACTGCCTGGCCTCTCCCCACTTCTACTGCCTGCTCTGATATCACAGCAAAGTTGTGGCCAAGTCCAGGTGCTGTCACACCCAGAGCCTGGGTGCTGTCATGACCCAGCTGGGTGTGCATGCACTTGGTGCAGTGCTGACACACCAGCCCCCTGCCGCCTTGGCCCCCTCCAGACTTTGGGTGCTGACAAGCATGGGAGGGTGTCCAAAGTGGGGCTGAGGGTGCGTTGGCTCAGGCCTGCAGGTGCCCCTCGACATGAACAGCCTGGGCACCATGAATGGTGGCAGGAGGCAGACAGGTTTCTGGGTGGAAAGGGGTGGATCCCTGGTGAAACCCCACCTTCAAGCCACGGACAGCCTGAAGTCTAGGGGCCAGGCTGCCAGTTCTGCTGACTGGAGTAAGAACTTATAGTGCTTTTACCAGGCCTCCCATGGCCGCCCATGGACCAATCAGCACACACTTCCTCCCCTCTGAAGCCCATTAAAAACCCCAGACTTGGTCAGACTTGGGCAGACAATGGATGACCTGCCTGCAGATAGGAGCTACCCACTCCGGGTCTCCTGAGAGCTGTACTGTCGCTCAGTAAAGCACCTCTTCACCTTGCTTACACAAACAGGGCTGAAACACGCACCCTGCTTGCCATGTTGCGAGCAACAAGAAGGATTGAAGAGAGAAAGAAAGAAGAGCTTCAGCCCTTCGGTGAACCCAGGCTTGGGAGCTCCCCAAGCCAGGGTTTGACATGCTTTTTGGGGCTCTGCAGTTCCTGGCATCTCCAAGCTTCTGGGCGCCACCATGTTCCCTGGTGCCCACAGTGGAAGCTGCTTGTGGTACGTCTGGACCAGCTGCAGCAGGGAGCCAGTGCCTGTGCTGGCGCCTGGAGCGGCCTGCCTCGCCGCAGCTGGTGTGCCCGGCTGTGTACGCAGTGGCCGGACCCTGTGCCTGCTCGCTCACACACCCCTTGCCACTCCGCACCTGGCTCGCCTTTGGCAGGCATGGGATCCAGGCTGGTAGCAAAAGCTGAATGCAGCCTGCCAGGCCAAGTGGGTAGAACAAGCCAGTGGGCCTGAGCAAAACTTGTGAAAAGGCGCCAACAGCCACAGAGGTTTCCAGCTGGTGAAGTGATACCCTGAGGATCCCGTAACAAATCAATGCAAGAACAGTGACCAGGACCTCAGAAGCAATGTATCCTTTATTAGCATTGCTTTTGTTTTTGTTTTGAGATGGAGTCTCGCTCTGTTGCCCAGGCTGGAGTGCAGTGGTACAATCTCGGCTCACTGCAACCTCCACCTCCCAGGTTCAAGTGATTCTCCGACCTTAGCCTCCAGAGTAGCTGGGATTACAGGCACGAGCCACTATGCCTGGCTAATTTTTTATATTTCTAGTAGAGACTGGGTTTCACCATGTTGGCTAGGCTGGTCTTGAACTCCTGAGCTCAAGTAATTCACCTGCCTCGGCCTCTCAAAGTGCTGGGATTACAGGCATGAGCCACAGTGCCTGCCTCTGATATTAGTATTATTACCCCAATTCCTTACCTACCCCCAACTCCCATCTGGGTCTATATAAGCCAGAATTTAGGAAATCTAGAGAAATCCTAGGAGAGAGGGTGGTGGCTTTCCTCTCTCACTCCTCTAGCCAGCTATGGGTGGGGGGCGGGGGAGATGCTAGGGCTTCCTCTCCTGGCGGTGGGGGGGTCGGGGGAGTGCCTGTAGAAAGGGGAGCCCACATTGCATTCTCTGGCTGGATGTTTGCCTCCTCAGTGGTCAGGCTAATCTTCCCCTAGGCCCACTTGAGCAGTGACAGGTGGGATGAGGACAGCAGGGGTCTCTTACATGGCCCCTGCTTGGTGAGGCCAGGATGAGTGAGTGTGCTGTGGCCAAGTGGGCTCTGGGAGCATGAGAGCCACTTTGCTTGTCTCCCCAGGGAGGGCTGGCTGCTGGGCAAGGGGCCCTTAGCAGCAGGAGAGGGAGCTGGACCCCAGGTGGGAGCTGAGAGGTGGTAAAAGGGCTGGGGCCAGCACAGGGGTCCCCTGTCAAGGCACTGAATTGGCAGGGACCCAGCCGGGACCCTGCCAGCCCACCATCACTCTACGAGAGGCTGGCTGTGTGGCTGCCACACAGCAGGGAGCCGCTGACACCCACAGGGAGGCGATGCTGTGAAGCACAGGGTCCCTCACTTCACCCCTCCCTCCTTCCCAGAGGGGGGAAGGCCTGGGTCCCTCCTGTTCACAGGTCCCTGGGCATGGCCGTGGGCCAGGGAGGGAGGAGGGGAGTGCTTGACCAGACATCAGGTGGAGTTCAAGTTGGCACCAGATGGGGCAGGGCTTTTTTATGTCTGAAAGTCACCAGAAAGCAATGGGATGTGCTTGAGATGGTGCTAAGGGGTAGGAAGATGTTAAAGGCTGGATGTGAGGGAGACAAATGTTTTGTGTTAAAGCACTGCTGAGCTGAGAAGGTCCTTGGAACCAGTCACCAGTTCAGTGTCCCTGAGGCAGGGTGGTGGCCTCTGCTCACCCTGGCGCTGTGCCAGGGGTGTCCAGCTCAACACAAGGAACTGGGGGTGAGTGACTCCTGAAGTGAGGCTAAGCCCCCTGCCCTTGCCAGGCATGATGTGGGCAGCCTTGGGGTTGAGGAGGGAGCCCTCCTGGTCTGACACCCCTGTCTGACCCACAGTTTAGGGCAACGGAGGCCGAGTAGGAGGGTAAGTCCCCAAAACTGCATCAGCCGGGCATGGGGCCTGATAGCAACCCTCCCTCCCATCCTTCCTCTGTAGGGGTCAAGCTCAGACCAGGGTCAGATGACAGCAAAAGGTCCTTGGAGACCCAGAGGAGTAACACCTGTGACAAGAGCAGAGGCAGGGGGCTCTGCCAGGGCAGAGAAACAAGATGGTGGCTCTCCCTGGTGGCCTGAGCCTAGGCCTGGCTGAGGGAACAGGGTCAGAGGGCAGCAGTGTGGGCTGCTTCAGGCCACAGGGCCCCAGAGAGGGCAAGATGGGTGGACCAAGGACAAACCCATGCCAGAGACCAGCTGAGGAAACCAGGCAGGGAACCAGGATCCCAAAGGGTTCCCGCCAAAGCGAGGCATCTGTTTTGGGCTGGGACCTGCCGGGGGACACTACCTGGCCTGCCTGCTGTTTGCAGCCTCAGACGGCTCTCTTTTGTTGGTGTTTTTCTTATCGTTGCTTTTGTAAGGTCTTTTAATTTAAACCTTGTTTGCTGAGTGAATGAAAGTAGACCTTTTTCCAGGAGCTGTGTACACTTGATGGAAAAAGTTTCCAAAGAAAACCTTTTTTTTTTTTTTTTTTTTTTTTTTGAGACGGAGTCTTGCTGCTCTGTGGCCCAGGCTGGAGTGCAGTGATGTGATCTCAGCTCACTGCAACCTCCGCCTCCCTGGTTCAAGCAATTCTCCTGTTTCAGCCTCCTGAGTAGCTGAGATTACAGGTGCCCGCCACCACACCTGGCTAATTTTTGTATTTTTAGTAGAGACGGGGTTTCACCACATTGGTCAGTCTGGTCTTGAACTCCTGACCTTAGGTGATCCACACACCTTACTCCTGACCTTAGGTGATCCACACACCTTGGCCTCCCAAAGTGCTGGGATTACAGGCGTGAGCCACCTAGCCAAGCCCCAAAGACAACCTTTCTAAGCCTGAATTTCCTCACACATGAATGGGGAGTAGCAATATTTACCTGAAAGGGCTGATGTGAGGGGTAAGTGAAATAGTGTAAAGGGTCTGGCACAGTGCCTGGGACACAATAGGTACTCAGTAAATGGCAGGTTGTTATTCTGCCTCCTCCTTCTATACCCACATACCTTCCCATGTTTCCTGGTACCTGTATTAAGAAGGAAAAGGTTACAAGGAAGAGGTGAAGCAAGATGGCAGAATAGAAGGCCCCACTGATCATCTCCCCCACAGAAACACCAGATTCCACAACTATCTACATAAAAAGCACCTTAATAAGAAACAAAAATGAGGTGAGCATTTACAGTACCTGGTTTTAACTTCACGTCACTGAGAGTGGCACTGAAGAGGGTAAGAAAGGCAGTCTTGAATTGCCAACACTACCCCTTCCCATTCCCCTGCAGCAGCTACATGGTGCAGAGAAGTCTGTGATTGGGAAAGGGAGAGCGCAGTGATTCTGAGACTTCAGATTGAGCCCAGTGCTGCCCTGCCACAGTGGAAAGCAAAAGCAGGCTGAGCTCAGCTGATGCCCATGCATAAGGGGAGCATTCAGATCAGCTCTAACCAGAGGGGAATCACCCCTCCCAGTGGTCAGAAATTGAGTTCTGGCAAGCCTTGCCACCACAGGCTAAAGTGCTCCAGGGTCTTAAATAAACTTGAAATGCTGTCTAGGCCACAAGGACTGCAACTCCTAGGTGAGTCCTAGTATTGAGCTGGGGTTGGAGCCAGTGGACCCGGGGGGCACACAACCTATTGAGGGTGGCTAAGGAAGTGCTTGCACCACCCATCCTCCGGCCCCATGCTGCACAGCTCATGGCTGCAAAAGAGATCCATTCCTTCTGCTTGAAGAGAGGAGAGGAGAGGGAAGAGTAAAGAGGACTTTGTCTTGCATCTTGGATACCAGCCTAGCCACAGTAGGATAGGGCATCAGGCAGAGTCATGAGTCTAAGGCTCCCATTCCAGGATCCCAGATGACATTTCTAGGCACACTCAGGGCTAGAAGGGAATCTGCTGCGTTGAAGGGAAGGGCCCAGGCCTGGCGGGATCCATCACTTGCTGACTGTAAGAGCCCTTGGGCCCTGAATAACCAGCAGCAATACCCAGGTAGTACACTGTGGGCCTTGGGTGAGACACTGAGGTGTGGCTTCAGTGTGACCCAACACAATCCCAGCTGTGGTGGCTATGGTGAGAGACTCCTTCTTGAAAAAAGCAGAGGGAAAAGTAAGGGAGATTTTTTCTTGCACCTTAGGCACCAGCCTATCTGCAGTGGGGTAGAACACCAAGCAGGCCCTTGGCGTCCTCGATTCCAGACCTTAGCTCTTGGATGGCATTTCTGGGCCTGCTCTGGGCCAGAGGGGAGCCTGCTGCCCTGGGAGGAGAGACCTGGGCCGGACAGCATCCACCACGAGCTGACTGAAGAGCTCTTGGGCCTTAACCCTTTTCTCGTTTAGGAAAAAAAAAAAAAGTGCAGCTCACTGCCAGCACTCATTTAATTTTACATAAACACGCTCTTTGAGGCTGAAGCAAATCTGACTGATTTTCAACGTGAAAATAAAATATAAAAACTGTTCTTGGAGTTATTTCTAAACAGAACTAATATCATCAGAATCATCTGAATCATTAGAATCATCTATTTCAGGAAAATCGGATTCATTAAATGAATCTTTGGCCAAAAACTGTTCGAGAATGATGTTAACATCAAGCGTAGGAATGCTATGTTTTCTAGGATTTGACATTTTCAGCAATCAAGAATTACTATATTTTGTAAATGGAAATATCACTACTAAAACCAGAATGCTCTAAATAGAATAATGTCTTTTGTTTTCAAAGTCAATATACTAGGACAATGTGAAAATAATAATAAAAAGGAGATATTTTGTGACAAAGTTATCTCAGAGTAAAGCACTCCAGCAAGTATTCTTGGCGCAAATGGGAAATTCAGTGAACATCAGCAGTGGCCTGGCAGTGCTTCCCATGGACCTGTGGTGGTGGCCATGGGGTGAGGCTCCTGTGCCTGCGGAAAGGGGAGGGAAGAGTGGGAAGAACTGTGTCTTGTGTTTTGAGGGCTGCCTCAGCCACAGAGAAAACCAGGTAGACTTCTAAGGTTTTTGACTCCTGTCCCTAGCTCCCAGATGGCACCTCTGGACCCACTTGGGGCCCAGGAGAACTCACCACCCTGAAGGGAAGGACACAGCCTGGCTGGCTTCACCACCTGCTAATCGTAGAGCCGTAGGGACTTGAGTGAACATAAGTGGTAGCGAGGCCGCAGTTACAGCAGGCCTTGGGCAAGGCCCAGAGCTGTGCTGGCTTTAAGTCTGACCCAGTCCAGTCCCAGCCACAGGAGTGCTTGTATCACCCCTCCGCCAGGACTGAGACCAGGACCAGGTAGCTCAGGAGAGAGAGGGAGAGGGAGAGGGAGAGGGAGAGGGAGAGGGAGAGGGAGACTATTTATTTGGGAGAAAGTAAGGGAAGAGAATAAGGGTCTTTGCCTGCTGATCCAGAGAATTCTTCTGATCTTATCCAAAACCACCAAAGCAGTACCTCTATCAGTCTGCGAGAACTACAGCATAACTGGGCTTGGGCTGCTCCCTATTGCACACGCAGCTTGGATCACAACACCCAAATCCTTTTGAATACTTGGAAAGCCTTTCTAAGAAGGACAGGTACAAACAAGCCCAGACTGCAAAGACTACAATAAATACCTAACTCTTCAATGTCCAGACACCAACAAACATCAATGAGCATCAAAACCATGCAGGAAAACATGACCTTGCCAACCGAACTAAACAAGGCACCAGAGACCACTCCTGGAGAAACAGATATGTGACCTTTCAGACAGTAAATTCAAAATAGCTGTTTTGAGGAAACTCAAAGACATTCAAGATAACACAGAGAAGGAATTCAGAATTCTATCAGATGCATTTAACAAAGGGATCGAAATAATTTTTAAAAATCAGATGCATTTAACAAAGGGATCAAAATAATTTTTAAAAATCAAGCAGAAATTCTGAAGTTAAAAAACGCAATTCACATACTGAAGAATGCATGAGTCTCTCTCCCTCTCTCTTTTTTTTTTTTGAGACGGAGTTTCACTCTTGTTGCCCAGGCTAGAGTGCAATGGCGCGATCTCTGCTCACTGCAACCTCCACCTCCCGGATTCAAGCGATTCTTCTGCCTCAGCCTCCCAGGTAGCTGGGATTACAGGCATGTGCCACTACGCCTAGATAATTTTGTATTGTTAGTAGACATGGGGTTTCTCCATGTTGGCCAGGGTAGTCTCAAACTCCTGACCTCAGGTGATCCGCCCGTCTCAGCCTCCCAAAGTGCTGGGATTACAGGCTGAGCCATCGTGCCCGGCCAAGAGTCTCTTAATAGCAGAACTGATCAAGCACGGCTGGGCACGACGGCTTATGCCTGTAATCCCAGCACTTTGGCAGGCCGAGGTGGGTGGATCACCTGAGGTCAGGAGTTCAAGATCAGCCTGGCCAACATGGTGAAAACCCATCCCTACTAAAAATACAAAACTCAGGCAGGTGTGGTGGCACGTGCCTGTATTCCCAGCTACTTGGGAGGCTGAGGCAGGAAAATCTCTTGAACCTGAGAGGCAGAGGTTGCAGTGAGCCGAGATCGTGCCACTGTACTCCAGCCTGGGCGACAGAGCAAGACTCGGCCTCAAAAACAAAGCAAAACAAAAAAATAAGTGATCAAGCAGAAGAAAGAATTAGTGAGCTTGAAGACAGGCTATTTGAAAATACACAGTCAGAGGAGACAAAAGGAAAAAGAATAAAAAATAATAAAGCACACCTACAGGATTCAGAAAATAGCCTCAAAGGACAAATCTAAGAGTTACTGGCCTTAAAGAAGAGGTGGAGAAAGAGACGGGTAGAAAGTTTATTCAAAGGGATAATAACAGAGAACTTCTCAAACCTAGAGAAAGATATCAATACCCAAGTACAAGAAGGTTCTAGAACAGCAAGCAGATTTAACCCAAAGAAGACTACCTCAAAACATTTAATAATCAAACTCCAAAAGGTCAAGGATAAAGAAAGGATACTAAAAGCAGCCAGAGAAAAGAAACAAACAAAATACAACGGAGCTCCAGCACACCTGGCAGCAGACTTTTCAGTGGGAGATTTACAGGCCAAGAGAGAGTGGCATGACATATTTAAAGTGCTGAAGGAAAGAAACTGTTACCGTAGAATAGTATATCTGGTGAAAATACCCTTCAAACACGAGGGAGAAATACTTTCTCAGACAAACAAAAGCTAAGGGATTTCATCAAAGTCCAAAATAAATGCAAAAGAGAGTTCTTCAATCCGAAAGAAAATAACGTTAATGAGCAATAAGACATCATCTGAAAGTACAAAACTCACTGGCAATAGTAAGTACACTGAAAAACATAGAATATTATAACACTGTAACTGTGATGTGTAAACACTCTTAAGTACAAAGACTAAAAGATGAACCAATCAAAAATAGTAACTACAACAACGTTTCAAGACATAGGCAGTAAACATTCTTCCTCCCTCCCTCCCTCCCTCCTTCCCTCCCTCCCTCCCTCCCTCCTTTCTTTCCTTCTTTCTTTCCTTCCTTCCTTCCTTCCTTCCTCTCTCTCTCTCTCTCTCTCTTTCTTTCTTTCTTTTTTTCTCTCTCTTTCTTGACAGAGTTTCTCTCTGTTGCCCAGGCTGGAGTGCAGCGTCACAGTCTCAGCTTACTGCAGCCTCTGCCTCCTGGGTTCAAGTAATCCTCCTGCCTCAGCCTCCTGAGTAGCTGGGTTGACAGGCACACATCAGGGCACCCGGCTAGTTTTTGTATTTTTAGTAGAGATGGGGTTTCATCATATTGGCCCTATACTGCTCTCTAACTCCTGGCATCATGTGATCCACCCATCTCAGCCTCACAAAGTGCTGGGATTACAGGTGTGAGCCACCATGCCTGACCTATCCTTCACTCTTAATATGTTTTACCAATTGTCTCTTGTTGGACATTTATATTTTTTCTTTTATTATTGTTATTATTATTATTATTATTATTATTACTGTAATGATGGAATGAATTTCAGATGCTGGGACATAAACCTCTGACCCCTTTTTAAATTATGTCAGAGAGAGATTCCTAGAAATGGGATTAGCAGATCGAAGAGCTGAATCCTCCTCAAGTCCTATGCACAATTGAGCTGCTTGCCAGAAAGGTCAAGCATGTTTCCCATTCTCATCAGCAACACGTGAGAGGACTCAGTGAGCTGAAACACGGCCAGCGCTGCAACTGGTCATTTAAAAACTCTGCCAATTGGGGCCAGGCCTGGTGGCTCCATGAGGCTTTGTTGTTTCTATGAAAAAGTGGGGAGACAAAGTTAAAGTGTAGAGTTTTTACTAGTTTTCTTCTTGCTTGTTAGTTTGTGCAAGCAGAATTAAGTTGTTATCAGCTTAAAATAATGGGTTATAAGATAGTATTTGCAAGCCTCATGGTAACCTCAAATTGAGAAACACAACAGATACACAAAAAATAAAAAAAGCAGGAAATTAAATCATATCACCAGAGAAAATCACCTTCACTACAAAAAAAGACAGGAAGAAAGGAAAGAGGATGAGAAGATCACAAAACAACCAGAAAACAAATAACAAAATGGCAGAAGTAAGTCCTTACTTATCAAGAATAACATTGCATGTAAATGGACTAAACTCTCCAATCAAAAGACATAGAATGGCTCAATGGATAAAAAAACAAGACCCAATAATCTGTTGCCTGCAAGAAACACACCTCACCTATGAATACACATATAGGCTGAAAATAAAAGGATAGGAAAAGATATTCCATGCCAATGAAAACAAAAAAAGAGCGGGAGCAGCTATACTGATATCAGACAAAATAGATTTCAAGACAAAAACTATAAGAAGGGAAAAAGAAAGTATGTAGACCAAAGCCAGATGTGGTGGCTCACACCTGTAATTGTGGCACTTTTGGAGGCTGAGGCAAGTGGGTCACTTGAGGCCAGGAGTTTGAAACCAGCCTGGCTATCATGGTGAAACCCCATCTCTATTAAAAATACAAAAGTGTAATCCCAACACTTTGGGAGGCCAAGACAGGCAGATCCCCTGAGGTCAGGAGTTCGAGACCAACCTGGTCAACATGGCAAAACCCCATCTCTACTGAAAATACAAAAATTAGCAAGGTGTGGTGGCATGCATCTGTAGTCCCAGCTACTCGGGAGGCCAAGGCAGGAGAATCACTTGAACCTAGGAGGTGGTTGTTGCAGGGGACCAAGATTACACCACTGTACTGCAGTCTGGGCTACAGAGAGAGATTCTGTCTAAAATAAATAAATAAATAAATAAATAATAAAAATTTAGCTGGGCATGGTGGCATGCACTTGTAGTCCCAGCTACTCAGGAGACTGAGGCATGAGAATTGCTTGAACCTGGGAGGCAGAGGTTGCAGTGAGCCTAGATCATGCCACTGCACTCCATCCTGGGTGACAGAATGAGACTCTGTCTGAAAAAAAGAAAAAAAGCCTGGGCGCAGTGGCTCATGCCTGTAATCCCAGCACTTTGGGAGGCCGAGACAGGTGGATCCCTTAAAGTCAGGAGTTAGAGAGCAGTCTGGCCAACATGGTGAAACCCCTTCTCTACTAAAAATACAAAAATTAGCCAGGCATGGTGGTGCACACCTGTAGTCCCAGCTACTCAGGAGGCTGAGCTGGGAGAATTGCTTCAACCCAGGAGGTGGAGGTTGCAGTGAGCCGAGATTGTGCCATTGCACTCCAACCTGGGTGACAGAGTGAGACTCTGTTTCAAAAAAAAAAAAAAAAAAAAAAGAGTAGACCAAATGTTAGGTGACAAAATACAACTTAAAACATTCAAAAAAATTTGAAATAATATCAAGCATCTTCTCTGACTACAATGGAATAAAGCTAGAAATCAATAACAACAGGAATTTTGGCAACTATACAAACAAATGGAAATTAAATAATATGCTCCTGAATGACCAGTGGGTCAACGAAGAAATTAAGAAGAAAGTTGAAAAAGTTATTGAAACAGATGATAATAGAAAACAACATACCAAAACCTACGGGATACAGCAAAAGCAGTACTAAGAGGGAAATTTATACTTAAAAGTGCCTACATCAAAAAATAAGAAAAACTTCAAATAAACAACATAATGATGCATCTTAAAGAACTACAAGATCAGGAACAAACCAAAACCAAAATTAGTAGAAGAAAATAAATAATAAAGAGCAGAGATAAATGAAATTGAAATGACGAAAATAATACAAAATATCAGTGAAACAAAAAGTTGTTTTATTGAAAAGGTAAATAAAATTGACAAACCCTTAGCCAGACTAACTAGAAAAAAGAGAGAAGGCCCGAATAAATAAAATCAGAGATGGAAAAGGAGATATTACGACCAATATCGCAGAAACTCAAAGGATCATTATGGCTATTATGGGCAACTATATGCCAATAAATTGGAAAATCTAGAAGAAATGGATAAATTCCTAGACACACACCACCTACCAAGATTGAACCATGAAGAAATCCAAAACCTGAATAAACCAATAACAAGTAATGATATCAAAGCTGTATTAGTCTGTGCTCACATTACAAGAAAGAAATACCTGAGACTGGGTAATCTCTAAAGAAAAGAGGTTAATTGGCTGATGGTTCTGCAAGCTGTACAGGAAGCATAATGCTGCCATCTGCTTGGCTTCTGGGGAGGCCTTTGGAAGCTTGCAGTCATGGCAGAAGGTGAAGTAGGAGCTTGCACATTACACGGCCAGAGCAGGGGCAAGCGACAGGATGAGGAGGGAGGTGGTACACACTTTTAGACAATCAGATCTCTTGAGAACTCATTCACTATTTTTTTTTTTTTGAGATGGAGTTTTGCTCTTGTTGCCCAGGCTGGAGTGCAATGGTGTGATCTCGGCTCACCATAACCTCCGCCTCCCGGGTTCAAGCGATTCTCCTGCCTCAGCCTCCCGAGTAGCTGGGATTACAGGCATGTGCCACCACGCCTGGCTAATTTTGTATTTTTAGTAGAGACAGGGTTTCTCCATGTTGGTCAGGCTGATCTCGAACTTCCGACCTCAGGTGATCCACCCGCCTGGGCCTCCCAAAGTGCTGGGATTACAGGCTTGAGCCACTGCGCCCGGCCTAGACTCATGCACCCTCATAAGAACAGCACCAAAGGGATGGCGCTAAACCATTAATGAGAAACACCTCCATGATCCAGTCGCCTCCCACCAGGCCCCACCTCCAACATTGGGGATTACAATTCCACATGAAATTTGGTGGAGAGAGAGATCCAAACCATATCAGAAGCCATAATAAAAAGTCTCCAGCAAAGATAAGCCTGAGACCTGATGACTTCACTGTTGAATTCTACCAAAGACTTAAAGAAGAATGAATACAGATCCTACTCAAACTAGACCAAAAAATAGAGAAGGAGAGAATATTTCCAACTCATTCCATAAGGCTACTATTACCCTGATACCAAAACCAGACAAGGATACATTAAAAAAAACTACAGGCTAATATTGCTGATGAATATTGATGCAAAAATCCTCAACAAAATACTAGTAAACTGAATTCAACAACACATTGGAAAGATCGTTCATCATCACCAAGTGAGATTTATCCCATGAATGATTAAACATATGCAAATCAATCCATGTGATACATCATATCAACAGAACGAAGGACAAAAACCAACTGATGCTGAAAAAGCATTTGATAAAATGCAACATCCTTTCGTGATAAAACTGGGTAGAAGGAACATACCTCAACATAATAAAAGCCATATATGACAGATCCATGGCTAGTATCAAACTGAATGAGGATAAACTGAAAGTCATTCCTCTAAGATCTGGAACATGACAAGGATGCCCACTTTTACCACTGTTGTTCAACATAGCACTGGAAGGCATAGCTAGAACAATCAGACAAGAGAAGGAAATAAAGGGCATCCAACTTGGAAAGAAAGAAGTCAAATTATCCTTGTTTGCAGATGATATGATCTTACATTTAGAAACACCTAAAGACTCCACCAAAACACTATTACAACTGATAAATTCAGTAGAGTTGCAGGATACAAAATCAACACATAACGATCAGTAGCATTTATACATGCCAACAGTGAAAAATCTGAAAAAGAAATCAAGGAAGTAATCTCATTTGTGATAGCTACAAATAAAATAGAATACCTAGGAATTAACTGAACCAAATAAGTGAAAGATCGCTACAATCAAAACTATAAAACACAGATGCAAGGCATTGAAGAGGACACACAAAAAATGGAAAGATATTCCATGTTCATGGATTGGAAGAATCAATATTGTTAAAATGTCCATACTACCCAAAGCAGTATACAGATTTAATGCAATCTCTACAAAAATACCAATGACATCCTTCACAGAAATAGAAAAAAAATTCCTAAGATTTATATGTAATCACAAAAGACCCAGAATAGCCAAAGCTATCCTAAGCAAAATGAACAAAAGTGGAGAGATCGCATTACCTGACTTCAAATTATACTACAGAGCTATAGGAACCAAAATGGCATGGTACTGGCATAAAAACGGAGACATAGACCAGTGGAACAGAATAGAGAAGCCAGAAATAAATCCTTACATTTACAGTGAACTCGTTTTTGACAAAGGTGCCAAGAACATACAGTCTCTTGGACAGTCTCTTCAATAAACGATGCTGGGAAAACTGGATATCCATATGCAGAAGAATGAAGGTAGGCCCCTATCTCTCACCATATACAAACATCAAATCAAAATGGATTAAAGACTTAAATCTAAGACTTCAAACTATGAAACTACTAAAAGAAAACACTAGGGAAACCCCCCAAGACATTGGAGTGGGCAGAAATTTCTTGACTAATACCCCACAAGCACAGGCAACCAAAACAAAAATGGTCAAATGGGACCATATCATGTTAAAAAGCTCCAGCACAGCAGAGGAACCGATCAACAAAGGGAAGAAACAACCCAAGAAATGGTAGAAAATATATCAAAACTACCCGTCTGACAGGGGATTAATAACCAGAATATATAAGGAGTTCAAATAACTCTATAAGGAATAACCTAATAAAAATCTAATAAAAAGTGGGCAAAAGGTCTGAATAGACATTTCGTAAAAGAAGACATACAAATGGCAAACAGGCATATGAAAATGTACTCAATATCACTGATCATCAGATAAATGCAAATCAAAACTACAATGAAATGTCATCTCACCCCAGTTGAAATGGCTTTTATTCCAAGACAGGCGATAATGAATGCTGGGGGTGTTGTGGAGAAAAGAAAACCCTCATACACTGTTGGTGAGAATGTAAAGTAGTACAGCCACTATGGAGAACAGTTTGGAGGTTCCTCAAAAAACTAAAAATAGAAGTACCATATGATCCAGCAATCCCACTGCTAGGTATACACCCAAAGAAAGGAAATCAGTGTGTCGAAGAGATATCTGCACTCCCATTTTTCTGCAGCACTATTCACAGTAGCCAAGATTTGGAAGCAACCTAAATGTTCATCAGCAGATGAATGGATAAAGAAAATGTGGTACTTATACACAATGGAGCACTATTCAGCGATAAAAAAAATAAGATGCTGTCGTTTACAACAACATGGATAGAACTGGAGGTCATCATGTTAAGTGAAATAAGCCAGACACAGAAAGACAAACTTTGCATGTTCTCACTTATTTGTGAGAACTAAAAATAAAAACAATTGAACTCATGGAGATAGAGAGTAGAAGGATGGTTACCAGCGGGTTGGGAAGGGTAGTTGGGGGGTGGCGGGGAAGTGGAGATGGTTAATGGATACAAAAAATAGAAAGAATGGATAGACCTAGTATTTGCCAGCACAACAGGGTGACTAGAGTAAAAAATATATTTTTTTATTTTTTATTTTTTTGAGACAGAGTCTCACTCTGTTGCCCAGGCTGGAGTGCAGTGATCTCGACGCACTGCAACCTCCACCTCCTGGGTTCAAGTGATTCTCGTGCCTTAGCCTCCTGAGTAGCTGGGATTACAGGCATGTACCACCACGCCTGCCTCATTTTGTATTTTTAGTAGAGATGGGGTTTTACCATGTTGGCCAGGCTAGTCTCAAACTCCTGACCTCAAGTGATCAGCCCGCCTTGGCCTCCCAAAGTGCTGGGATTACAGGCATGAGCCACTGTGCCAGGGCTATAGTAAAAAATAATTTAATTGTACATTTAAAAAAACAAATAATATAATTGGATTGTGTGTAACACAAAGGATAAATGCTTCAGGTGATGGATACATTTACCCTGATGTGATTATTACACATTGCATGCGTGCATCAGAATGTCTTATGTAACCCGTAAAATATATACACCTACTATGTATCCACAAAAATTAAAAAATAATTTAAAAAAAGGAAAAATAGTCCTGGCGTGGTGGCTCACGCCTGTAATCCCAGCGGTTTGGGAGGCCGAGGCGGGCGGATTACAAGGTCAGGAGTTCGAGACCAGCCTGGTCAACATGGTGAAACCCCGTCTCTACTAAAAATACAAAAAATTAGCCGGGCGTGGTGGCAGGTGCCTGTAATCCCAGCTCCTAGGGAGGCTGAGGCAGGAGAATCGCTTGAACCCGGAAGGTGGAGGTTGCGGTGAGCCGAGGTGAACCGAGATCTGCCACTGCACTCCAGCTTGGGCAACAGAGCAAGACTCCGTCTCAAGAAAAAAAAAAAAAAAGAGAGAGAAAGGAAAAGGTCAAAAAGAGAAACGAGGTTGAAAGGACCAAAAGGGGTGTTGGAGTGCCCTCTGCTGGCCAGTGTTGACTGAGGGCTGAGTCAGAACCTGTCAAAGAACCAGGCCGGCTGAGAAAGCAGCTGCCCTGTCCTCCTTCCTAAGATCCCTGTCTTCTCGAGAGGAGGGAGCAGCTTCTGTCCCTGTGGGGAGGGGTATCAGTAGCTGCCCAGGCACATCTGCTACAGCAGGGACACGCGCTCCCCGATTCTGTTACTCTTGCACTGTGAGGGTCTCCTGGCTGGCAACACTTTCGGCAGATGTGGTTGGAGGGAGGAGGCGCGGGAGGCCCGGGGAGGCTCGGTGCAGGCCTGGAATGTGGTACCGAGTCATCTGCTCCCAAGCTTGTGATCGCCCCCATTGCCCCCACATTGAGTAGCTCTCCTGCCTGGGAGAGTTCTTCATGGTTACAAAGTGGGTCACCTTCAGCCTCTCACTGGTTCCTCATACAGTCCATGACAGATTTTCATTCCTCTCTACAGCTACTTTTCAGAGAGGTTTAGGGACTTGGCCAAGGCCAAGCTTTGTGGTTGTCTCAGACCCGAGGCTCCAAGTCCTGCGTTCTTCGTGTTCTTCATGTTGCCTCTCAGAGAATCATAGAAATTTTATCTCCTGACCAGGCACGGTGGCTCACGCTTGTAATCCCAGCACTTTGGGAGGCCGAGGCGGGTGGATCACCTAAGGTCAGGACTTTGAGACCAGCCTGGCCAACACGGTGAAACCCAGTCTTTACTGAAAATATACAAATTAGCTAGGCATGGGCTGGGTGCGGTGGCTCAAGCCTGTGATCCCAGCACTTTGGGAGGCCGAGGTGGGTGGATCACGAGGTCAGGAGTTCAAGACCAGCCTGGCCAAGATGGTGAAACCCTGTCTCTACTAAAAATACAAAAAGTAGCCAGGTATGGTGGTTGGCGCCTGTAATCCCAGCTACTCGAGATGCTGAGGCAGAGAATTGCTTGAACCCAAGAGGCGGAGGTTGCAGTGAGCTGAGATCGCGCCACTGCACTCCAGCCTGGGTGACAGAGTGAGACTCCGTTTCAAAAACAAAAAACAAAAAGCAAATTAGCTGGCGTGGTGGTGTGCACCTGTAATCTCAGCTACTAGGGAGGCTGAGGCAGCAGAATCGCTTGAACCCGGGAGGAGGAAGTTGCAGTGAGCTGAGATTGTGCCACTGAACTCCAGGATGGGCAACAGAGCAAGACTCTGTCTCAAAAAAAAAAAAAAAAAAGAAAAGAAAAGAAATTTGATCTCCTTGTTGTCTGATGCTTGAGTCACCTGCAGTATCTGTGACACGTGGCCATGCAGTGATGCTGGTCCTCCAGTGCACACCTTGCCGGGCAAGGACCTCCCTTTCCCTGGGGCAGCCGTTCCCGCGGTGGCCGACTGCTTCAGCCTCCTGACTTGGATTCGCCATGTGGAAGACACTTCTTCCTGTCTGTGGTTTCTCTCTCTGGACAAGTTCTCCTCCTTGGGCCATGGAATGAGAATATTCAACCTGCTGCCTGGAAATATTTGAAGATATTATTGGGGATCCCTGAATCTTTCCCTGGCAGACCCCAATTCTGCTTCTCCTGTGTTCCCAACATCAACCAACACTGGCATCATTGGCTCAGCTCTACACCTCCTAGATGGGTCCCTTCTGAGCCCGCCCCCGTGACCCGAGCCAGGCCGACTCTCCCCTATCGTCTCTGCATCTTTTCCTTCTCCACCCCCTGCCACCTGTCTGAGCTCTGTGTGACCCTTAGGATTACCCCAACAGCTTCCTAATGGGCCTCCCTGCCTCCAGCTTTGCCCCCTTGGGGCCATTATCCACTCTACATCAAGAGGATTTTCCTAAAAGGTTTCATCACCAGCGTCCATTGCCTTGCAGTAAGTCCCAACTCCTTCCCCCATCAGAGGGGACCCTGTGCCCACACCCTCCCTGGACCTTGGGCTTGTTGAATGATTCCCCCCAGCTGCTTGGTTTGGGCTTCTGACCTCTTCGCTTTGTACTTGTGGGAGGACTGGAGCTGGGAAGAACAGAGGCCCCTTTCAGCTGCATGAAGGGGAGCCATGGTCAGAGGTGGGCAGGGACACGGCCAGGTCTAAGGAGGCAAGCTCATTTTCCCTCTTCCTTCTCCATATGTGGGCAGATTTTCATTTCCTCTCAGGCTGCAGGGCGGTGAGTGTCCCAATTCATGAATGACAGGTGCAGCACACAATTAGAGTCAATCTCTCTCTCTCTCTCTTCCAGGTTCCTGGGAGAAAACACCAGGCTGGTCTAAGCCCGCTGCTGTGCAGGGCAGGGGCACGTGAGGCAACCTGGAGTGCCCATCACTCCAAGGCCCAACCCTGGTGTTTGCCCAGCAGCCTCCCTGCCCTCACCCAGGTCTGAGCCTGCTGCTTCTCCTCTGGGCTCTAAGGTTATCCAGGGTTCACCCTGCATAGTGGACAATGTCTGTTCAGAATCCCCCTTTTCCTAGAATCCCCCACCTCCTAGAATCCTCCACCTCCTAGAATCCCCCACTTCCCCCATAACACGTAAAGCAGCCACTTTCTTTTCTTTTCTTTCTTTCTTTTTTTTTTTTGAGACGGACTCTCACTCTGTCGCCCAGACTGGAGTGCAGTGGCACAATCTCAGCTCACTGCAACTTCCACCTTCTGGGCTCAAGCAATTCTCCTGCCTCAGCCTCCCGAGTAGCTGAGATTACAGTCACGCATCACCATACCCAGCTAATTTTTTTTTTTTTTTGAGACAGGTTCTTGCTCTGTGGCCCAGGCTGGCGTGCAGTGGCTTGATCTTGGCTCACTGCAACCTCTGCTTCTGGGTTCAAGCCATTCTCCTGTCTCAGAACCCGAGTAGCTGGGATTACAGGTGTCCGCCACCATGCCTGGCTAATTTTTGTAGTTTTAGTAGAGATGGGGTTTCACCATGTTGGCCAGGCTGGTCTTGAACTCCTGACCTCAGGTGATCCACCCGCCTCGGCCTCCCAAAGTGCTGGGATTACAGGCGTGCGACCGCACCCAGCCCCTACTATTTTTGTCTGATGCCAGGTGGTATGGTGTGTGTGTAATCCCAACTACTCGAGAGGCTGAGGCAGAAGGATTCCTTGAGACTGGGAGTTCAAGTCCAGCCTGGGCAACACAGTGAGATCCCCACTTCTAAATATATATATATATATATATATATATATATATATATATATATATGTGTTTGTGTGTGTGGGGTTGTATAGATATAAATATATATGAGTATATGTGTGTGTATATATATGTATATAAATATATATATGTGATGGTTTCCTCATAATTAGATTCAGGTTAAAACATTTTTAGCAAGAGGCCGGGCATGGTGGCTCACGCCTGTAATCCCAGCACTTTGGGAGGCCGAGGCGGCGGATCATGAGATCAGGAGATTGAGACCATCCTGGCTAACACAGTGAAACCCCATCTCCACTAAAAATACAAAAAATTAGCCAGGCGTGGTGGCGGGCACCTGTAGTCCCAGCTACTTGGGAGGCTGAGGCAAGAGAATGGAGTGAACCTGGGAGGCGGAGGTTGCAGTGAGCCGAGATCGTGCCACTGCACTCCAGCCTGGGTGACTGAGCGAGACTCCATCTCAAACAAAACAAAACAAAGCATTTTTAGCAAGAATGCTACCTAGGTGGTATCATGTACTTTCTGTAGCACATCTGGGGACACACAATGTCAGTGGTGATGCTGAACTGGATCACCTGCTTAAGGTGGAGTCCACCAGATTTTCCATGGTAAAGGTGCCTTTCTCCTTTTCCAGGTTTTTACTAAGATATAATTCAGAGTCCACTATTCCAGGTCAACTTCTCTAAATACTTGATGGGCCCCTTCAATTTGTAGACTCAAGTTGTTCATTTCTAGAAAGTTTCCTCTTTTTGCCTGGGGAGGGGTTATGCTTTAGTTTGATATTTTTTCTGTTGTTTTGTTCTTCTTCAGGCACTCCAATTATGTGTATGTTGGATTATCTTTGCCTATCTTCTTTAGCCATGTCTTTCTCTTTCTCTCTGACATTTAAAAAAATATCTTTTTTTTTTTTGCAACATGGCTCCCTCTGTCACCCAGGCTGGAGTGCAGTGGCACAATCCTAGCTCACTGCAACCTCAACCTCCTGGGCTAAAGTGATCCTCCCACCTTAGCCTCCTGAGGAGCTGGGACTACAGACGTGCACAACTATGCCTGGATACTTTTAAATTTTTTTGTAGAGATGAGGTTTCACTTTGTTGCCTAGACTCGTCTCGAACTCCTGGATGCAAGCAACTCTCCTGTCTCAGCCTCCCAAAGTGCTGAGATTACAGGTATGTACCACTGTGCCTGGTGGAAAACTCTTTTTATTGATTTTATTTCTGTTCTCTTGGCTCTTTTCATTTCTTTCATGAATCTCTTATTATATTTTCCATTAAATTTAATTTCCCCTTAGAGTATCTTTCAATTTATTTATTTAAATATTTTATTTTATTTTATGTTTATATTTATATTTTTTTGAGATGGAGTCACCCAGGATGGAGTGCAATGGCCCAATCTTGGCTCATTGCAAACTCCACCTCCTGGGCTCAAGTGATTCTCCTGCCTCAGCTTCATGAGTAGCTGTGATTACAGGCGTGCACCACCACATCTGGTTAATTTTTGGATTTTTAGTAGAGACAGATACCTGTCTCTACTGTTTCACCATGTTGGCCAAGCTGGTCTCGAACTCCTGATATCAGATGATCTGCCTACCTCGGCTTCCCAAAGTGCTGCAATTACAGGCATGAGCTGCTGTACCTGGCCATATTTTTAATTTTTATTTTTATGGGTGAGTACCTTGCAATTTAATCTTCATTTCTGAAATGATTTTGACTTTTCTTTTTTTTTTTTTTTGAGACAGGGTCTCACTACATTGCCCTGGCTGGAGTGCAGTGGCACAATCTCAGCTCACTGCAACCTCTGCCTCCCGGGCTCAAGGGATCCTTCCATCTCAGCCTCCCATGTAGCTGGGACTACAGGCGTGCGCCACCACACCTAGCTAATTTTGTATTTCTCACTATGTTGCCCAGATCTGTCACTTTTTCTTTAATTTCTTTCCTGATTTTTGTTAACTCTCATTTCCTGCTTTTCCCCTTTTTTGGTCTATTTCTGTTTGGTGTTTTAAAAGTTTTTATTTAAAGGGTGTTTCAGGCTGCAAATGCTTATGTAAGAATACTTAGTTTGGGTTGGAGTATTGTGTTACAGTTTTCTGCTTGGTATTTTTCTGGAGGAGAATTTTCATCAGCTAAAATGTTTTGATTCTCACTTTCTATTTTTTTCTTATAGTAGATTCGTATGAATGTTTGCTTTTTTCAGTTCATGTTGAAATATCTGCTATTTCCCTTGACCAGCAATATAGGCACTTGCAGACAGAAGCAGGGGGTTTGGGTGGATTACTAGGTTTCTTAGTTCAAGGGCACCCTCTTCTAAAGAAATTTTTTTCCCCTAGGCTCTGTTGCCCAGGCTGGTGTGCAGTGGCACCATCTCAGCTCACTGCAGCTTCAACCTCCTGGGCTCAAGCGATCCTCCTGCCTCAGGCCTCCCCCATCTTCCCCCAGTAGCTGGGACTACAGGTGCACACCACCACACCCAGCTAATTTTTGTATTTTTTGGTAGCTATGAGGTTTTACCATGTTGTCTAGGCTGGTCTCGAACTCCTGGACTCAAGTGATCCACCTGCCTCAGCCCCGCAAAGTGCTGGGATTACAGGCGTGAGCCACCACGCCCAGCCTCTAAAGAATTTTTTTAAAAAAATCAGTGATACTTTTGTTGTGGGGAGGGGATGATACGTCTTTTGATTTTGTGATTGTTATTGTTTTGTAAAACCTTTAACTTCCACAGCTTACTCCCTTCTCTGCGTTCACCACCAAGCTTCCAAGGGACACCTTCCCCTTTCGGGTCGCCCCCTCTCCCTTCCACTTCCTCAGCCCTTTCAAGACTGCCACTCTGGCCCTGCACATTCTCAATTCCCCCAGAAGTCCGTGCTCTGATCCACCCAGCATCAGCCCTTTCTCAGCATTGCCCCACTCAGAGCAGGCCTTGCTCTCTCTGGGGTCATTGTTTGTGTCTACACTCAGGCCTTGGCTGCCCTCTCCTCTTTTGTATGGAGTCTCCACCGGACTGTGTACTCTCTGGGCTCCAGACCTTGTTCTGTCATTTTCAGATGTTTATTTCTCTACTTGGTTGTGGAAGGAGTTTGTAGTGCTCCATCCACAGATGATGTTAAGGGCAGGGTGTAGGAATGACTTTCTTTGCTCTCCCTGTTGTTCTGCATGGCTTTGGGGGGCTATGCAAAGAGGCTGGGTTACGGTGGCTGCCATTATCCTAAGGGAGCCTGGAAGGCAGCTCACGTCCTCTCAGTGAACAGCAGTGACCGTCAGCAAGTTACACGTGTGTTGTCAAGTCAGTTCCTGTTATTTTCTTTTACAATTTTTACATTTATTGCTTAAATTGGCCAGAGGCATCCTGCTGTTTGCAGCTGAAGAATCCTAGATGCAGCAGCGTACTTCCTGCCACCTGGATGAGGCTGGATTGCAGGGCGAGGCGGAGGTGAGCTGGAGGGAGAGGTGGAGATGCTTGGAGCTCCTGTTTCAAGCCATCCCGAGTGCAGGGGCATTTCTGGGAACTGGACACCTTTGGAATTCCTTTATTTATTTATTTACAGACATGGTCTCACTCTGTCACCCAGGGTGGAGTGCAGTGGTGCAATCTCAGCTCACGGCAGCCTCAACGTCCTGTGTTCCAGTGATCCTCCCACCTCAGCCTCCTGAGTAGCTGTGACCACAAGCACATACCACCATACCTGGCTATTTTTTTTTATTGTTTATTTTTTGTAGAGACAGGGTCTTCTTATGTTTCTCAGGCTGGTCTCAAACTTCTGGGCTCAAGCGATCCTCCTGCCTTGGCCTCCTAAAGTGTTGGGATTACAGGCATGAGCCACTGCACCCCCTCCATGTATTTATTGAAACAAAACACTTTCAGAGTGAACACACCCATGTCATCAGCACCCAGGTGAAGGACAGAACAGCACCCAGGTGAAGGAAGAAGCCCCCAGGGGCCCCTGCATGTCCCTTTTGGTCTCTACCCACTTCAAAGGTAACCAATATTCTGACTTCTCTCACTATAGGCCGGTTTTTATACTTTGTAGAAATGGAATCACATAGAGTTTGTGCATGTCTGCTTGAGTCTGGCTTCTTTTGCTCAACATTACCTCTGAGTTCCCCCCATGTGGATGTGTAGATGCAGAATATGTTTTGGAGTTGGAAGTGACGGGACTTGGAGATTCATCCAGTGCCCTTGGACAAACCACTTCACATCTCCCACTCAGTCCCTTTGTCTTTCAAATGGGGCAGATGGTGACAATACACAGCTGTTAGTGCTGCAGTTTTCACATCCCGGTCTGTTAACGGACCTGGAATAGGGCAGAGGCCCCAGGGCCCTCTCCCCCACTTTGCCTGAGAGGGTGGGGCCTGGGAGCACTTGAGCTTCAGTTGGCTCCAGTGTGTGAAACTCACACACCTCTCCCTACCCACACACTCCTTGACATTTGCACTTTTAACTTTTAAAATAGCTCTTTTCTTTTCTTCCTTTCTTTCTCTCTTTCTTTCTCTCTCTCTTTCTCTCTTTCTTTCTTTCTTAGATGGAGTCTCGCTCTGTCGCCCAGGCTGGAGTGCAATGGCGCAATCTTGGCTCACTGCAACCTCCATCTCCTGGATTTAGCGATTCTCCTGCCTCAGCCTCCTGAGAAGCTGGGACTACGCGCCTAGTTAATTTTTGTATTTTTAGTAGAGACGGGGTTTCGCCAAGCTGGCCAGGCTGGTCTCAAACTCCTGACCTCAGATGATCCACCCTCCTCGGCCTCCCAAAGTGTTGGGATTACAGGCATGAGCCACCGCACCCGGCCTAAAATAGCTCTTTTCATGGAGTGCCTGCCTGCCCTGGCTCTCCACTCTGTCCCTCTGTCCTCAGCGCTTGGGCCCCTGGCAGGACATGGCTGTATTATTAGTAAAAATATTAAAATATTGCACAGGTAATGACACATGTTAGTGACAATCTCTCTCAGCATATGGGGCTTTAGTTTGCCTGGACAGACATGGCACAGGGCTGGGCGTAGGGGGTTGAAGCCCAACTCCTGGCTAAGTTCTCTTAGCTTCTGAAGATAGAGAACGCCCTATGTACCTCTGGGGCTGTGATGAAGATGAAAGGGGCTACCCCCTGCCAGAGTCTGCCGACGCTGTGCCTATAATGCCTGGCAGCGCCTGTAATGCCTGGCATGGAGGTCTCAGGCGTGGCTGCACCTGGCATCTTCTGGGATAGCTGGAGCCTGGGTCCTCCCGCACACAATCTGGTTTAGGCCGGCGCCGCAGCTCCTGTCCGTAATCCCAGCGCTTTGCTGGAGGATCGCTTGAGCCCAGGAATTCAAGACCAGCCTGGGCAACATGGCGAGACCCTGTCTGTCCCAAAACAAAAAAACAGATTTTAATTGGTTTGGGATGCGGCCTGGACACAGGGAAATTTTAAAGCTCTCTAGGTAACTCCAATGTGCGTCGAGGTTGCGAACCGCCGGCCTGTCACACAGAGGGAGCTCAGGAGATGCTGAGAGTGGGAGGATGCCGGCTTGGGAGCCTGGAGTTGCAGCTTCCTGCGGCTGGCGCGCCCCTCCTTGCTCCCCTCTACGCCTCTGCATCGCACCCCACCCCTGTACCCCACCTTCCTCCCACCAAGGAAACCTCACCTGCCGCCTCCCGCCCAGGTCCTTTGGATTTTGCCGGTGTGTGTGGGTGCGCACAAGAGGCCCCTCCCTGCCAGGAGAGCAGGTGAGCCTGGCCGCGCACGAATCCGAGGGGGCGGCCGCCCAGCTGGGAAGCAGCCCTGAAATAGACCCCCGCCGCCCCCGCTGCCTCCTTCCGGAATCTGCTCAGGTGAAAAACAAGCCTCTCAATCCGGGCGTGTCCCCGGGCGTGGGACGGGGAGGTGCCCAGCACTGTGGGAGGCGTAGACTGGGCCTGGGTCCCGCTCGGACCCGCCCCAGGCCCGGCCGCTGGGTGCAATGAGGGCGTTCGGCCACCGGGCGGCGGTGCTGGCCCGCGATGGGGAGCCTGGCTGGTGGGGCGCTAGGCTCGCGCTCGGGCGCGCGGGAATCGAGGCTCCTCACGTTCTTCTCAGCGATCTTGCCGCGTTTCTGGGGTGGCTGAACTGGCCCTCCATCCTGAGGAGGCCGGCGCAAGGGGCCTGCCCGGGGCAGTGGCACTCCCTTCTGCGGGCACAGAGAGCCGGGCCGGGGTGCCGACTCCCCCCCACGTGTCTGTCTCCCTGCCCTCCTGCTGCTGCTTTTTGTCCCGCATTTCCCACGAGCTTCCTGAAGTCTAAGAGTGTGTGTGTGTGTGTGTGTGTGTGTGTGTGTGTGTGTAGTCAGGACCATCCGTCCATCTAACCTCCCATCTGTCTGTCCATCCGACCACCCACCCATGTCACATTTGTTGCCCAAGGACTGTAAACCAGCTGGACCAAAGAAATGGGGTGGGAAGGGACACATTCCTTCCGGTCTGGGAAGGCAGACCAGTGAGCGGGATGCCTCGGAATTCTGGACTAGGGGTGCTGCTTAAGCTGGGCCTTGAAAGTTGAGGAGGGGGCTTTTGGGTGCCGAAGAGAAGGTAATTTGGCCACAGAGGTGAGAACGAGAGGGCCCAGGGGCTGGGCTGGGCTGGGGTCGGGGAGCAGGACCGCGGTGAGGGGAGGTGTGTGCGGGGAGCCGTGCTCACCATCTCACAGGGCCATCGCAGCAGCCTGAGCTGTGGGCTTTATCTTCCTCTCCTTACCAATGAGGAAACCTGGGCTGGAGAGGTCAAGTGCCCACGCAGTGGGGAATGTCACAGCCCAGGCTGAATACGGCTGAATGTGGCTGTGGAAAGAGCCTAGCCTTTAACACAGAGCGTGACACTTGGGAGAGTGCTGTGCCAGGGTCAGCCCGCACCCACAGACAGTCCCAAACACCCCATGTGGTCCTGGACCTGGCGCTGGCCTCCCAGGAATACAGGGGGTCTTTCCTGGCTTCAACTTTTTTTTTTTTTTTTTGAGACAGAGTCTCACTCTGTTGTCAGGTTGGAGTGCAGTGGAGTGATCTTGGTTCATTGCAATCTCTGCCTCCCAGGTTCAAGTGATTCTCATGCCTCAGCCTCCCCAGTAGCCGGGATTACAGGCATGTGCCACCACGCCTGGCTAACTTTTGTATTTTTAGTAGAAACGGGGTTCACACCTGGCTAACTTTTGTATTTTTAGTAGAAACGGGGTTTCACCATGTTGGTCAGGCTGGTCTTGAACTCCTGACCTCAGGTGATCCGCCCACCTCAGCCTCCCAAAGTGCTAGGATTACAGGTGTGAGCCACCACACCCGGTCCTGGCTTCTACTTTTGTGCCCCCAAGTTTCCTGTGGTTCTGTTCTCCCCGCTCACAGCTGCTCACAGGAGAGCGTCAGCCATGACCTCTGCAGTGTTCGGCAAAAGGCTTTGCCCCTGGGCAGGCAATTCAGTTTTGTCAACAGGTGGGGAGCACTTGGTGGGGACAAGCCAAGGCAGTCTTGGGGTTCCCAGCAGTCCTGAGGATGGAGATGCCCGGAGTGTGGGGGATGGAGGCTTGGAGCTGGGCTGGCCAGAATCTGGGGCAGGGACTGAGGCCAGAGACTGAGCCAGGCATGAAATCTCTGTGCAGCCCTGGCCTCTCTGGGCCCTGCGTGCGTGTCTGTACCCTGAAGGGGTGATGCAGATCCCGGAGGTAGGGAGGGCTGAGGAGAGGCTCAGGGGTGGGGATATAGGGATGAGCTGGGTGTGTGCGTCGGGGAGCCCTGGGTTTTCTGCCAAGGTCCCTTCTTGTCCAGGGTGGAGTCCATATGTCTCAGCAGGTGAGGAGGTCTCCAGGGTCGCACCGCAGGGGCTCACACCTGGACCCTCCCTCCTCTGTGCCTCTCAGCTTCCCCATTTGTGGAGTGGAATCATTGCACTGGCTGGTCCATCACAGGGCTGTTGTGGAGACTCTGATGAGCACCTGGCATGCAGCAAGGGCTCCGGTGTGCCACCTACTCCACCCCCAGCCTGGGTCTCTGCAGGCCCTGGCCCTCCTGAGATGCCCCACCTTCCCATCCCCAGCCACCCTCCCACCTTGCTCCTGCCTGTCCCCCTTGTCTTCCATTGTGGGGGCCTCATACCCCACTCCAGCTGGTTAGAATTCTATTAATATTTCAGTTTGATGAATTAAAGATTCTTTTCTACCCTCATTCTGATGTCCCAGGAGGGAATTAAAAGCGCATCGGATCCAATCAAACGCCATTAAAATGCAGCCCACGAGGGTAGGAGCTGGCGTGTGGGCTTTTCTTCCCCAGCACTGCTTTGTCCTCTTTGGGGGGTCTAGGTGATGGGTCGGTTGCTGGGAGGTGGGTACAGGAAGAGAGGGAGAAAGCTGAAGAGGAGGAGGAGGACAAGGGGTGTTTGCAGAAATGCTGCTGCCTCCTTCGAGGGGAGCAGAATCCTCCCCACCCCTGTAGCTCATGTTTCCCCAGGAATGAGGAGGACAGAGTTGGGGGCAGTGCAGCTGTGACCTCAGCCCCAGGACCAGACCACAATACCCCTTCTCCTCTGCCTTGATGGGACTTTTTCCAGGGCAGTGCAGCCTGCCTGGTGTCCGTGCTGGAGATACCGCAGCAGCCAGGCTTGGAGGTGGCCTGAGTGGGATGCGGGCTCCTCCAGGCTCTGCCGGTGGGAGGTCCCGGGGCCTACGTCCAGCTCTCTGTCTTGTCAGCTGTCTGGGTCCTGCTTGGGAAGGAGCAAACATTGTCCATGGAGTTTCCTAAGTAGAACCAAGGCTAGAGTGTGGTAGGGGGACATTGACAGAGGGGCCCACCTGGTATTCTCAACTGCCGATCAGTTAACGAGCTTGTGTGGTCTTTGCCCTGTGCCAAGGGGCCTGGAGCTTGCTTGGAAGACAGGGGCATCAGACACAATCTAAGGCCCCAGTCGTGAGGTCCCTGGCCCTTGAAAAGCATTTCTCACTCCATTCTTTCATCCCCCAAACTGCCCCGAGTGGCCTGCCACATTGGGACTCACATTTGGCAGTGGATGACGCTAAGGCTCAAAGTAGTGGAGTGCCATGGAACACTCACTTGTGAGGACCCTGAGTGCTGTGGACAGTGTCCACACTGGTCTGTTCGTGGAGTGTGTGCAACAAGATCCTGGAAGAGTGCAGTGGAGAGCTCGGAAAAAGGATTGGAGGGTCTGAGGAAGATGGGTGGGGTGGGGGTGGGGGCGGGGTGGGCAGCGCTCCAGGTTGGGGGCAGTGAAGCAAGGACACTGGCCTCCCAGGGCACCGCCTCCTGCAGGTCTCCTCCCAGGGCCAGGTGGACTGCGCCCCTCCCGTGCCTGTCACCTGGCTGCTCCCCCTGGCGCCCGGAGCCCTGCCACTCTGCCGAAGGAGCAGGCGGCCACGAGGTCTTGGGCGGAAGGGGCTTTTAAATGTTAATTGTATTTTGACATCCCGGCTTGTGACATCCATGCTAATGACATTTGGCTCACGGCTGACAGCCCCCGGACATGTGGAGAGAGAGATGATAAGTTGTTTTAAATTGCAGCGAGGCAAAGAGGCTGGAAAATCGTGAGTCTTAAGAAAAAAGAGACAGGGAGAGGACCAAGAGAGAGAAGGAGGAGGAGAAAGAGTCTTTCTAGGTGGGTCGTTCATTCATTCATTTAACAATTTGTTGGACAATAAATTCTTACTGTAAACTCGGCACAGTGTCAGCCCAGTGGAGGGCCAGGTGCTCAGTCTGGCCGTGTATCCCACTCCCCCTTAGCTAGGTCTCTCGGCTCTTCTAAATCCTACTTGTCTTTTAGGGTCTAATTCAAGGGGAGGCCTCCTTTGACCTCCCAGCCTCAGCCATCCCTGCCTTCCTGGCCACTCTTATGCTGGAGGCAGCACCAGGTGCTTAGCGCATGGCAGGGCGTGGGAGGGGCACAGTCAGGACCTGTGCCTGCGTCCTCTGCTTCATACCACCAGGACCTGTGCTTTAGGGGTGACCCATTGAGCACCCAGCCTACCACTTGCTGCCCTGCTCTGAGAATAAGGCGCAGTCCCGAATCCCACCATCCCTCCCTTCTTTTTGAATAAAGTGCTTCCTCCTCTCTGCCCAGTGGCAGGAGGAATTTCACTCTGGCTTCTCTCAACTTCTGCCCCGTGGCCGCTGGAAAGGAAGAAGCAGTTTTCCTGCTTCCTCTGCTTTTCCTTTCTCATATTCCCTCCCTCTTCAGCCCTATAGGTGGGGAAACTGAGGCTGGGGAAGGGAAGTGGAAGCATCATCTCTCAGGTCAGGGAGCCCTATAGGCGGGGAAACTGAGGCTGGGGAAGGAAAGAGGAAGCATCATCTCTCAGGTCAGGGAACTCTGGAGCAGACAATTGGAAAGGCTCAAGTTGACCTTGGACCACTCGTCTCCTTCACCCACCCCACTCACAGCCCTTCTGCCCACCCCCCAGCCACTTGGTGAGCATCCCCTCCTTCCCAGCTGCCTTGACCTCCATGCAAGTGGGAAGAGACAGAGACCCCAGCCTAGCCTCTAACTCTCTGTCCTGCACCCCCACTCTTGCGGGGTGCTCCTGCAGCATGTGTGAAGGCCTCTCTAGCATGCTGGTGCCAAATGTACTCTATCATAAATCCTCACCTACCTGCTCCTGCTTAGTCCTGGGTGAATGCATTTAGCAGAGCTGTGTTCAGATCCAGCTCTCTCTGCTCTTAGCCTGCTTGGCCCCAGCCAGTCTCTCTCCTCCTTCAGCCTGCCAGGGCAGGTGGGGTACAGGTACAAATGCGCTGTGTACCTGGGAAAGCCCTTAGTCCAAATGGGATGATTACAGGTGCAAGGCCCTTATCTGAGACCCTTGGGGCCAGGTCTTTTTTGGAATTTAGAAAGATATTATGGTGCAAATGCCATACAGTATGCAATACCCCCAGGAGGCCTGGGGCAGTATCCTGAGAGCAAATTTGGGCTGGCCTTCCTGCAGTGCAACAGACAGTGTTCCCCCACCAAGGCACTAGGCAGGGGCAGGGAATAGCTTTGATGCAAGTTTTGTTGCCAGTTGAGTTGCCGAAAACTATGGACAAACTTGTGGCTTTCAGAGCATTTCGGATTTTGGAATTGTGGAAAGGGGAGTTTAGTCTTAGTCAAGTTATTACTCCAAGCCAAAAGCTGGAGAAAGTCCCAGAGAGGTGGGAGGATTCCTGGAGGCTGGATTCATACTGGCCTGAGGGAAGAGCAAATTCCCAGGGCTCTGTCCCCTAGCCATCAAAGGTGTCACTCATACCTGTCCCAGCCTGTCCCGAGCAGGCTGTGGGAATTTCTAAGTGCCCTTGAGGTGAAGGAGCGGGGCTGAGGTGACCTCTGGAGGCAGGACAGGGACAACTTACCCCAGGATTGTTAACCCGGGGCCCTAGCCCCTTGACCTCAGCCCATGGCTCCTCCTCAGTGCCTGCGGGGTGACTTACGGCTCCCTGGAGAGCCTGGGGCCACTGCATTCTCTTTGCAGTCAGCTCTTCATCCTGAAAATGTCCTGCCAGGGGACAGTTATTGTTTAAACAGACTCCCCCATCAGAGACATTTTCATCTAATGGCCTGGTTTAGGGGAAACCAAAATTGAAACCCATCAGACACAGAGGCTGAGGTGATGGCTGGGTCAGCTCAACACGGAAGCATTTATCAGGTGTTCTGGGTCTGCTCGGTTCTCTCAGGGAATCTGCACCTCCAGGCTCACTTTATTTCAACAAATCCTAAAGGTCAGGATTTTCAAAGACAATTGTCCTCCTCTATTAGGATTCTTTCAAAAGGTTGGGGGGGAGTTGCTTTCCCTCACCAGGGAGGCCAGAAAAAGAGCAGGAAGAAACAATCTGATGCAGCAGGAGGGAGTTAGGTCAGACCTCAGGAAGAACTTCCAGGTCACACAGGTATGAAACACAGGCTCAGGACTCTGTATTATTATTTTCTCTAGAACTCCCTGCCTCTCTCTCTTCCCTTCACCCTTCCCCTTCCCCTGCAGAGATGGTGTTGCCATTTCCCTGGATGAGGACTGGTGCAGGAACGGGCGGGTCAGCATCACTCCCTGCTTACTCCACGAGTAGCAGGCCAGCCTCCTTTAAAGGTTTAAGAGTGAGACCCAGTTCTGAATCCCAGCATCCTTAGGGAGACCTTGGCCCAGCCCCTGGTCTCACTGATGGGAAAACCAATGCTCAGAGAGGCTGGGGGGCTCCCCCACGTCACATGGTTCTTAGCGCAGAAGTCTCGGCTTCCTGGTTTCCCACCTTGTGTCCTCTTCCCCTCACCCCAACTCTTCCCAGTCAGAGCACGACTTACAGGGGAGGCAGCTTGTTGGAGACACGGTTAGAAATCAGGCCTTGGAGCAGCTGGTCCAGGCCAAGTCCCTTGAAACATGACTCCTTGAGGTCATCTCTGATTGCTTTTCTCCCACAGCATGGTCCCCTAGCTCCCCCAGGGCAGGGGACGCCACTGGAAGTTCTTTGAGGTGTGTGTGTGTGTGTCTCTCAGTGTGTGTGTTAGTCTATGTGTCTGTGTGTGTGTCTCTGTGTGTGTGTGTGTGAGTCTGTGTTTGGGTCTCTGAGTCTGTCTCCATGGCAAGTCAAGTCAGCCACGACCCAGCAGAGAGAACAAGAGTGAGAAGAGCGTGCCCCAGCTGGGCAAGGGGGGCCCACAGGTGAGGGCCGCTGACGGAGCGCTTGGCCACTGTGATGGTCTGGAGGCCCGGGGTGGTCAGGATGTTGCCCGGAAGAGCTAGGCCTCAGGCTGGGAACCTGCAAACTGGACGAGTCCACAAACTCAGCCATCTGCCAGCCAACAGTGTTTCTTTTTTTAACCCCTGAAAAATATAGCCTGCCCAGCCTTCTGCGACACAGCTGGTGGGGGGCGGGGGGTGGGATAATTATGGCCAGAGTGAAAGCAACACTGAGGGGCAGGGGGTGGGGAGAGTGGCTGGGTTTGTTTTATCTCTCAATAAACCATGGCCCATGTTATCTTCACTTTAATTAGTTCATTCATTCATTCATTCATTCATTCATTCAACAAAAGTATATTGAGGATTCTGTTCTGTGTTAAAAATTTCAGTGGCTCCCACTTACAGCCGCCTAAATACAGTACTAGGTGCTGGGCATACATTATTTCATTCTGTTTTTATGAACACCTTGTAAGTAGGGCCCCAGTCACTAGCCCATATGGTACCTCTGAGAAGATCAGAAAAAGGAAACCCATCTTTTGGGCAGACACAGCCACAAGTCAGGATGTGTCACTTGTCAAGACCAAGGCAGGGTGAATTTGAGCTGTCCTGAGCCCCCTCAACTGGGTGGCCTCTTGGCAGTGAACGATGCACACCCCATACCTGCAGTTCTGCTTTGAGATTAGTGTCGTAATCCTTGTTCTACAGATAGGAAACTGAGGACCTTGAGCAATGTGACCCAGACATGCACATGTGACACAGGCGGGTTTGAACCCAGGCAGGCTGTTCCCAAGAACACTGCCTCTCCAGGAATAACTTGAGTTCCCTGCAAGCCCAGAGCAGTGCACACTTGGCTGGGCAGAGCTGCTGGGCAGCAGGAACTTTCAAGGCCTTTGCTTATATCTCTACAAAATGTGTGGTGCTGAGGTCCGAATGGCCACGGGGTGCACTCCTCAAGGGCAGAACTGCGTTCAGTCGTGTGTTTACACCTAGAGCTGGGAATGGAGCAGGACCTCAGTCAGTGTTGTTTGCATTAAAAAAAATAAAAGCATGAATGAATGAACAATCTGGGTGCTTCCCTCAGAGACTTCAGACCGATTGGGTAAATGAGACATGTATTTGGGTCATTACATGTGACAGCAAAGAGAGTGCAAGCTTTGCCAACATTTATTCACTCACCAAACATTCCTTGAGCTTACGCTACCGTTCAGGCATGGTGCCAGGCTCCATGGCCAAATGATGCTGAACGAGATGTGGTTTTGGCCTAGCATAGTCTGGAGATCTGGAGGAGGTGGAGCCTAAGCAGGTCTTCAGGAAAGGGCAGGAGCATGGAAAAGGGCAAGGAGGGAGAAAGGGCAGTCCAGTTGCAAGGGATGGGGGTCTGTCCCTGTTATTCCCAGACCCTCCCAGACATTCCCCTCACCTAATTTCCCCTGTAGAAATTAGGGTTGGCCGAGTCCTGCCAGGCCTGGGCATCGTCAAGCACAAGGTAGCACTTGGCAGGTCAGCCGGGGGTCGAGGTACTGATGGGGAGGGAGGCCTCTGGCCAACCTCTCCAGCTCTGCTGCCTGCCACCTTCTTCCCCCAGCTCTCTGGCACAGTGTTGTGCTCCCTCCCCAGGACAAGGACAGTCACACATCACGGCTCTAATTGAAGCCGCTTCTGCAGTCTGGGGTGAGATGCTCTTGCAATCCTAAGAGGGCTGCGTGGCTCCCTCACTTCCACGCTGCCTGCCTCTAGCAACACTCTCCTGAGAGTTTTCAAGCCCCCTCTGGGAAGGGGGCGAGCTGGCTTTATGGTTGGCTAAGGGATTCTTCCCGAGTCTCACTGCAGCCTGCCGACCAGGAGGCCACCTGTTACACTTTTGCCATCCAGTGCTGGAGGGAGACCAGCGGGTGGGGTGTTTCCCTAGCCTGGTGGGGTTTTGAGGTGGTAAGGGGGCTCTGTGGAAAGTGTCCCCTGGACAGGCTGTGAGATCTGGGGCAAGTGGAGTCACCTCACTGGGCCTCAGTTTCTCCCCTTGTTATATACTTGAATCAGGAGCAGTGGGGTGTGCAAATGAACATGCCACATGGGGGCATACGCCACGTGCGCGCGGATGTGTGAGGTTCCAGTGACGCACCAGGGTGGGAGTAGCGCGCCCCTCTGCGTCCCTGTGCTTTGCTGTACTTTTCTGGGTGTGTGTTAGGGAGGCTATGTTCCTGACCCTCCCCCTCTGGGGTGAGAAGGGGTCCCCGCCATGTCCTCGGGGTAGGTGAGCTGGCACGCGCACGGGGAGGAGGAAGGGGGGGGCTTCCGGAAGAGGGCGCCGGTGGGGTGTGGTGGAAGGGGGAGCTGCCAGCAGGGCGGGTGTGGAGGGGTGGCGGAGCGCCGCGAGAGCCCTGGCCTTCCGGAGGTGGAGGTGTGGGGTAGGGGGTGGGCTCCAGGTGCTCTCTCTTTAAAAGGCCGGCAGAAGCGCCGTGAGCTTGGCCCGCACTTTCAGCGCAAACTTGCCGGATTGGTCTCGTGCCTCCTCGGGTGCAGCAGCGGCTGTGGGCGCCGGGGCAAGCGGCTGCGGCCCCCTCGCCCCCTTGCGCTTCCCGGCTCTCCCGCCCTCTCCCGCAGCCTCCCCTCTCAGCGCCTTCCTCGCTCTCTCGTCTCTCGCTCCCTCTCTCGCTCGCTCTCCAGCGCGCTCTCTAGCTCGCTCTCATTTTTTTTCCTGCTGCTGTTGCCGCTGTTGCGGCGCCGCCAGGCGCCCGTACCTCGGCCGGCTGCGCTCGCTGGTCGCTCCCGCTCCGCTCCCTTCCCAGCCCGGAGCTCTCGGCCAGACCCAGCTCCTCTTGCCGCCTCTCCCGCTCCTTCCGGCTCGGACGCCGGGCTCCGCCGCAGCAGGAGCAGGGGTTGCCGCCGATCTCCCTCTCGCTTGCTCGCTTGCCGGAGCAGCAGCCGAACGCCGCGCGCTTGGCGGCGGCTCCGGCCGGGCGGCCGCCAGCTCATCCCTGCTGCGTCCCGGACTCCGGGCGGCTCCGCGGCGCGCTGGGTCCGCAGCGTCAGCGCTGCCCGCCGCGGCCCGGGCTCTGGGCACCGCGAGAACCGTGCCTCCGGCCGTCGACTGCCTGCGCCCCCGGGGCAGGCCGGCACGCAGCCGACCCCTCGCCGCGGCTTAAACCTTGCTGGCGCGCGGTGAGTTGTGGCCCGAGGGGGACCGACAGAGGGGACCGTGCCCTCCGGCCTCCTGGGGCGAGGGCTGCGGCGGGGACATCGGGGCTCGGGGAGGTGGCCTCCGGCGAGCTCCCGCGCTTGGAGTGCTCCGAGGAGAGCTGGCGCCCCCGGAGCCCTAGGGGCCGGAGGGCGCGGGATCTGAACTAGAGGGTCTCCCCTCGGGGCTAAGGCAGGCTTTCCGGGTGCCCCTGAGGGAGGGAATGGGGCAGAGGCTTTTTTGCGGGCCCGGTGGAAAGTACTGTCTCTGTATACAGGGGCTTCCACCGGATGGAGGGTCGTGCCAGCTTTCAGGTGGGGGCGGCGGCATTAGCGCATCCCGGTCTGCGGAGAGGCGGGACAGGCGGGGGCGCGGGGCATTATTTGCACCTCTTCCCGGCAGTCTCCCGGCGGGAGGGCACCCAGCCTCGCGCGCCTCGGCTCCTTTCCCAGGCACCGCGTCCAGCTCCCGTGCCCGCCCCAGCGCCGCCTTCGCCAGCGGCCGGAGCCCGGCAACCGCTTGCCCGTGGCCTCGGCAGGTTGTGGGGGTCTCTAGGGTCTGGGGTCTCCCTGCAGCCCCAGGACTTCAGGGTCAGGCTCTCTCCGGACACTCGGGACCGTCCCTCCCCGGGACCGTGATGAACCTGCGCGTCTACGCGGCCGCCGGGCGAGCGGACCGGCAGTGGTCTCTGTGTGTGCATGTGTGTACGCGCGTGTGTGCTGGGGGTCCCCGCTCCGGGGTCGGTCTTCCCCGGCGCTCGCAGGTGGGAGGCGTCTCCTCCCCGCGCGGGGGCGGGGCCGGGAGGTGGAGGCCTCGACTGCGAGAGGCGCCCCCGCACCAGGGCGGTCTGAGGCTGTTTGTGCTGAGATGGGGCAGCAGCATCGGCGGCGGCAGGGAGTCCTGAGGCCCGAACGTACGAGCGCCCCCTGCCCCTAGGCCTTGAGTGACATCCCGCCCTCAGACTTTCAGTCCCTGTCGGAGGAGGCGCCTTGCTTCTTTCTCCCCTCTCCGCACCATTGCCGGCCCCTGGCGCGGGAGAACGCGGCCTTTCCGGACACCGACTGAGCTGGGCTTGCCTAGCTGGGTGCCCGAAGCCACGTGTCTCTCAGAGCGGTGGCTGCCCCTGTGTCAATCTGGCAGAAAGCCCGAAGTGACAGGGAGGGAGGGGCATGTATGTTCCCATCATAGTCCCTCGCCTTGTCCGTTCTGGGGTGAGTGGGGGCCTAGGGCAGGCAGGGAGACCAGTGCTCCCAGGGTCTCCATACGGAGCACCCCATCCCACACCCTGCCATTCTGCAGCGCTCAGCCTCCCGCCCCGGGGCCAGCCAATGGTGGACGTGAAGAATGCTCTCATACCCATCTGCCCACACTCCCGGGATGCGTCCTGGGCTAGCCCCACTTTCCCCCGGATCCCAATGGGATGCTGAACCTCAGGCTCTGGTTCTGCATGCTCAGCTCCTCAGAGCCCAGAAGGGCCTCAGGGCCTTCCGGCCTAGGGTAGGGGGAAGCTTTCATGAAGAGGGGAGGACTAGCAGGAGCCCTTTCGGAGGTGGCAGAACTTCCGCAGAGGCCTCTGGGTACTCTGGGGTGTGAGCACCCATAGCGCAGGGGCCTCGTCACCTCTTCTTGGCAGGCCCTGGGGACTGCTGAACCGGCTCTCGAAATGGGCCTGGCTGCGGTGGAGAGTGGAGGTTGGAGCCTTGTCCCCTCTCTCACTTCCTGGAGGGCTTCACCAGCCCTTAGTCAGATCCTGTCCTTGGGGTGCGGTGGGCGGGGGGCTTTGAGGATGGTGCCTCCAAGCCTCTGCTCAGCACTGGGCTGGGCGTGATGTCCGCTTGTGAATTGGGTGGCCGCTGTCTTTATGTTCCTCCAACTTCTGTCCTTTTACACATAAGCTTTTGCCTACCTGCCAATACCTTCACACCTGTCAGGGACAAAAATACCTCAAAAGTTATCCCCCCCACACCCCGCACCTTAGCCACTTCAGGGACTACCCTTTCCAGGGGCATCTGCATTTAAGAGAGACGGGAGAGGAAGATGGCAAGGCTTAACCCAAAGGAGTGCTCTACCCTACTCATGGATTCTTAGGCATTTTCAGGAGCGAGATATATTGGTGGGGGGGTGGCAGCATGTAGCTCGTCACCAAGCACAGGTCCTGAGCAGGCGGAGGGGAGGCGGGAGCATGTCAGGAGTTGAGCTGCTTTCTGGGCCTCAGTGGCCTTGCGTAGGCCGCTCCTCCTCCCCCCCTCCTCCCTCCTCCCCCAACCTGCGTCTGGGCGGCTTCATTCCGTTGGAGGCGTGACTTCTCTGAGAGGGAGCGCCTTGCACAGCGGCAGGCAGCCCGAGGTAGGTGAGAGAGCGAGCGGGTGAGCGATCGAGTGAAACTGGAACTGAGCAGTGTGCTAGCCAGAAGGGTCAGGGGGCCGGGTTCAGGCCTAGAAGGGCTCTGCAGCTCCCACTCACTTCCTGAGGGGTCCACAGTCCAGCGCCAGGATGTGTGGCCACACCCATCCCCACCCTGCTGCGGGGGACAGCTGGCAGCAAAAGATGGGAGCAGAACCCACAGGCTCCTTAGCTGAATAATTACTGCCGATAGACGTGTCCTCTCTCCTAGACAAGTGTGGAGCCTGCAGCCTCTAATTACCACCCACCCCAAGATATCTGCCCACCCCACTGTCCTCCTCTGCTCGGTCTAGAACCCAACTTTCCAGTGGGCAGGACGCACTGGCAGCCTGGACAGCTGGGCCTGCCGGCTGTTGGCTGGCAGGTTATCTCATTTCTGCAGAGTGGCGGCTGCCTTTGCCTCCTGAAGAAGGCATGTGGGGAGCTGGCATTGGAGCTCTGGCCCCACTCACCGGGGCTGCAGAAGAGCTGCTGGCTGTCTTGGCGGGCCTAAGGGGCTTGCACTGGTGGGCATGGGCCTGGAGCACTGGACACCAGCTCTCTGTCACTCCCACTCAGACTGATGGCTCCTGGAAAGAACGGAGAGGGCTCATTTTCTTAAGTGTCACCTCTGCTGTAGTTAGCAGGGGACTATAAAAAATTAAGTTAGAGGGTTTTGCTGCCTTTGGTCCCTGTAGAGTGCAGGCTGCTTTTTCTTGGTCCTGCGAGCTGTTTATGTCTCTCCTCTCTCTGTGTACTCTCTCTGGGCTCCCTCTCCCTGCTGCCTCCCAGATGAACCTGAGGCTGGTAGTTCCTCCTTCACAACTAATTCCTTCTCCCTGCCTGCCCTGGGGGCTTCTGCCTTGGTTTCCCACTTCTCCCCTCCACCTGGCTTGCCTTGCCTGAGCCTGCTCCTGGAAGGGAGGCATGTCAATGGAACTTGCTTAGAAGAGATGAAGCCTGCTAGCTAGCAGCCAGCCCACCCCGCGGCCCTGCCCACCCCCGCCCCTCGACTGCAGGCCCGAGAGACTGTTCCAGTCTGTCCATGTTTCTCTTGGCTCCTTGGAAAAACGAGCACCACAAGGATAGTAAAAATCACCCCTTAAATTAAAGCTGATGACTCCTGTCAAAATGTTTTATTATTAACCTCACCATTTAGCAATCTCGTGGCAGCAGTGAGGCATCAATGTATGTGTACACACGTATATTAAATAAATTGGGGAACGCAGTGCATAATGACATTATCTGGACCCCATTCAATTAAGGTAGATATTATCTGTGGTAATTGGGAAATGCCAGCCCATAATGCCAGCCCACGCCATTTGGGGCCGAGCCATGCTGACAGGCAGGCCGTGGTGTCTAGCTAAGGCTCTCAGTTCTCCCGAGAAGGCACTGGTCGCCCATTGGTGGTGATGATGGTGAGTCCCAGGAGAGCCTGGACAGCTGCTCTCCCCGGGCTGGGCCACCAGCATGGGAACCAGGAGGTCTGGGTTCCACCCAGTCCTTCACACTTGGCTCTCCCAGCCACCCCTCTGTTCCTTAGGGTGACACAAGCTAGCCCCTGGATCTATTTCCTGGTTAGGGGCATGACTTCTAGTAAAAACTCTGTCATTGCTACAGGGTTATTTTTAGGTTTAAATATAGAAATAAAGATTGGAGACTCGACCTGATTCCTAAGCTTGTGGAGGGTGATTGCTTCTCAGGTATCACTCACTGCCTCTTTTCAGTGCCTGACCTCGGTGCAGCCGAGGGATGGAAGTCTCCCCACCAACCACAGTTATATTCATGCGGTGCAGTTTGGATGTTGATTGGGCTAAGCCAGTGGCCCCTGCTTTCCAGGGCAGTGCTGGGTTGTTGAGGGGACAGGAAGAGGGAGGAGAGAGGAAGAAGCAGTATTAGTGGCGAAGGCCAAAATAGTAACAGCTGCAAACAAAGACACTTGCCCACTTGGGTCTTGTGCTGGAAAACTAGAGATGGCGGCATGTAGGGATGGGGAGGAGAGGCCTGGGGGTCTGCATGGTTGGGGCTTGCTGGATGGAGGAGATCCAGGCAAGCGTGAGCCTGGTGGCTGGTCCCCTGGCTCTGGGAGAGGAGGAAGGTCAGGGTGGGGTATTTTCTAGGCTGAGCAGGGAGGCCCAAGGGCTGATGAGATGTGCTTGCCTTGTCGATGGGACTTGCTGCTGTGAGCTGCTGTGGCCTTTGCACGTGGCTGTCCTTCTAAGTCTCAGGTTTCTCTGGTGATGAGTCCCTGCCTGTGCTGTGCTCAAACCCTTCTGTGGCCCCTCATTTCCCTGTCCACACCGTGGTCGATAAGGTCCTGTTGATCTTGTGTTCCAGGCCCTCTCTGACTTCATCGCATCAACCCTCTCCCCACTGCCCCCTGGTCACGTTGGCCTCCTTGCTCATTCTCGAACATCAAGTGCCAAGCCTGTGCCCACCTCAGGGCCTTTGCACTTGCTGTTCTTTCTCTTTGGAATCCTCTTCTCCCAGATGTTCACATGGCTCATGCCTTCACTGCTTTTACTCTAGGATCAAATGCCACTTCCCCAGAGAAGCCTTCCCTGATTATTCTTTTCTGAAAAAGCCCTTCTGGGTCATTCCCTGTCCCCTTATCTGCCTTATTTTTTTTCATATCGCCTGATCCCCTGAAGTCCCAGCCATCTATATGTTCAGGTATTTGTTGTTCGTCCTGTGCCCACCCGCTTTGGGACGTGGGCTCCAGAGGGCAGGCGTCTGTGCCTGTTTCACTCCCAGTGTTTCCCCAGCGCCCACCCAGAGCAGAGGCTGGTGCACAGTGGGTGCTCAGAGCACCTTTGAATGTCACACCGAGGGACTGAATGGTTGTGACAGAGGGGACTGTCTTCTATGCTTGAGCACACAACAGAGTTGTGAGAATTCAGTGCGAGGTCCGAGTGCCACTCTGGACCGGGCGCACTGCTGCAGATCCCCTGTCCTGGGCTTTGCTCTGGGCAGGGCGCTGGCTTTGCCTGGTCAGTTACTGAGTCTTTCCTGTGTTCTGAACCTCGGACTGGGCGTGGGGAACATAGAGATGAGGGCAGTGCTGTCCATGCAGGCCTTTAATGTGCTCCCAGCCTGGTCATTGTTAACATGAGAGAGGTTCTGTGTCATTAACTGCGGAGGAAGGAGATGACAAGAATTGTAATAATCAGGGCAGGCTTCCTGGAGGAGGAAGGATCTCAGCTGCTTCTTGAAGGGAGAGCTTCACAGAGAGGAGGCTGGAGGGAATCATAGGTTGGGGGAAGGCAGGGGCAATGGATTTAAAGTTTTCTGCTCCAAGTTTACACTGGCATTAGGCAAAAGAATTACTTCCTCTTTCCCTAAGAATTACCTTCCTTTTTTCCCTCCCTGCTCTCCTCTGGGGCATTCCACCCCATGCCCATGACAGAGCCAGTTGCCTCTGAATCAGGGCCCTGTTGTTTTGGCAGAACAGGGAGGGGACAGCTTGTGGATTGGGGTCTGGGATTTCTGACATCAGGAGGCTTCCTGGTCGAGGCTGGTGAGCCGGAGCAGCTCACGGGGGAAGGAAAGGGAAGCCGGTTGGGGCCAGACCCCCACTGTGCTTCTTGCTCTTAGCTCTTAGCATGCGGCTGTGGCCATTCTGGCTGACTGCCTGGGAGCAGGGCTTCTCTTTAGGCAGAATAAAGCCCCAGCTGGCCTGGGGTGGGTTGAAGGTTCCAAGATGCCTCCTTATAGCTGAATCAATCCTTAGTTTCCCTGCCTGAAACTATGCCTCACATTCCACCATTAGAATCAGTCCTGTGGGTTAAAGAGTTGCTTATGGAAGGGGCCTTAAACACAGAGATAGATTACTTGAACGAGAGGCCCTGGAATCATTTGGCTCACATCACGTCATTCATTCACCTCCACAAAGCCTGCTGGGGATGCCAGGCTCTGTGCAGGACTGGGCTGCAGAGGTCAGCACGAGGAGGGCTGTGCTGCGAGGATTTGAAGGGCTAACTGGTCATCCACCTTCCCCATGGCCTGCGAGTCGCACAGTGCAGCTGGCAGGGGTGGCACAGTTCTGACAACCCGATTCCTGTCCTGTCCTACAAACCACACCTCTGCCCAGCCAGTGGGGGCCCGGATGGATAGCAGAGGGGTCACAGAGCTGAGGGGAGGGGAGAGGCCTCCAGTTCTCCCTCATTTCCCCTTTGGGGCAGTGGCGCTGCCATCCCCCTTCTGGGAGATGTGGGATGTGGGTGATGAGGCATCTAAACAGCTCAGGAATTGAAACCAGACTCCACACAGCCATTCACAATTCTAGAGCGCTCCTGAGCACCTGGGCTGGGTGGGCCCTGCAGAGACAAAGGTGAATGGAGATGAAGGAAGTGCTGGTGGGAACACAGGGAAGGTTGGGAGCTGAGAGGAAGGTGGGAGGGAGCTCTTGGCCTGGCTCTTTTTGCTGAACCCCAAGGGGCTCGGGCCTGAGTCCCCAAGCCCTTTTCCTATGGGAGCTGACCCTCAGAGGGCCAAGAGCAGGAACCAGGGACTCTGGCAATGACCCTGACCCTGGGAAACAAAGGACAAGGTTGTTCTCTCGATTTACCCTTTATTCTGGTGTTTGGGTTTTGTTCTATTTTCTTAGTTTTGGAAGAATAAAAAGAAACTCAATGAAAAATAATTGGGGGTTTGGTAAATCACAGCAGTTCTCTTCGGATCCGGTTGTTGTTTTGTGGTTTGTGGTTCTTTCTGGCTTGGGCCCTGGATGCAGAGGGAAGGATTGAAGTTGGAAAAGCACGAAGGTCCTGCTTGTTAATATTATACTAAGAAGAGGGCCGGGCAAAGTGGCTGACACCTGTATTCCCAGTACTTTGGGAGGCTGAGGCTGGAGGATCGCTTGAGCTCAGGAGTTCGAGACCAGCCTGGGCAAGCGACATAGTGAGATGTCATCTCTGCAAAAAAAAAAAAAAAAAAAAAATTATGTGGGCATGATGGCGCATTCCTGTAGTCCCAGCTGTTCAGGAGGCTGAGGTAGGAGGATCGCTTGAGCCTGAGAGGTTGAGGCTGCAGTGAGTCGTGATTGCACCACTGCACTCCAGCCTAGGCAACAGAATGAGACCCTGTCTCAAAAAAAAAAGAAAAAAAAGGGACTTAGAAGTGGCCACAAGGCAGGTTCCTGGAGTTCCTGCACAAAAGCCCTAGATAACAGAGAGGTCCCAGCTGGGATGTGTGGGGACTCCCCCATCCCCCTTACCCTGACTGTTGGTTGGGGAAAGGGGTAGTCTGCAGCTGTCCCCCACCAGCTCCCCTTACATCCCCATTCACTGGAAAGAATGTTCTGGAAAACACTGTTGGCCTGAGAGCTGTTGCTATGTGGAGGTGACCCAGTCGCTCTCATCCCTGCCCCTCAGGGCTCTCATTCCTCCATGCCTGGCTCTGTCCTCCCCTGGAACCAAGGAACCTAGTGGAGCCAGAGAAGAGGAGAGAGACTGGGAGAGGGTGGTGGGGAAGGGAGAAGGAAAGGAAAGGGGGAAGAGGCCCGTCTGGGGGTGGGGCCCACACTGGCTTGGACTCACAGTCATCCCGATGATTTCACCTGGGGAAGGATGCCCCTAACTGACCCAGGCTTGAGCTCTCCTGGCTATTTTGGAATTGGCGGGGGAGTGTCTGAAAACTGGGCAAGGACTTTAAAGAAGGACCCCTTCTATGTGCCCCCAGCTCTTCCCTCTGCAGAAGGAAGCAGGCCCTGCGGGGGAAGGGAGCATCCGCCTGGCCCCCACCCCAACCCACCCCACCACACCCTGCCTCTGCTCTCAGTGGCTCCTTTCACTCATGGGGTATTTTTACTTTTCCCTTGTTCCTGTTACATGATCAAAGGAGGGAGGGGAAGCTAAAAGAGGCAGTGGCTTGCCCAGCTCTCTGGAGAAGCTCAGAAAAGGCAGGCCTGGTGGGACTGAGGGGTGGATAGGGACCTGTGGGCAGGGGCTGGGACCCAGTCCTGTGGGAGGGAAGTCTCGCAGGGGATCTGACCAGCTTGAGGCTCCAGGCTCTTGATTCTAATCTGCGGGTGTTTGCCTTTCTCCTCTTGGAGGCCTCCTTCCCCCATGGCATCTGTCCTTCCCCGTGTGTGTGTGTGTGTGTGTGTGTGTGTGTGTGTGTGTGTGTCCGCACGCGCGCATGCACTGCTCAGCCCAGACGTGCTCCGGCCTCAAGGAGAAGCCAGTGTGAGCCCTCACGAAGGATCTGGAAGCCTAAGCAGGGCCTGACTTCAAAAGCTGCTGTGCATTGGTCTCCCAGCCTGAATCTGCCCTGCTGTAGCCCCAGCACACAGCCTGTCATGATGCCAAAAAGCCCTCTGTTTGAAATTCATGGAAACCGATCATAAACTCACAGGACCTTAGAACTGGCAAGGCCTGAGAGATCCTCTGGGCCAGCACAGAGGAGCAGCCAGGGGCACGGGCAGCCTGCACAAGCTCTGTGCCCCTGGCTAGATGTTGCTTAAGCACTTGGTGCCTTGGCTTCCTCATCTGTGAGATAGGGATAAAAATACCATGAAGCTCATAGGGATGTGGGGATTACATGAGAAAATGTAGGTAAAGCACTTAGAACAGTGCTTGGCACATGGCAGTGGTTGTCTTTTGCTGTGATTTCTCCACGAGGCACCGTCGGCATTTGGACAGGATGGTGTTTAACTGTGCAGGCTCTCCCACCCACAGCTGGCCAGTTAGCATCTCTGCCCCCTGCCTGCACACGGGCTAGTAGCCGACTCTCCTCCATCATTGCAACAACTGAAAATTTGTCAGCAGGGGCAGTATGGCCCCCAGATTGGATTTCACTCCAACTCACCCATTTTACAGATTTTCCTGAGAACTAGCAGGGATGTGCCTTATCTCTAGCTACTGCAGCAGGACCATGAGATTCGTCTATGGCTCTTATGGTTTCTCTCTTCTGAATTACCTGGTACTTGCATCAGCAACTCATACCCCACCTCCTGTCACTATGCATAGCCATCTAGGACAGAGATCTGATAAATTCATTCACAGGAAGGAATGAGTGATGATGACAGCTCCATACAGGTGCAGCTCCCCGCCTTGTATTTTAATGGCTCTTAAGCCTTCCTCAAAGCACTGGCCTTGGCCCCTAGTCCTAGGTCCCTGGCTCCTGGCTCCAGGGGAGAGGGTGGTATTATGAAACTTTCTGTCAGCTTCGCTGGGGCTTCCCAGTGTGGCTGACATGGCTTCTAGTCCTGGATGCATCTTGATTTGCTGTGTGACTTTGGGAGAATTATGTGATACCTCTGGGCTACCGGTTCACCTGCAGCATGGGGCCAGGGAGAATTAGTAGCCATATTCTTGGTTTCTGAGGAGGTAATATGAAGGGAGCATTTTGAGGAAGGGGTGAAATGTGAAATGAGGGTCTAGAAGGCTGGAGAAGCTCAGGAGCTGAGGCTGGACTCTGGGGCACTGCAGCTTCCTTCCCTCCCCTTGGCCCAGAACTGGAGCAGTCAGGGATTCTGTAGGGGGAATGACGGGGGAGGGATGACCCTGAGACCACGGCTTGGTCTTGATGGAGGGACCACATCTCTGGGGAAGCCTCGCAATCCCAACACAAGCTCCTCTTCCAACTGCTTGGGGAAACTGAGGCACAGAATGGACAAGTGGCTTGCTGGTCTTCATTTGACAAACCCCTGGGGAAGGGGGCCTTGGGTTTGGCCCCCAGCCAAGCCCTGACTCAGCTTCCATCCCTTCTCCCTGTGGCCTCCTAAGTGGTGGGGAGGGAGGTTGCTGGCTTTGAGTGGGGAGGCTGGGGTGAGGGAAGTAACCCCGGGGGGAAATTAGCCCAAATTAGCAGTGAGAATGAGGAAGGGCTGGTGTTCTCTTCTCTACTCTTGCAGATAAATATTTAATCACAACAACAATAATGATGATGATGATCTTAATAATGTGCCAGTAGCTCAGGCCATAACCCGAGCCCCGCTCTCAGAGGGAGGAAGTGGGGGTGGGGAGAAAGAGCAGTGGAGAGATGGAGAGATGAAGAAAGTCAGGGAGGGAGGGAGGGAGGGAGGATGTGCAAGCTGAATGGAGGCCTGCTCCTCATGCAGGGGCTGCTGGGTTTCCCCTGCTCTGCCTGGGGTAGCTGTGTAGCTGGGGTGGAAGCAGGAGAGTACAGGGTCCACCTTGCGCTCCCTGATTCAGGATGAAAATCCAGAACCCCCACAGCCTCAGCTCCTCCCTGGCCTTCCCTTGGCCTTCAGAGTGAGCAGCTCCCAGCCTACACCACTGCGTTCCAGGATGATTTCTTGAGGGGGCCTTATTTGTGTTCCTGGGTCTCTGAGTCCCGGAAGAGCCAAAGTGTCTCGGGTTCCAGAGCTGACAGCAGGAAAGCTGGGCTGCAGTAGGCATTGTCCAAGCTTTATCTGAGCTTGTAATTAAACTGCACACTCCCTGCGTGACTCAGGCAAAATGCTCTCCTGCTCTGGGCCTCAGTTTCCTCATCTCTGTAATGGGATTGGGCCCATAGGACCTGTTTCTTGCTCTCCTTCATGTGGATGTGTTGAGGAAGGCCCCTCTTCCTTCCAAGCCAGTTCGAGGCTGTTCCTGGGGATTGTGCTCTCTGATGCCCGGGCTACTGATAGCAGTGGGTACAGGCCTTAGGAAGCTTCAAACATGACCTAATTTCTGCCATACACTCTCCCATTTAAGCCAGATTTGAGCAATGGCGGAGAGGAAACCAAGTTCAGGAGATTTATGGAATCTTCGGCGATAACCTCTAGCATCTCCTTCTCTCAGGCTCCTGATGAGAGATGAGACTAGCTAATGTCTTCTTTGGGCTTCTGTTTGATATTCTCTCTCTCTCTTCCCCTTCTAAGGTTGGTAGGAGGAGAGGATTGGAGCTGTTTTCTCCTTGATGCCAAGATACGCCAAGCTAGGAGCATTCTGCCCTTTCCACAGTCATCCACCGAGAACAGGCCTGCAGGACGGGACAAGGATCAGAGCCTTCCTGCAACCCCGGCCACTGCCTGCTGTCTGTGGGCCTGGACTGTGCGGGCAACTGTGCTTGGCCCGAGTGACAAGGAGGTGGGAGAGGGTAGCAGCATGGGCTACGCGGTTGGCTGCCCTCAGTCCCCCTGCTGCTGAAGCTGCCCTGCCCATGCCCACCCAGGCCGTGGGGCCAGGGGCCTGCCAGGGCTAGGAGTGGGCCTGCCGTTCATGGGTCTCTAGGGATTTCCGAGATGCCTGGGAAGAGAGGCTTGGGCTGGTGGTGGGCCCGGCTGCCCCTTTGCCTGCTCCTCAGCCTTTACGGCCCCTGGATGCCTTCCTCCCTGGGAAAGCCCAAAGGCCACCCTCACATGAATTCCATCCGCATAGATGGGGACATCACACTGGGAGGCCTGTTCCCGGTGCATGGCCGGGGCTCAGAGGGCAAGCCCTGTGGAGAACTTAAGAAGGAAAAGGGCATCCACCGGCTGGAGGCCATGCTGTTCGCCCTGGATCGCATCAACAACGACCCGGACCTGCTGCCTAACATCACGCTGGGCGCCCGCATTCTGGACACCTGCTCCAGGGACACCCATGCCCTCGAGCAGTCGCTGACCTTTGTGCAGGCGCTCATCGAGAAGGATGGCACAGAGGTCCGCTGTGGCAGTGGCGGCCCACCCATCATCACCAAGCCTGAACGTGTGGTGGGTGTCATCGGTGCTTCAGGGAGCTCGGTCTCCATCATGGTGGCCAACATCCTTCGCCTCTTCAAGGTCAGTGCCTTGGTTGGTCCCCTGAGGTGCTCTTCCCCCAACGGACTCTGCCCGCCCCACTTCAGGGTGCCAGGCCTGGCCGACCAGCCCCTTTTTCCTCCTTTTTTCCTCACTCTAAGGGACAGTTTTTTCCTCAGAGCAGTGTCTGAGAATTTGGGGCAGCTCTTCCTGGTTTCAGTATGTTGTCTTGTGGTCTCAGCACAGGCACAGCAGATGAAAGGCATCGGGACCCAGCCTTGTGGCGCTGACCGAGGTGCTGAAACAGCACCTGCCGCTGGAGGCTCGGTGAGCAACTCCACTCCTCTCTGGGGAATTCTGTACCAGGAGGAAAAGGATGTTCTGGAGAACGACAGAGGGAGGAGGAGATAGGCAGACAGACAGATAAAAAGATACGCAGGTGGATAGACAGACAGACAGACAGATAAGAAGAATGGAAATATGAATGCTGGAGATTGCCAGGGAGAAAAAGCAAGACTTTTGTTTTGACACTGTTTTCATATAATTGCAATTCCCAAGAAAGATGTTTTTCTTCTGGGTAGTTGAGGAAGCTCCCTGTGGCCCTCCTGCCCTACCCGAGATTATGGTTGGAGAATGTGTCCTCATTTTTTGGATGGGGTGTGGGGCTGCTGAGCCTGCAGAGAATGCAGATGAGGACGGGAAAACTGAGGCCTGAGAGAGTAGGCGGTCTCTGTTTCTGGTGCCCTGGGCCCTGAACCAAGCTTCCCTCTGTGATTTCCTTCCTTCTGCCCTTCTTCCATGCACACCTTTCTCCCTTTCCTTCTGGAATCCCTCCCAGCCCCCTCCTTGCCGCCTCCTTTCCTCTCTTCCTGGGGCAAGAGCTGCTGATTTGCAATTCAATTGGAGCCAAGTGCTTCGCTAAGCTGCTAAAACAACTGAAAGCTACCGGGTAGAGAGAAAAACATTACAAGCATTTTACCAATAATTATGTGCCCGTTTCTCTCTTGGAGCCTGTCTTGTTTGCTCTGTGTGTGTGTGTGTGTGCATGTGTGTGTGTTTGTGCATGTTTGTGTGTGTAGGGAGGGGAGGAGAGAATGGGGAGAGGGAAGAGGAAGGGACACAGAGGAAGCTGCTTGGTCCCTCCCTCACCCTGGTGTCAGATTCTCGGCCTCTGGAGTTGACCTTTGTCTCCCCAAAGTCTCCAGGGCTAGGAAGTAGACTGAGAGAGGCTGTTTTGCACTAGGCACGGTGGGGAGAGCTGAGCCTGGACCACTCTCACCGGGACTCTTTCTGGAAGCCATTAGCCCACTTCCCATGATGCATCAGGACTTGGGGGCATGTCTGGGGGCCCAGGTAGAAGTGGAGATGAAGGGAAAGGATGGTCCCAGTGTTGGGGTGGGGGTGAGGAAGCTGGTGAGCGGGAGTGGCAAAGGGAGGAGGCCAGAGTTGTGCTGTCACAAGTCTGGGTGGGGCAGGACTTTTGCCATTGGCTGCTCTGGGGCTGAAGAGCACGTGTGCGCCCACCTGTGTATGCAGTCATGTCTCTGGTATGCTCTGTGGGCCTCGAATATAGGGCTTTTCCTGGAGTGTTGGTTTTACTTGATGAGTTGGATGAAAACACAATTTTAATTTTAAAGCAAATGGATGCATTATGAAGACTGCAAAATTTGTACATGGTTTTGTTTTTTATTTTTTTATGATCAGTGGTTGAACATGGATGTACGTAGTTTGAAGATGAAGCAGGAAACTTGAAAACATTTCTGCCCTCGCGGTAGGCAGCTGGAACAATCCCCGGGGGCTGTGTCGCTGTGATCATCTTTTGCAGTTCTTTGGCAGGATGGTTTGGGAATGGTAGCCTGGTTCAGTCCTCCCACCGCACCCAGTTTTATGGTGGGGACTGGAGACAAAAGGAGAGGAGGAGCTGGCTGGGCTGTCCCAGGCCAGGGCCTAGTGATGGCTCAGGCCAGATGAGTCATCACTTCAGCCCTCCTGGCCCTGGCCTGGGAGCTGAGGCAGCCTGGGCCATCCAGCAGAGGGGACAAGCCTTGGACTCCTCCTTGTCAGCCTGGCAGGGTGGGGCACAGATCCCCAGCCTCCAGGAAGGCCACCCCACAAGGGAGGCTGCTGTATTCTCTTTATCTGAGTTGTAATTAAACTCCTTTAGTGACTCTGGGTCTTTTAGAAAGATGGTAAAACAGCCTGGTCCAGCCCTTGAACCTGTGACATTGGTGAGGATCCCTTCCCCTGTTTTCCAGAGCGGAGTGAGTGCCTACTTTACAGGGAGGTGGAGAGGCCCAAAGGAGCTGAGAGTGCCCCATCACTTGGTACATGGCGAAGGCTCAAGGAATGGTCACTCAGAGTTAGGTCTTAAAGTGTGTTCTTGGGAACATAGATATTTTGAGATGAGACGCTCAGTGCCCCAGACAGGGGAGTGGGCTGCAGCTGCTGTGCTAACCTCTCCCAGCATGGGGAAGGGCCAGGGTGGGGTGAGGGGCCTGGGGTGAAGAGCCTTACCATCCTGGGGGTTCATGGTGTCCCCTGTTTGTCTGGCCACAGAGGAGCATGGTGTGGTCTCAGTTTGGTCTGTGCCTCCTCAGAACACAGGATGGAGTGGTTGGGGCAGGGGTCAGGAGCCCCTCAGGCTGCACAGAGAGCAAGGCAGGACCGGGAGGTAGAGACCTGGGGAGTGGAGAAGAAAGCAGGACAGCAAGGAAAGGGAGGGACAGCGGGGAGAAAACCAGCCGGCTGTGGCCTGCATTCCCTGGGTCCCTTTTAACAGCCTTAATGTTCCAGGCTGGTGACAAGAGGCCTCCTCAATAATTAAACTGATAGAAATGAGAGGCTGGGTGAGAAACTTAAAAGCCATTTACAGAAGCAAAAAGATTGAACTTTGGGGAGGGAGGTCGGGAGCAGGAGCCTCGGGAAGGAGAGGGTGAGGGAGGGATGCCTTGGGGGAGGGGACCTGCGCCCACCACCAGGTGTCCATTTCAAAGGGCACCACTGCAGCCCCCGCCCTGCTCCCCTAATGATGGGTTAATGTGGCCTGCTGGGAACTTGGCACCAGAGGCTGTGATGATAGCTTTCCTTCCTGCAAGAGGTGGACTTCCGGTGCTTGGCTCAGAGGGGAGCCCTGGGTGTGGGGGCACTCAGGTGATTTCCTGCATGGAGAATGCTAATGGAGTGCAGTCAGGGTCAGGATATGAGCAAAACTCACAAGGCTCAGAGCTGGAAGGGGCCAACCTCTTGCTCTAGAGATGTGGAGGCTGAACCCTGATAACATGACAGGGCAGGGCTCAAAGCCGGGTGCCCTCTCCCAGGCCTGACTCCTGGGAGACTGCCTGCTCAAGAGACAGCTGAGTCAGAAGTGGGACTTGAACAGGCCTCTGTTGCGGACCAGAAGGCCTGACTCTGGGAACTCATAGGTCTGACAGCTTCTATCCCTAACTTCCCTGCTCCCACCCCTTCCTTCATTTGCAATTTGTCCCATTCTTTCAGGACAGGGGTGCTGATGGGTGTGAAGAATACCTTTTGGTGGGCACCCAAGCCCAGTGGTTGTAGCCTGTACAATGCACTGTTGTGGGCCCAGCCCAGGTTGTGGAGAAAGTCAGGCCTGGGTTTGAATCCCTGATCCACTAGTTACCTCACCTCCACTTACCATGTCAGTTATTTACACCATACTGTGAATGAGCCCATAAGACCTTTCTGTGGCTGGCGCAGTGGCTCACACCTGTAATCCCAGCACATTGGGAGGCCAACGCGGGTGGATCACCTGAGGTCAGGAGTTCGAGACCAGCCTGGACAACATGGTGAAACCCCGTCTCTACTAAAAATACAAAAATTAGCCAGGTGTGGTGGCATGTGCCTGTAATCCCAGCCACTCGGCAGGCTGAGGCAGGAGAATCACTTGAGCCCGGGAGGCAGAGGTTGCAGTGAGCCGAGATCGCACCACTGCACTCCAGCCTGGGTGACAGAGTGAGACTCCATCTCAAAAAAAAAAAATACCTTTTCCTGAAAAGTCATTGTTCGGGGGAGGAAGAGCAGACTGGAGACACCCCCAGAGGGAAGCAGTTTCCAAATTCTGTACCTGTAAGAGCTCAGGGGGATCCAGAAATAATTTCTTTGAGTCTTTTATTCATTTTGCAGTGGAAGAAGCTAAGGCTTGGAGAAGGGGGCGCTGCACAGCATGGGGGTAAGCATTTGGACTCTGGAGCCAGGCAGCCTGAGGTCTGACCACCCTGGCAAACTGCTTAACCCTTCTCTGCCTCAGTTTCCTCATTTGTAAAATAGAGATGATAATGGTGCCAGCCTCATAGGACAGCACGGGGATTAAAAATTAAGGTCCAGCTAGGTGTGGTGGCTCACGCCTGTAATCCCAGCACTTTGGGAGGCTGAGGTGGGCAGATCACTTGAGGTCAGGAGTTCGAGACCAGCCTGGCCAACATGGTAAAACCCCGTCTCTACTAAAAATACAATAATTAGCTGGGCGTGGTGGCAGTTACCTGTAATCCCAGCTACTTGGGAGGCTGAGGCAGATGAATCGCTTGAACCCGGGAGGCAGAGGTTGTAGTCAGCGAGATCCTACCATTGCATCCCAGCCTGGGCGACAAGAGCGAAACTCAGTCTCAAAAAAAAAAAAAAAAGAAAAGAAAAAAAAAAGAGTTAAGGTCCAAGAAGGCCTAGCATGGTGCCTGGCACACAGTCAGCCCACAGGAAATGTCACAGCACAGCTTGTAGCTGGGCCTTAAGTCAGCATGAGGGACTCCGGCGATGCGGAAGAGGATGGAGCGGGCAGGCAGCGACAGACGGTGACCTTTAAGGCTGATCCCGGAGAGTTCCCCACCATCTGCTGGGCCTCTTGCGTCTTCCTGCCACGAGTGCAGCACTCAGTGTTGAGACCGAGCAGACAACTTAACTTTGAGTAATGAGAATTTCTTGCTATCACGAAATGGGGCATGGGAAGGGGGAGCAGAGGTGGCCTGTATGTGCCACCCCTAGCCTGGCGGTGTGAGTTCCCTCCCCTCGTCCCATGTTGGGCTGCATGTGCCCCCTGGGCTCTTGGCTGCTTCTGGAGCCGGGGCTATGGGTGTGGCCCTGGGGGAACACTGTCTTAGATCCCACAAGATGTTCTGTCGAGGACGTGGCTTTGTGTCTTTATGTGTTTTCACTACACAGCCAGGAGGAACTCTAGAGAGAGCCCACCCACCCTACTGCACCCATCTTGACCAGGCCAAGGAATCTGGAGGCATTTTTGACCACCGTCTTTCTGTTCGTCAGCTCACCCTGCAGGCTCCACTTTCAGAACTTGTCCTGGGCATGACAACTCCTCACGGCCTCCATCCCCATAGTCTCTTACCCAGCCCATTACAGAAGCCTGGTCTTTCCTCTCCCTGCCTCCAAATGGCCTCTCCACAGCCAAACCTTCACTCAGCAGCCGGAGAGATCTTTCTAAAACCCAGATGGAATCCACTCAACCCTCTGCTTAAACCTTTTATTGGCTTCCCGTTGCTCTTAGATTAAAATGTGAACTCCTTTCCTGTCTGAGAGGCCCTGTGCTACCTGGTGCCCCTGATGTCCCTTTGTCTCTCTGGGCACTGCCCACACCAGTCATACTGTTTTCTTTATGCTCCTTGAAGACACCATGCTATTTTCCAACTGCAGGGCCTTTGCACCTGCTTGCCTTGCTGTCTGGAGTCTTCTCTTCCCACTCTTTGAAGCTGGATCTTTCTCATTCAGCCTTGAGCTTAAATGGCCTCTCTTCGGAGAAGCTCCCTGGCCCCTGGCTATTCTGTCTCTTTCCCTGTTCTTTTCCTTGATGGCGCTCATCACAGTTGCAGTCATGTACACATTTGTTTTCCTTTTTGCTATTGAGTTCCCCTCTAGCCCAGGGGTTAGCAAACGATAGACTAGGAGCCAAATCTGGCCTGGTTTTGTACAGTTCATGAGCTAAAAAAGGCCTTTATGTTTTAAAGGGTTGAAAAACAAAATACAAAGAAAAATAATGTCATGATACTGGAAAATCATATGAAACTCAAATTTCTGTGTCCATAAATAAAGGTTTATGGGAACACAGTCATGCCGATTCACTTGTGTCTTGTCTAGGGCTGCTGTCAAGCTACAAGCACAGAACTGAGTAGAGGAGACAGAGACAGAGCTGGCCCCCGCTAGGCTCTACGCCCCACCCATAGAACTCCCAGCTGATGCAGGCAGACGGTGGCCCTCAGGAAACCCTCGCCAAATGGACTCATGGAGGGATGGGGAATGGGAGGGAGACCTCTGCAGCCCCCATGTCTGCAGCAACAGCTGGGCTGGTCTTGGGAGCTGAAGTCTTGGGAGCTCTCTGCGAGCTCCTGGCTGTGGGGATGGGTGTGGCTGGACCTACCTTACCATTGGGTCAAGCCAGTGCCCACTAGTGCCCACTACTGGTGGTATCCAGGGTCACCTGGATATGTTTCTTCCCCTCAAAACACCTTCTCCAGGTCCCCACTGACTCAGGGAATTCCTTTCACCTAAAGCTTTGCTCCTAGTCAGGGGGGATTGCCATGTACCATTTTAGGCTGTCATTAGAGATTTGTCCCAACAGGGCTTGCTCTGTAAATGTTGGGGGTGGGGGCTGAACGAGGGACCCTCTCTAAGAGGTGACTGAGGTGAAATAATTGGAACATTTACATAGCACTTACCCTGTGCCAGGCTGGTCCTAACCCTCATAGCAACCCCAGGGGCAGGTATACAGTTGTTATCCCTATTTTGCAGAACTGAGAACTAAGGCACAGAGAAGCTAAGCAACTTGCCCAAGGTCACACAGCTAGTAAGTGGTGGAGCCTGGATTTGAGCCCAGGCCATCTGGCCCTGAATCTACCTTTTTTCACCACTCTGCTCTCCTGCTTCTTGACCACCAGCTAGGGGTGGGTTTGAGACCTGGCCTGATGCTTACTTACTGCATGGCCTCTACAAGCGTCAGTTTACTCGCCTGTGAAATGGGTGTGATGATACCCAGCTGGCAGAAGCGATAATGTGCCCAAAGCCCTCAGGAGGTGCTCAGGGGAGGCTAGGGATACAGAATAGGATTCAATAGATGCTGGAGTGCTCGTGAGGTGCTGGGGATGGAGAGAAAGGGTTGTCCGAAGTAGGTCTTGCTGAGGGTGACTGTCAGGGGCAGTTCTCCTGAGGGGAGGGCAGAGAAGCCCCCTGCCGAGATAGTCTCTCTTTCCCCCAAACCCCCACTGTGGTGAGAGCCTGGGAAGGGGAACCTCCAGACCAGAGCCAGGCCTGAGCCTGAATAGAGAGGGGAAGGGACGTGGAAGGAGGGGAACCCTGGCATTGGGCAGCCCCAGGAGCCCTGAGGGGAAGCTCAGAGCCCCCGTGGCTACTGGCAGCCAATCCTCTGCGTGCCCTTGGGCAGGCCCTTCCCTGTGGATTGGGGCCAGTGGGGCAGAAGTTGCTTTGCTCTAGTTGCTCTCAAGCCTAGCAGCTTGTCACAGTCATGGGGGAGTTCGGGGAGCATTGGATTCCTGGATCCCCAGCAGGTTGATAAGACTGTGAGCCCAGGGTCTTTTTTTGGACACCTAGTAGCCTCAGCTGGCCACTGACCCAGATGCCTCGAGTCCTTGGTTTTCTTCTCCAGGGAGCGCCCCACCCACCCTGCAGTCCTCTCAAGCCTGCTTCCTCCGAGGGGAACCCTGAGGTATGGGGGGTTTGGAATGGAGGCAGGCAGGATGTCAGCTTTAGCGTGCGGTGACTGGATGGGCAAACAGGCTCATTCCTGCAGAGTTAAAAGGTAAGCGTCCTTTGGGAAGCCAAGGCGGGCGGATCACGAGGTCAGGAGATCGAGACCATCCTGGTGAACACGGTGAAACCCTATCTCTACTAAAAATACAAAAAATTAGCTGGGTGTGGTGGCGGGCACCTGTAGTCCCAACTACTCAGGAGGCTGAGGCAGGAGAATGGCGTGAACCCGGGAGGCGGAGCTTGCAGTGAGCAGAGATAGCGCCACCGCACTCCAGCCTGGGCGACAGAGCGAGACTATGTCTCAGAAAAAAAAAAGTAAGTGTGGAGGCCTTTGGGGGCCTCTGGGAAGACCTCCTAGAGAGGCTCCTGGAGCCCAGGTAGGAGCTGATGGGGCCTCTGGATGTGATGCATGGCATTATGGAAGGGCTGAGGTGAAGGCTGAGTCTAGGGGGGGGTCCTCAAGTTCATGAGTGCTGGCTTCTGGCTTTCTGTCTCCCATCTGGAACTCACTTTGTCCATCTGTAAAGAGTCATGCATTTATTTGTTCATTTACTGAACCTACTGGCCATCTCCATGCCCGGCACTGCTAGAGCAGCGGTCCGTCTCAGCTGCACATTGGAATCACTTGGGGAGTTTAGAGAAGCCTCATACCCCGGCCCACCTCAGGAATTCAGATTTAATTGAAATTGGGCCTGGGCTGCCCGAGTGATGACAGGTGCATTCCAGGTGGAGAACCACCCCTCGAAGTGAACTTTATCACGCAGGAAGCACTCGGGTGAGCCCTGCCCTGGTGGGCTTCCACACTGGAGGGAGACGGCAGGCAGTGGGAAGACAAAGCATGTAGTGCGCATCGTCAGGGGAGCAGTGTCCTGCAGAATCACAAAGCAAGGAGTGGCTGGAGAGCCGCATGGGAGGGAATGTCAGTCTAGGCAGGGTTGGTGGGGGGGCCTTGTTCAGAGCGGACTTTTGTGCAGAACCTGAACGGAGTGGAGGGGCCGCCCTGTGGCTGTAAGAGTGTTCTAGGCAGAGGCAGTAACACGTGCAGAGACCCCGGGGACAGGACTCTGCTTGGCAGTTGATCTGAGCGGGGACCTTGAGATGTGGGTCCGAGACAGTCCGGGGATCAGGGAGAAGGCCTTCAAACCCCTCCTGATCTTCTTGCTGGCAGAGGGTGTCGTGGGAGGACAAGTCACCAGGTCTCTTGGGACCCCTGTTTCCTCACCTATAAAGTGGGCAGATGGTCCCTGAGCAGCCCTTGTGAAGCCACGGAGGTGAGAGCTCCCTGTGAGAGGCTCATTCTTCCCCTGGGCTCCCACCCTGATGACTTTTGCACACTCGGGCCTTCCTGGGCCTCTTCGGACCCCACCCCGTTACTCCCCCCAGCCCCCAGCCTGAGGATGGACAGAGTTGGGTGCTGGAGACCAGAGAGAGGAAGGGCCAGCCAGATGGGGATCCCCGAGGGGCAGTAATGTGGTGGCTGCCGCATGGACCCTGGGGCCAGCTGGCCTGGGTTCATACCCCTGCTCTGCCATTTGTTGCCTGGGAAAGCCTCTCTGTGCCCCCGTTTCCTTGTGTGTAAAATGGGGATGCCTGCAGCACCCACTTCATAGGTGCTGTGAGGATGAAATGCGTGCACAGCAAGGGCCAGGGCAGTGCCTGGCGTGTAGACCGTGGAGTGTGGAACAAAGTACCAGCTCTGGAGGCGGCATGTGGCAGTTGGTGCAGATCCTGGCTCCAGAAGTCTGACCCTCCTGGACCTCGCTCATCTCAGCTGGGAAATGGGCAGAATCACGTGCACCTTTCCAGGTGCAGGTGAAAATTGCAGTGGGAGCTGGTAGTGTGGCGGGCTCACACAGGGCCCGGTCATGTTTGTCCTCATCTCCTGCCGAAGGAGCATCTAAGGGGCGTTCGAGGGGTGTGGCCTGAGTCACGGAGCATGGTGATGGGGAGGGGCACATCACTGCATTGAGCCACAGGATGACTCTGGTAGGTGTGCCAGAGCCTCCTTGCATGGGGACTTACTGACCTGGGGTCCTCTGGCCCTTCACACTGTTGGGTGGCCCTGCTGCGGGCGCTGGGGTGATCTCTGGCTCTCTATGCAAGGCAGGGCTGAGGGTCTCCCCTTGCCAGTGAAGCAACCTGTGGCCCAGGTCCTGCTTTTGGGGCCTGCCTCTGCTGCCAACTCGCTGTGTGACCTTGGGTAACGTGGCCGCCCTCTCTGTAACTGAGAGCACAGGATTAGGCAGGCTTTGAGGCTCTGAGGTGACCCTGCTCCCCCTCACCCCGTCATGCTCTGTGCCTTCCACGGCCTGCCTCCTGGCCCTGCTCGGGCCGTGTCCTTCTGGAATGCCCTTCTTGCTGCCTTGTGGGCAGTCATACTGACTCGAATCCAGCAGGACTTAACTGACCTTCCCAGGGAATGTGGGGGCTCTTGCGGGAATCGTGTCTCTCCCCACAGTTCTGAGTTTCTTGAGGGCAGGATTGGGCTGAACCGCTCTTGGTCTTCCCCCCCTACTTCCAGTGCCTGGCCCAGAGACAGACAGACAGACAGACAGACAGACAGACAAACCGGGGAAGCCGCCAGCCCGGGGCCTTGGTGTGGAACTGAGGAACAGGATGGTGCCCGCAGCAGGGGTGGACCCCCCTTAGTCTGCAGGGTTAGCTGCCCCCCCCACCCCCCGCCCACCGCTGAATGAACCATGTGCCTTCATTTTTCTCCCGACTTTCTAAACTAGCATTTTTATGACCCAGACATGTTGGAAATGAAAGGAAAGCAAATTCTGCTTTATATTCCAATTGACCTTTATGCTTGCCACTCACTCGAGGCCTGGGCTGGGGGCAGTGAGGAGAGGCAGGGCCGGCCTCTATGCTTGGTTCCGTGTGGAGAGTGGTGGCCCGCAGCGCTGTTGCGGGGAGGGGAGCCGGAACACAGTTTTGTCCCCTCTTTCCCTGTCTGTCTATCCCCAGCTTCCTGCCTCCTTCTGTCTGACTGTGGCTTTCTGTTCCCCTCTCATGTCCTCCACCCCATCTCTTTCTTCCCCCTGGTGCCTGTTGGACGCCTTGTTGTCCCACACCACCCAAGCACAGAGAGAGAGTGTTGGGGCTCCCTCTCTGTTTGGGTGGTGTGGGACAGCCTCAGCCTTGGTGGCCTGTGGTTAAGGGCTGGAGGCAGAACGGCTGTCAAGCCCACCTGTTCCCTGTGGGACACATCCCAGCCTCTCTCCTACTTGGCTGCCCACCTGCTTGCCCGCCTGCCTCATACCTTGATTACGGCCTCGGGCATCTCAGTACTGAGCACTTCCTGGTGGGCACCCGCCCCACCCAGACCCCTCCCTCCGACTCAGGGTGCCCCTCAATCCCACCACAAGTCTTGGCACTGCTCAGGGCCCTGCTCTCCTTGCCTGTGGGTAGGGTGGAACAGCACAAGGTGATTAGCTCAGTGCCTGGCACATCGCAGGCCCTCAGGAAACAGGAGGTGTTGTAAAGTGGGCCCATGTGTGAGGAGAAGGCTGGATTCTCCTTCCTGTCCCTCCTCCCATTCCTTCATTCCTGGACCTCAGTTGTCTCCAGGCCTCAGTTTCTCCCTGGGGTTTGCTAAGAGGTGGTGCCCCAGGAGGAGGGATGCTCTGCTCAGCCCTGGCCCTGGCCCAGCAGAGGTGCCCTGAGCGGGGATCTGCCTCGAAGGTGCTGCCTGCTCCTGGTCTCCAGCCACCTCCAGGGCGAAGAGGGATTGAAAACTATCAGAGTTGAAATCTCCTGGAGGGGGAGCTCTGGCTGGGTAGAGCGGGGCCCTAATGGGAGCCCTAATGGGAGCGGACAGAGGTAGCACTTGCCACGTTCTCTGTCCCTGGGGTTGTGGCCGAGGGGAGGATGGGCAGCATTAACCTCTGTCAGGGCCCTGGAGAGGGTGGTGTTTATGTTCAGTGCAGTCTTCTCTCTCCTTCCCAGCTCAGGCTCTGGAAGCTGTCAGGGAGTCCAGTGAGGTCCCCACAGCAGAGCAGCTGGAAGAGAACAACCCTTAATCCCAGGGAATGAATTCCAGCTGGGAGACCCTAGCCAGGGAAGGAGTCTGAGGCTTAGGACTGGGGGGCGGTGTGTGAGGGTGAGTGGTTTCCGGGGTCAGGACTGTTCTGAGAGGAGACTTCAGCAGGAAGTGGAGTGTGTGCAGCTCTCACCACGCCGCCTTTTACTTTATTGAAAATGAGTGGCATGTTCAATGTGGGTCCGTCATGAAGGGCTTACTCTCTTTCACCAAGGTGTGCACGTATCTTAATAAATGATTTAAAACATATGGAAAATTATAGAGGATAATATAATGAATTAGCCTGTACCCAAGACCTGGCCACATATTGATATCTTCCAGTAACAGTTTCAAAATTGTTTAAGAAAGAAAACTTTGCAGGCTGGGCGCAGTGGCTCATGCCTGTAATCCAAGCACTTTGGGAGGCCGAGGTGGGCGGATCACAAGGTCAGGAGATCGAGACCACCCTGGCTAACACAATGAAACCCTGTCTCTATTAAAAATACAGAAAAATTTGGCCAGGTGTTGTGGCGCGCCCTGAGAGAGGGCATGATGTGCTCGTGTGTGGAGGTTGGCTATCCTGCTCCTGGGAGGCTGCTGGGGCTTAGGGGGTGATGTGGCAGGAGCTGGGGACCTGACAAAGGTGTCTTCCTGCCCGAATTGGTAGCTCCTGACAGCCAGGTCTCTGGTTGCTGCTGGAAGGAGGTTTTTGAGAAGCCTGAAGTGCGAGGAAATGTTAAGTGCCTTGTAAGTACTTTGATTATTTTAAATTCCTTAAGTGGTTTTCTAAGATGGTCCTAAGTATCCCAGGGACACAGACACAAAATCAATTAGGAAAGTACAACAAACCCAACAGGGGGAAAGAAGGGGAAGCCAGGAGCCCTCACCTGCCTTCCTTGCCTCCCTCACCCCCACAGGACCTGGCTGATCAGCCTGGGCCAGGACTTCCTCCCTCACCTCCCAGCCCTGGGCCAGGGAGCCCCAGGCCCTGTGCTGAGGCCTCGTGGAGGGAAAGAGTGTGCATGCTGGAGAGGGGTGCCTGAGGGTCTCCTTCAAAGATGGGTTTCTCTCTCTCCTGAATGAGCCTTTATTCAGTGGCCTTGGAGGAGACTGGGTTCCCCAGGCCTGGCTTACCCTTCAACCCCACAGATGCAAAATCTTTGGTCATTCTTCTAAGTTACGGTATTACTGTTTGAATGCATCATACATTCCCATGGTTCGGTCTTCAAGGTACCAAGAGACACACCCCAACCCCAGCCTGGCCCTGGAGGCAGCCATTATTCCCTGCGCACCCTTCCAGAGAAACTCAGGCCTGCGTACGGGCTGGGGTGCGTGTTGCCTCCAGAGGCTGGGTTCTCTGGATATCCTCACCGCAGGCCTGGGGTAGGAAGGGGATTAAATGCATATATATGGCTCCCGCATTCTGCCCCCTCTACGCCCCACCAAAGCTGCAGCACCTGCTGGGTCACCTGGCAGCATTTCCAGGGACATGCTTCGTCAGTGCATAAGGACCTTTTACTTTGTGTGGCTGCGTAGTGCCCCTGCTTCTGGTCTCCTCATGATGGACATTAGGTGGTTTCCAATCTAGGCTCCGACAGAACTGCGGTGGAAGTCTCTGCATGGGCCACTTTGCACGTCTCTGCAGGACAGACTCCTCCCCACAGAGGGCTTGGTCAAAGGGCAGGTGTGTTTGCAATTTCCCTGTACGTGGCCGCATTGCCCTCCTGCCAGAGAGGGGCAGGGCTGGTGCCGTGGTGCCCTGTGACACCTCCACCTCTGCAGGACATGCCCAGAAGGAGGCCCTGTGGCTGATCCCGACCTGGCCTCATGTAGCAGGTCAGGGACTTCCTCACTCACTCCCTCTCTCTCTTTCTTTCTTTCATGGAGTCTCTCTCTGTCGCCCAGGCTGGAGTGCAGTGGTGCGATCTCAGCTCACTGCAACCTTCGCCTCCTGGTTTCAAGCAATCCTCCTGCCTTAGCCTCCCGAGTAACTGGGATTACAGGCGCCCGCCACCATGCCTGGCTAATTTTTGTATTTTTAGTAGAGATGGGGTTTCACCATGTTGACCAGGTTGGTCTTGAACTCCTGACCTCAAATGATCCACCCGCCTTGGCCTCCTAAAGTGCTGGGATTACAGGCGTGATCCACTGTGCCCGGCCTCATCATCTGTTTCTTTTGTGGATCTCCACGGAATCTAGAGGGATGAATCACATATTTTTATTTGTTTTAACAGAGAGTTGTCAATATAGGAAAACAAATCTCTGCTCCTAAAAGAAATGAGGCAGAGAACCTACTGGAAGTTAGCAGCGAGTACCTGATTCAACCATGAACATTTTAATCTTCATGAGAGATTAAGTTAGTGGGTTTGGTTCCAGTTTGTACAGTTGTATTCATTTGGTAAATGTTTACTGAAGATGTGTGACAGGCCCTCAATTTTGCTGTTGAACCAGGAGGTGGGTTTTTCCTTTGCTTTTGTTTGCTTTCCAGTTCAATTAAAAAATGCATATTTTATGTGCACCTTGGGAATTAGCATGTGAGGATGGCCCACAGTTTTCAGGACTCTCAGATGCCTGCTGTAGGCGGCTTCTGGGCATTTCTTAGAAACTGCAATGGGACAGAGGGCCTGGTGGAGAACAGTAATAGGGAACTCAGGGATAAATCCTAATAGCTCACAATTTACAGGCTTTCACAGTCACTTCTTGATCATTCCACACAAGAGTCCTACAACGCGGTCAGGACGGCTTTTTTACAGATGAGGAAACTGAGGCCCAGAGAAGTTAATGTGTGGGGGGCCACCTCAGCCAGTTAGAATCAGAGCTGGGCTTCGAATCAGGGTCCCAGCCCCCCAGCACAGTGCCCTGCCCCTGCCCACACCTGGAAGTCATGAGTGTGTCCTCCTAGTCCAGCAGCTCTTAGTGCAGGAGCCTATGGGTGCTTTGCAGGCTGGAATCAGGTCAGCCCTTGCTCTATCCCATTAAGCACGGAACAGGCAGCCATGGGTCCCTGTGTGAGTGTGGCTCGATGTCCCTTAGCCCCTTCCTGTTATGGTGGCTATAAAAGCCAGCATGTTTGTCACAGATTTGGAAGAAAACAGCAAAGCATAAAGAAGCAATTTGAAATTGCTCATTCATTCTGCTATCCAGGATGGCAACCTTGATACATGTGTGTATTTCCTTCCAGCCCTTTTTCTGTGTAATTTACCAAATTGAGATCACAGCATCTATATGGTTCTGTAGCCAGCTTTTGTCCACTAGACTACAGTGGTGAGCATGTTCCAATATCCTTGATTAGTCTTTGAAGCCTGGCATTCAATGGCTAGGTCATCACCCAAGGGGCCCTCGCATCTTTCATATACTATGTCTCGCTGGTGGCTGGTTGGATGTGAGATCTTGGGGCTGCTTACCTGGCTGCATCTATGTATTTCCAGTGGCCTCTCTCCATGAGGAGATGCGACAGTGCAGCCTTGGGTGCTGGGTGGTGAGGAGCAGGAGGTGGGAGGCCCTTCCTAATTGGAGCGGTTATCATGGGAAAGACAGGTGCTCAGGTGAGCTCCCCATGGGGGCAGGTGAGGAGGTGGATGTGGCAGGTGGAGTGTAGGAGGCAGCCAGGTGTCCCAGGTGATACTCAGGGCCCTGGAGAGACGTGCCGGATGAACTGCAGGCATGGGAGCCAGGGACTATGGCTTCACTTCATGCTTGCTCAGGATGAAAGCCCCCTAAACCCCGGAAATTCAACTCAGGGATTTAAATCCAGTGTGGCAGCTGAGGTAGTGGGTGGGCAGGGAGCCAGGCTGGCAGGGAGGGATGACCTCACAAGTATACTTCACCATGGACAGGTGGGGTTTGTGGCAGGGGGGCCTGGGAGAAGGAGGCAGATACCCCTGAGGCTCTCAGGTTGGCATGGCCTTGGAAGCCCTTTTGGGCTGGCCCAGCCTGTCTCGCCCACCTCATCTTTGTTCCCTCCCTCCGGCCCTGCCATTTTCAGTTCCATTTCCCCCGAGGCCAGTCTCTAAATCCCCCCAGCTTCCCATCTGCCAGGCCTCTGCTTCTGATGGTCCACCTGCCCCGAAGAATGCTCTGTCTGCCTTTTCATTCCTTTACATTTTTCTTTAAAATGGAGGTACAACTTATACACTGTAAGATACACAAATTTCAGGTGTATGACTTGTTGAACTTTTATAAATGCATTTGCCGGTATCCGATAGAGAACATTCTCAGTGCCCTGGAAAGCTCCCTTGAGCCCCTCCTAGTTAATATCCTTTCCTCCCCAAGGATAATCAATAGCCTGATTTCTAACTGTGTAGACTGGTGTTGCCTGGTTTTGAGCCTCACGTAACAGAATCGTGCAGCAAGGTTTTTATGTCCAGCTTCTTTTGCTCACATTGTCTGTGAGAACCCCCTGGGGTTGGGTCTGTTGGTGGTTTGCTCACTTCTATTGCTCTGTACTCTTTCATTGTATCATTGTTTGGGTAATTCATCATTTATTTACCCTTTCTGCTGCCACTGGACATTTGGGCTGAATCCAGTGTTTGGCTATTATGAATAGAGCCACTCTTAACATTTGTGTACGTGTCTTTTAGTGGATGTAAACGCTCGTTTCTCATATATATATATTAAGTGGAATTGTTGGCTCATAGGTTGCATGAATGATTAGCTTTAGGAGGTGCTGCCAATCATTTTCCCAAAGAGACTGTACCTTCTTGCCACCTTTCTTTGCTTTGGTAATTCCACATTTGTTTTGAGGCCCATCTCCAATGCCCCCTCTTCTGCTGTCCTGAAGAGAATAACCCTGGTCACTGGGGTGTCAGCTCTACCAGGCAAGGTTGTGTCTCTCTTCTTCCCTGCTCTGGTCTCCAGTGCCTGGAACATAGTAGGTGCTTAATAAAATGAATGGTTGGATTTATGTGCCTGGTGTGTGCTAGGTGTTTTACACAGGTTATCTTGTGTGAGTCGCCAGCTAGGAAGTCAGTATCACCGGCCCCATTTTACAGGAGAGGAAACTGAGGCTTGCTCAGAAAGCAGTGGAGGGAGGCCTGCAGCGCTGCCTGTCCCTGAAGCCGGTGCTCATTCTGCAGTTCTAGGCGGCATGTGTTTGGAATTTCTTGCTCTTTTTCAGCTCGCCCACTTTGATTTCACTCGGCCTCATATTCTAGTCCGGGGGTTGTTGAATTAAATCTTGTGGGTGACCCAGTTAGTTTGTGACCCAGCCAACTCCTGAAGGATCTGTCAGCTTTTTCTTCATTCTGAGTCTGTGCCCCAGAATCAGGGATTTCCAGGTTGGATAGGGGTGGCGAGGCCGCAGAAAACCCACTTGTATGTAATTAAAGCCCTCTTCTGGTGCGGCCAACATCGGTACCTCATTTTTACCTTTTCAAAGTCCCTTTCCATTGATTGACCGTCCATGGAGGTCACAGTCTGGCCACTGTCATTTGCATTCTCTGAGTGATAACAAATGGAGCCCAGGGAGGTGTGATGTGTCCGCAGTTTCTCCTGGAGCCTGAAGAGCTGGGGTGAGAACCTCGAACTCCTCCTCCAGCCTCGCGCTGCACAGTTATTTAGGGAGGGCTGGGAGCAGACAGAGGATTGGAGTTGGGCCCAAAACCCAGCAAGGCTTGTCCCAGGGCCCCTTTGGGAAGCTAGAAAGGCTCTTTCAGAGCATCGATTTACTAAATGGTCTTTTAGAGGCCTGAAAGGTTTGCCGAGTGTCTTCGGGCAGACCCCTGGAGGCTGCTGTCCAAGGTCCTGAACCAGGACCTTGTGGCTGGGAGCAGGGGAAGGGGCAGCAATTTGGGCTTGGGGGTGGTTATGCTTCCCAGGGGGTGCGCTCCTGCCAGTTTTGGTGGGAGTTGGGCATGTGGCCGGGCAGACGGTGCGGGTGCCGTGATATTTTAATTGAAGCCTGGAGACACGGTTGCTCTCTCTACTGCGCTAACAATGTAGGGAATAAATAATTCAGCAGTGGCTGTGTTGTGCCTGCTGTCCTCACCCACGGGGGTGGCCACACGCATGCACACACACACACACGCATACACGCACGCACGCACACATGCAAGCTGTGGAGTGGGCCAGGAGCTGCTGTTCTGGCTGGTGGCTGGCCCAGAGGCAGCGTGTTGGCGTTTAGGCAGGGCCCTGACCACCTCTCAACCCTGGTGAACCTCTTTGCACCCAGGCAACCCCTGAGGAGAGGTTAGCAGCATCTGGGGACAGCTGCTCCTGGATGCAGTGATTAGTGGCACTTAAAGGTCCGTTTGTCCTCAGACCAGCCTGAGATGCTGGCAACCTGGAGGAAAGGCTTCTCTTAATGGACATGCTTCCTGGGCTGTGTTTTGAATGGATTCCATTTGATTCAGCAAACATGTATGGAGCTCCAAGTTTGTGCAAGATACTGGAGCAGGTGGTGGGGATGGGCAGGATTGCCGAGTGAATAAATCTGGGTCCTTCCTGGATGGGGAGGTGTGATGGGCATGTGATTTGCCACAGCTCAAACTGGGGTATGGGAGGGCTGTGAGGGGGTACAGGTGAGGGTCTAGGGGCTCAGAGGAGGGCGAGGGCAGTTCTGACAAGGCGTGCATGGGGCAGCCTTTGTCAGAGGTGGAGCCGGGCAGTGTCCTCAGGGTAGAGGGTGGGCACCGGTGGGACCTTGGGCTTGTCTGTGACAGGGATGTGGCATGCAGGAGGGTTGGGCAGAGGGTGAGTGGAGAGGGGCTGGAGGAAATTGGGGGGCTTAGGTCAAGAAGGTGGACTTGATCCTGCAGGATGGTGCCTGCTTGGATTTGGGAGTTAAAAGTATTCCTTTGGGTGTGGACTGGAGGGTTGGTTGCAGGGCAAGGCCTGAAGCTGAGAGAGTGATGAGGAGATGGATAGAACAATTCAGCCTGGAGGTGATGGTGGCCCGGATGATGGCCTTATGCATAGTGACATCCATTGGTTCATATATCCACCAAATAGCTGGTGAGCATCTTTTAGTAGCAGATGTTGGGTTGGGCTGAGAATGCAGCAGAGTGAGCCAAATGCATACCGTCCTTGCCCACATGGAGCTGACCTTCTGGAGTGGGAAGAAAGACAGGAGACATGATGTAATCACTTACATGAGTGGGGACAGGTGCTGTGGAGGGGACCTGCCCAGGGCCAGGGGCTAGAGAGTTGTGAAGGAGGGGAAGGGCTCTTGTACACAAGGCAGTCAGGGAAGACCTGGGGAGGGGACTTTGGAACACAGACCCAGGTGAGTGAGGAAGGCAGCCAGGTGGCTGGGTGGTGTTTTGGGTGGCAGGCACAGCCAGTGCAAAGACCCTGAAGCAGGAACATTTTTGGCCCATCTGAGGAGCAAGGGGGTTGCTCAGAGGGGAGGGGAAGGTGTGGCAGGGTTGGGTCAGCAGGGCCTGTGGGCTCTGAGACAGAGGAGAACTTTTACTCCAGGTGCAGTAGATAGCCTTGGAGAGTTTTAAGCAGAGTGACATAATTAGACTTACGTTTTAAAAAGTGCTCCCTGGCTGCCATGTGAGGACCAGATTTGCAGCACTGTCAGAGCCTTCAGCTGCACCCTGCTCCCCCACTCCTTCCTCCCTTCTCCTCTCACTCCTCCCAGAGAGTCGTCAGCCTCAGCTCTGCTCCACAGAAAGCCCCTGAGGAGACTTCCAGAGGGCTGGGCAGTTCTGCAGAGCCCCATCCTCCCTCCGAGTCCCACCCCAATCCTCAAAGCTCAGCCCAACCAAGCTGGGACCTCCAGCTACTGCTAGATAAACCCTGCACAAGGACCCGCATCTGTTTTCCTTATAAAGTGGGCATTTCAACAAATATCTCCCTACCTGGGTAGACGTTAGGTTTAAATGGGAGAACGTGGCCAGGCATGGTGGCTCAGGCCTGTAATCCCGAGGTGGGAGAATCACTTGAGCCCAGGAGTTCGAGACCAGCCTGGGCAACATAGTGAGACCCCATCTCTGCAAAAAATTTAAAAATTAGCCAGGTGTGGTGGTGAGCACCTGTGGTCCCAGCTTATCAGGAGGCCGAGGTGGGAGCATCGCTTGAACTCAGGCGTTTGAGGCTGTAGTGAGCTGTCATTGCACTGTTGTACTCCAGCCTGGGCAACATCTCTAAAATAGAAAGAAATGAAAAGAAAGGAAGGAAGGGAGGGAGGGAAGGGAAGGGAAGGAGGAAGGAAGGAAGGGAAAGAAGAAAGGGAAGGGAGGAAGGAAGGAGGGAAAACAGAGAATGTATGTAAAAGCTGTAAATGGAAGGTCATTATTATTGCAATTTTCAAACCCAGAGGGAATGACCAAAGGGAATGGTTAAGGACAGACCCTGAGAGCAGTTGTTTAGCAACCTGTGACTCCAAAAGATGGCCCTGGCGAAAACATAAGTGGATTCAAAGCTGCAGGGAAGAGAAGTTCGGGGAAGCAGATGCCTAGCAAACTGACAGAGGAAGTTAGGGGTATGGGAGCATCCCTGGCCGAGAGGTGCAGTGAGGGCATCTGTGCCACTCGCATTCTTGGTGTTTCATGCCCTGAGCCCCAGGCAAGGGAGGGAGCCAGGCAGGGGATAGGGCGGGGGGCTGAGTCCTGTTTTCACTAGAGGTTTTTCCTGAGCTTCCCCTGCCGCCTCCAACCCCTTCCCACCAAGAAGTTGGGGCCAGGATAGGGTTTCCAGCTGGAACCTGCCATGGGCACTAAAGTGTCCTCATTTGGGGGGAAGCTCACACTCCCCACCTTCCACACTCAGGCCCTTCTCTCCCCCACAGAGAAACTGGTGAGTCCCCCCAGCTGCATCAGATAAGACCCAACAACAGGGACCTCCCTCTCTCCCACCTCAGGAGGGTGGTTGAGTTAACTGCCTTTCATATTTTTGGCAGAGAGCTGGCAGTGAGACCCAAACAGGGAATGCACTAATTGAGGGGCTCCTTCTGGGAAACCCCTCTGATTGGTGTCCAGGAATCATGGGTCTGCCATGGCCGCCAGCCCAGCATGGCTTATAGAGCTGTAAGCAGGGAGATGCTGCCTCCCTGGGGCGGGGGAGAGGAGGAAAAGAAAGGGGCTATTTAATTTAATTCCGTGTTTTATCGCTCGTTGGATAAATAACCTTCATTAAGATGGAAGGTGGGGGGATGGACAGGGAGAAGTTTGATTAATTTCAATCTGGTTTCTCATTTGTTAATTTTCTCCCAGTTCAGCAGGATTATTAAAACAAATTACAGGCACTGCTTTCTCCTCCCTGGGCTGAAGCAGGGCTTTCCAGGAGTGATCATGTCCCCCCCTTCCACTACGTTTATTTAGGTGCAACTTGGGGTGAGTGAGGAGACCTCCCCATTTCAGAATCTCCAGGCAAGTCTCCTTTTCTTATTGAGAAACCTCAATAAGATCTGGACAATCAGGAAATGGAACAGGTGGGGGTGCGTCTGGTCTGGCCACACTCCCCCAAGCAGTGCCAATTCCTGGGCAGGCTGGTGACTGAGGAGAGGGGCAATGCTGCCAACATCAGCCCATGGTGTCCCGGGGGGCAGCCTCTGGGCATCCCCAAGCTGGTGCCAGTGCCCAGCGACCTTAATCCTCCTCCATCCCCACTGCCACCTGGCTGCTGCCCATTCTGACCCCCACCCAGCCCATCAGCTCTTGCCCACCTTGAGCTTTGCCCCTGCCAGGCTGGTTCTCCCATGGGCAGGATCCAGCCCTGCAGAAAGCTGTCCCCTGCCGGGGTGTGGATGGGGGACAGCACTCTCTTGCCTACCATGGGCAGTTAAGAGTTCCAGCTGCTTGATGGGCAGCTGGGCAGGATGGCAAGATCAGGGGTGGGTTATGAACACTCTCTTGTGCTCCCCAAAATACACTGTTAATGCTGCCTCCACCAGTGCTGACTCTATGTGTGTGTGTTTGTGTGTGTGTGTGTGTGTGTGTGCACGGTTGGTTGTACTTACCACCAAGAGGCCTGTGAGTGTGAGTCCAGGAAAGTATGTGTGGGACTCAAGGAGTGGCTCCTCATATGTGTGTGGGCACACCTGTGTGAGCTGCTGCTCTTGAATGTGTGTGGGGTGGGGGTGTCTAGGGATGCTCAGTGCACCCATGTGCCTGAAGTGTTCTTGCCTGTCTGACAGCATGCCTCCACCAGCTCCTGGAAGGGTTGGATCCTGGCGTGTGTGTGTGTGTGTGTGTGTGTGTGTGTGTGTGTGTGTATGTGGCCTGTGTGTGTCTCCTCCTCCCTGGCCCCTGCTGCTGTCAGCTGATATCCAAATGCATGAGACGGATTGTCTGGAGCTGCCCCCAAGCCTTGGCAGCCTGAGGGTGCCCATGGGGAGCCCTGTCTCCGCTTGGCTCCTTGCAGTCTGTGGGGCACAGCGTTCCCCTGGAGAGAGGCTGTTCCTTGTGGGCTCTTACTGTCCATACTCCCAGCCTGCCCTGGGGGGAACTTCCTGCTATCTCCTCACCTCCAGGCCTGAGCTGGAGGAAGGCTGGGCAGAGGAGAGCTGCCAGGCAAGACAGATGGCCTGCAGCCTGGGCCAGGGAGGGGCACCACTTTGATCTCTGATGCCCTGGGGACTCACGGGCTGCAGGTGCTACCAGCCCAGCACCCCGGCACAGCGGGGAGGCTGAGGCAGACACACGCTCCTGGAGAGACATGTCATGTAAGGTGGGGATGAGAAGGGGTATGGTAAGGGGGTAGGGAGCAGGGCTGCTGTGGCTGAGATATTCAGCAACAACCTCTCTGAGAAGATGACATTCAATCAGAGATGTGGATGGTGTGAAGGAGGATATTCTGCGGAAAAGCCCAGTTGGCAGAGGGCACTGCACATGCAAAGGCTGTGAGGCTGGCCATGCTTAGGGTGCTCGGTGGAGGCCAGTGTGGCCAGGTCGGGTGGGGGAGGGGGGCTGGTAAGTGCAGAGGTAAGTGAGGCAGGGGAGCTGACACAGGGCCACGGCTTTCCTTCAACGTGGGGAGGGCTTGGGACACCATGTGGGGTTTTTTTTTTTTTTTTTTTTGGTGGGTGTTGTTTTTGAGACAGGGTCTTGCTCTTTCACCCAGGCTATAGTGCAGTAGCGCAACCATGGCTCACTGCAGCCTCGACCTCCCGGGCTCAAGCGATCCTCGTACCTCAGCTTCCCGAGTAGCTGGAACTATAGTTGTGCACCGCCATGCCTGGCTAATTTTAAATTTTTTGTAGAGACAGTCTTGCTGTATTGCCCAGGCTGGTCTTGAACTCCTGGGCTCAAGGAATCTGCCCGCTTCAGCCTCCCAAGGGACACCATGGTTTAAGTGGCGGTTGTGCCTGAACATGTGACCTGTGTCCCCCGTGTGTCTGTGTGCACATGTGTGGACCTAGACCACCAAGGGAAGGGCAGCAGGCTGCTGGGGGGTGGTGTACATGGAGCAGAGAGTCAAAGAGCCTTGGAGGTCCTTCCAGCTGAGGGCACAGTCAGAGTCTCCATGGCTCCAGAGAACTTGGAACCACATGACAGTGACAGGGAGGCAGATTTCAGCTCAGTATCCTGAAAGCCTGGCAGCCGCAGGTGCTGGAATTGACTACCGTGTGAAGTGGTGAGCTGCCTGTTGCAGGAGGCAGGCAAGCAGAAGCCAGAGGCCACAGTCAGGGACACCGTAGAGGGTAATCCTGCCCTCCACAGCTAAGAGTCTATGGTTAAAGGCCTCCTTCCAGGTGACATGGGTGGGTTTGAACAGAAATCGGCTTTTGAGACTGGGCAGCAGGCATTGTGGAGGCCTTGGAGGACTGGGCAGGGCTTTGGGCCTCCCTTTGAATGTACTCTGCAGATGCCCATTGTCTGCTGGTGCCCGGGAGGCCTGGCCGTGCCTGCTGACTGGGGTGGGTGGCCCCTCTGCAGGCTCTGCTCCAGAGGCAGCCCCTGCAGGGACCCACTGAGGCCTGGGTTGGTGGTGGCAGAGCTTTGTCAACCTTCCACCTTTTATGAAGATTCTGGGGCAGGGGCCTGGGTGGGTGGGACAGGGTGGGAGGGGCTAAGATCAACGAGGGGCTTCCCTCTCAGAGTGGGTCAGCTCAGATCACCAGTTGCTGGCAATTGGACACATCGAACCTGGACAGGGGGAGCCAGCGGGCATCTCCTGCCTGTCCCCTCATTGTCTGGACAGGACCCAGATGTGCTGGTGGCTCTTGCTGGCAGGGGAGGAGGGAGGCCAGGCAGCAGCAAGGAAGGGTTTCGATCTTTGGCATTGATGGGCCTAGGCTTCAGTCAGCTGCTGGCAGCTGAGGATGGCAACTTCTCTCTAGTCCCCAGGTCCTCACCCCGAGTGGCGGGTGATAATTCCTACTGGGAAGGGCTGCTATAGGGGTGGCATGAAGGGAGATGACGGTGGAAAGCACTATCACAGGTGGGTCCCCTGGAATAGACCTGAGTGAGGGTTGCAGGCACTCTACCTGGGAGGGGACCTCGAGGTGCACCGGTACAGGACGGGAGGTGAGAGGCAGGGATGGGGGGCTGGTGCCAGTGCCTTCGTGAGCAGGGGACCTCGGTGGGCAGCCAGGAGATGGCGGAAGCAGATCCTCAATACAGGGCGGGGGCTGCCCTGTTCTCTGCCACCTCCCAGCACCTGGCACACTGTGGGCACTGAACTGGACATTGGGAGGTCTCTGCAGGCGTGGAGGGAAGTAGAAGGGCTGTGGGAGAGGCCCACCCCAAATCAGGTCTGCCATCCTTTCGGAGAAACTGGGAGGCTGGATTTCTGGGCTGAGGATCATAGGAGGCAGCCACGACAGAGCCAGAGAGTCTTAGGTGATTCCGTCCAATCCTTATTTCTCTGTGGAGGCAGCATAGTGTGATGGCAGGCAGGGCCCGGCTGTGAGGGTTCAAGCCCTGGCTCAGCCACTTACCAGCTGAGTATCTCTGGGCAAGTCCCCTCAGCAGTGCACTGGGCTAGGCGCTAGCAGCTCTGTCTGCAACAGGTTTCTGGTGAGGCCTAAATAAATCAATGCGTAAGCAGTGCTGAGAGCAGAGGCTGGCACATCATAAGTGCTTGAGAGCTGTTAACTCTTATTATAGCGGCTGTTAGGATTATTAGATGAGAAACCTGGGGCACAGGAAGGAGGACTGTCTGGTTTGAGGTCATGCGGTGAGTTAGAATTCAGATCTTCCCGTCGTGGCAAGCTCACGGAGCTGCGGAGTGTGGCAGTGGTGGAGGTGGGGCAGGGTGGCCTTCTCCTCATGCTCTGGGCTGGGTCCCTGCCCCTCCTCACCCAGCCTGTGCTGCAGAGGTAGCTAGAGAACCTGCAGCAGCCCTGTTTTCTTGAAGGAATGGGCTTGGCCCAGAGGGGAACCACTCAGCTGTCCTTGGAGAACTTGTTAGCCTTGTCTCCTGGCTCCAGGCCCTTGTGTTTTTGGTGGGCTCAGTGTCTAGGCAAGGGCTTGTCAACTGTTTGTCACAAGGAGGAGACACCTGGGAGCCAGAGGGTTTGAGGGAGGGTTGTATTTCTCTCCATCTCCATAGACACCCCGGTCCAGGCTGCTGTCTTCTCTCACCTGGACCATTGCAGTGGCCTCCCGTGGGTATCCAGGGCTCATCCTGCCCGTCAAGCTGTGTCTCCCATCCTCTGTTTTGGCCTTTTAGTTTCTTGGACCTGCCATGGGCCCTTGGCCACAGGGCCTTTGTACCTGCTGCCTCTTCTGTCTGGGATGTGCTTCCCTCCCCTCTTCACCTGGGTTTTGCCTACCTCTCTTCCAGGTGTCAGCGTAATGCTGCCTTCTAAGGGGAGTGCTCCATTGCTACCCTGGCTAGATCCAGGACCTTGTTCCGGGCTCTCATCCCCATCGCCTCTCGGTCATCACGATTTTGTGTGTATTCGTGTGTGGGTCCGGTGAGAGGCCAGCTCTCCTTCTGGACTCAGCAATACGAGCATACGGCTTTGTCTGCTTTTGCTCACTGTGGCCTCCTGGTGCTTGCCATGGCGCCAGGCACATAGAGGGTGCTCAGGAGGTATATTCTGAATGTGTCCATCATGGGGTGGAGCCATATCGCCTCTCCCCCCTTGCCAGGGGCTAGAGGGAGTGGAAGCTTACCATGAGTACCTGTATGTGGGCCCCTTCCTGCAGACACCACCAGAGATCAGGTCAGAGCAAGGGGCCGCCAGTGTCCAAGGACAGCCGTGGGAGGCAGCCAGGAATCAGGCAAAGATCCCCTGGGGTCCTTCTCACCCCTGGCTTCGGAGATACCCCCTGCAGCCTGAGTGCTCAGCAGCCAGCTCTACCCTAGGGCCATGGAGGCCGTGCTGGGCAGAGGGAGGGGCCAGCCTCCAGCCACCTGTGGTCTTGGCTGAATTGCTGCCACTTGGCCCGTCCATTCCTCAGCTGCCTCATCCACACCAGGCCAGGAGTTTCCAGATTCTCTTTGGAAGGAGAAAGTTTCCCCCAACAGAATCTTGAAGAAACCTGATAATGAGAAGCAGGTGAAAGCCAACTGCCGCTCAGGCTCGCCTGTTTGTAGTTGTCATTAATATTTATTTGCAGAACCTGCAAGATGACAGTGTGGGTGCCAGGCATTGTCCTAAGTCCTGGGGCTCTAGCAGTGAGCAAGGCCGACAAATCCCCTGCCCTCATGGGACTGACGTGCCAGCGGGAGGCAAACAGTCCTCACTAGATGCGTGAATGAAAGGTGTGGTGTTGCAGGGAGTGGTGTGTGGAAACAGCCAGTGCAAAGGCCCTGAGGTGGGCTCCTGCCTGCTCTGTTGGGAGGAACAACATGGACGTTGGAGTGGCTGGACAGGGTGAGTGAGGGGGAGGGTGGTAGGAAGGGAGGCCAGGGGGCTAATGGTGCAGGTCGTGTAGAGGCCTTGGGAGCCATTGAAAGCTGTGGTTTTCACTCTATGAGAAGGGAGCCTCTGTTTTTTCTTTCTTTCTTTTTTTTTTTTTTGAGACTGAGCCTTGCTCTGTCTCCCAGGTTGGAGTGCAGTGGTGCGATCTCAGCTCACTGCAATCTCCGCCTCCTGGGTTCAAGTGATTCTCCTGCCCCAGCCTCCTGAGTAGCTGGGATTACAGGCGCCGGCCACCACCCCTGGCTAATTTTTGTATTTTTGGTAGAGATGGGGTTTCACCATGTTGGCAAGGTTAGTCTCAAACTCCTAACCTCAGGTGATCCACCTGCCTCGGCCTCCCAAAGTGCTGGGATTACAGGCATGAGCCACCATGCCTGGCCATGATGGGATCCTCTTAAAGAGAGGACCCCTGTGGTGTCACTCAGGTTTTAATCGGGTTCCTCTAGCTGCCAGGTGGGAGTGCACTGTGCATGTGTGTGGGAGTGGCAAGTGTGGGAGGCCGGAGCCCAATAGGAGGCTAAGGGCCCTGTTGTGATAGCCCAGACAGAGATGCTGGAGCTGTGGACCTGGGCGGTCCTGGTGGAGGAGGTGAGTCGTGGTTGGATTTTGGATCCTTTTCAAGTAGAGCCAACAATATTTGCTGATAAATCAGGTTTGGGATGTGTGAGAAAAGGACTCAAGGATTTGCCCAACACTCTGGCCTGCATAACTGGAAGGCAGAGTAGCAGTTACCTGGCGGGGACGGACTTTGAACCTGCTGAATTTGCGACACCCATTGGATAGCCCAGGGGAGCAGCAGCTGGATGGGAGCCTGGAGTTCAGGGGTGCATGCTGTGTCTCCTCGCCTGCCATGGTGAGATCTGGTGAACCCCTGAGAAGGCAGTCCCAGGCCCCAGGGAGTGAGTGGAGAGGCAGACAGAGGGAAGGGAGCGCTGAGCCCTGGGGACCACCAGGGTCGGATCAGGGAGAGGAGGCAGGACAGCAAAGGAAGCTGAGAGGAAGGAGGGGACAAGGAGCGCCAGGAGCGGGACCACCAAGCGAGGAAGGGACTACCGGGTCAAATACTGCAGTGGGGCCAAGTGCAATGAGGACTGGCATCGGGGAGAGGGGACTGAGCATCCCCAGCCACAGCTCAGCACCCCCAGCCCGGCCGGTCACCTAGCCTTGCCTCCATCTTCCTTCCAAGCTGGTTTTTGACTCCCCTCCCAGGGGTCAGGACCCTTTTCCCCAGTGGAAGCCCCCAGAGCCCCAGGGGGGCCTCCTCTCTGCCAGCTTGGGGCTGCCAGCCTGGCCCTGGCCTGGCTGTGATATAAATTATGTGGAAAGATGGTGATGTGACTTTTATCGGCTCATGTGTTCAATAATGGTAATATATCCCATTATATCATATTATATTAATATAGTGCAATATATTACATACAGCACTGCACATTAACTTGACTCGAGAACGCACTGGGCAGACACCATGGTTAATTTTCTCGGCCTGGCCACGCCCCACTGCTGGCACTCAGTGCTCCTGGTGATGTGGTCATCAGGACATGGGGTGCAGTTACCGACACCCCAGACGCTACACTGAGGTTTTCCCAGCCCCGCCCCTGCCTCCCACGGCCTGTGTGAGGATTGTCGGCTTTTGCAGAACGGGCTTTTGGATGTTACTCCCACCTTGTGGAGGCCTCCCTGTCCTTACCCGTCAGTGCAGCAGGGGTCATGTAATTAAGCCCCCATTGAACAGATGCAGAAACTGAGGCTCAGAGATGTGAAGTGGCACCCAAGGGATGTGGTGGGGAAACACCTGGAACAGGGACTCTCAGCTCCCCATCCTGGCTGCTTCCTGGGTGCGGGGATGGTGTAGGCAAAGGGCAGGAGGCTGGGAATGGACACGCAGTGTGTGCCAGGTGGGGAGCAGGGGGTGAGAGTGCTTAGGGGCTGGGGCCAGACAGACCTGGGTTCAAATCTCACTTTGCCACTTGCTGTGTCATCCTGTTTCCATGTATTCTTGGGCCTCCATTTCCTCATCTGAAAAATGAAGGTAATAAGTAGTGTTCACTTCATGGGATTATTGTGTGAGGGAGAAGTGAATAATCCACACGAAGTGCTTGGCACAGAGTAGGTGCTCGTTAGCCAACAGCCACCAGTCCTGTTATGATGACACGAACACTCCAGTAGCCTCGTGCTGCTGCCGCCTCCTGCCCACTGGCAAGGATGCCTGGCCCTGGCCCAGCCTGCTCCATGTCCCCAGCCCCGGGGAAGCCCACCCTGCTCCACCCTCAGCCTCGCCCCTTTGGGTCCCGCAGCCTCCCTGGGCTGCCCCCAGCTCTCTCTGCCCCTTGGACATTTGGGTGTGACCTAAGGTCATCATTGCCTGTGTCCTGGCCCACAGACAGCACTGTGGCACAGAGGAAGCCTGGCTTGCCATTGGGTGGGCCTGGGTGTGAACCCAGGCATGTTCCTCAGCTTCGGAGGGGCAGCTTCTCTTCTGAGGATCGGGCTCTGGCTTCCTACCTCGGGGCCGTGGTGAGGGTTACCAAGGGAGGCTGTGCATGAGCCCCTGTCGCACCTCCTGTGTGTGAGAGAGGTGCATGGCTGGCTCTGAACATCTGGGCCAATTCCTCCCCTCTCCCCAGGCTTCTGTAACACTCATTCTCCCTCGGGACCCTCGCAGTGCCTGACACATCCCAGTCTTTCACCGTGGTGCCTGTGGACAGATGAGGAGACTGAGGCTCACAAAGGAGGTGACTTGCCCAAGGTCACACAGCGAGGCAGCTTCTCACCTATGGGAGTTGGACTTTGAGCCCTCCTTGGAAAAGGGGGCATGGCTGTGCCCCTTGGGGCTCCTTGCTGGGCCTCTGCCCTGCCTGCCTGGGCTCCTCCCGGCCTCCCCCACAGATCACTGTTGACAAGGTTACTGAGTCAGCATGTAAAACCTGCAAAAGTGAGTATAATTTATTGATCTACATTTCGCCTATGAAATAGGACAAGTGCTGATTTGAGGATCGCGTTTGCTCTCCCTCGCCCGCCGCCCCCGCCTGCTCTCTCGGGCGCTCTTATCTGCGGCCCTGCCTCTGAGCCTGCATCGAGCCGCCTCCTTTGTCAGCCCTGCCGAGGCTCTCCCCTCCGTACCCACTATTCTTCTCCAGCTTCTGGGCCTTATCGGGCCCCTCTTTTTTCCTGGGTGCCTAAGAAAACATATAATGTTTAAAAGGGTGAGACAAGGGACTGAATAAAGAGCTTTCTGGGGAAATATTTGTCCAAAGGCCTGTTGCCTGCGTCTGTCTGGTTCTCTCCTGGAAAACGTAATTCAGAATGGGCCTGGAAATTAATCCAAGTGTCCGCTTGTTTTCCTGATAAGAGGCTGGGCAGGACCCGGGGATGGGGAGACAGAGGTGGCATGGGGCAGCTTCCCAGCGTTTGCTTCCTGGGGTGTCAGTGGGGGACAGGGTGTGACAGGCCCCAGGAGGTGAGGGATGCCAGAGGGAGGGTCCTGCCTGAACCCAGGAGGGAGGAAGGAGACCTCAGAGCACCTTCTATGTGCTGGGCACTGCCGTGGGTGGCCCACTTACTGCAGAGTGACGCCACTGGCTTGCCCAGGCGCAGCGTCAGACCATGTGAGAATTGGAGCTGCTGACCAGCTCTGCGACCTTGGCAAGGCCCTGAGGCTTTGGGCTTCAGCTTCCTCACTGGCTGAAGGTGCTTCAGCACTGTGGTGCTTGTCTCATGGGCGGGCTGTGCAGAAGGAATGAGGTGTCCCCTTTGTTCAATGAATGCCTGTCCTGTGGCAGGTGTCTGAAGACACAGTGGGGGAATAACATGAAGCCCCAGGCTGATGTTTTAGAGGGAGATGGATACTAAATGAAATAAGTAAGGAAATGTAGTGTGTTAGTAGGTGATCATTGTGCAGAAAATCAAAGCAGAGGAGGTGAAGGTGGAGTTCAGGGGAGGGAGGTGGGATTGGTCAGGGAAGGCCTGCCTGAGAAGGAGACATTTGAGCAAAGTCTTGAAGTGAGGGATGAGAGGGAGCGAGCCACATGCATATCTGGGGGAAGAGCATTCAGGCAGCAGAACAGCCAGTGCAAAGGCCCTGAGGCGGAGTGTGCCTGGAGAGTTCGAGGCACAGTAAGGAGGCTGGCGTGACTGGAGCCGAGTCAGTGAGGCCAAGCTGGGAGTGGCTGGAGATGAGATCAGAGGTGTTGAGCATGAAAATGCTTTGTTAAAATGCCAAGTGTAATTCTGACAGACTGCTCTGAGCTGAGCTGTAAAGGGCATTTTATTAGCACTTGGCAGGGGCTCCCAAAGGAAGGCTGGTGTGTGAATTTTGCAGGAAGTGGGGAGACCTATTATTGCTCCTGTCCCCTGCACACCTTAAATGCCCCAGTCCTTCCGGCTGGCTGCAAGATGGTGCAAACTCTTCCCAAGCTATTTCCCCATGATGGCGCCAAGAGAAAAAAGAGGACCCTTAGGACTTCAGGGCCATGCTTTGGGGGTGGAGGACAGGTAAGGATCCTGGTGAGAGGCCCTGACCTGGCCACTAGGGCACAGGTGGCAGTGGAGGTCCACACGTCCTGGCCATACCCCTGGCCTCCGGGAGAGAAGCCAGGGGCCACGAGATCACTCTCTGGCAGCCTCGTGTGGGGTTGGTGATCCTAATTAAAAGTTCAGATGCAAAAGGCTTGATGATGGAATTTCTAATTAAATCAATTTCATCTCGTCTGGGAGACAGGTTTGCCTATAATAAGCATGAAATTAATAATTATGTATAGAAACTAGCTATTGCTCAAAGCAGAGCCGTTTTACACAACCTTCCAGGGCTCCTGCCCGATCTTTTGTGTTGGAGACGAGTGGGCCACTTCAGCCCTTAGTTTGACAGCCAGGAGTGGAGGCGGGGGCTCAGCAAGGAGAGGAAGCAGGGCTGGTCTCCCAGCTGCTGCCCTGAGGATCCTGCCCCACAGGATGGGGGCGGCCTTCTCACTAGAGGCTGCAGTGTCACCCTCAGATTCTCAGTGTGTGTGTGTAGATGTTGCATGTGTGTGTGTAAATGCATATGCATGTGTAGGCCCACCGTGTACGCAGGAGACAGGTTTTACCTGACAGCAGCATGGGCTCTGCAGCTAGTTCGAGTTCAAATCCTGGCTCAGCCACTCACTAGCTGTGTGAGCTTGGGCAAGTGACTTAACATCTCTGTACCTCAGTTTCAGAAAAATGGGGAGAATAAGAGGGCCCACCTCATAGGACTATGGTAAGATTGAAGGTGTTAAGGTGCATGAAGCTACTTAGGACAGTTCTTGGCACATAGTAAGCACCCAGTAAGTGTTAGGTCTCATGATGATGAGGATTGCATGTGTGTGTGTGAATCTAATTCAATACAATTCCGCCCAAACCAGCCTGTGATGAGTGTGAACTTGACACATCCATGCCCTTGAGGTGGAAATAAATAAGAGTCATTCCTGGCTCTCCCAGAGGTGGAGCCTAATGTTTACCGCTCCCTGTGTCTGTCAGCATAGGTGAGGTGATGCTGCCATAACAAAAAACCCTCAAAGCTCCGTGGCTTAAAATAGCGTCAGCTTAACTCTTGCAGTGTGACATGTCTATGGAGGTTGGCTAGGCACTCTACTCAGGGACCCGGGCTGGGCTGGAACAGTGCTCAGGGACCCATTGCTTACAGTAGCAGAGGAAATGTGTACCCTGTAGGTCTCACGACTGCAATTCAGTGCTGTGGGACAGAAGCGATAGACATGTTCTGCTTTCAGCTCATTGTCCAGAACTTTTCAAGTGGTCCCAAGAAGGCAGAGATCTTGAAATGTTTGGCTGATGGCCCTTGCCCAGCACCCAGCATTAGCTCTGTGTGTATTCATTCACTATTGATTGTCTCTCCCACTCGGATGTCCGCTCCATGAAGGCAGGGATCATGCAGAGCACTCAGTGGGTGCTCAGTAAACCCTGGTCAAGTGAGTGAATTAATGAATGGCCTGACAGAGCTTTGGAGGAGCATGAGTGGATGCTGGGAGAGTGTATGGGGGGAGGCTGGTGGACACAGGAGCAGCTGAGGCAAAGGGACCCCATGGGCCTCGTGGCCAGTTCGACTGTCTTTGATAGTAGTGCCTGCAGCCTAGGACACTCTGACATGCACTCTCCATCACAGAGGGGAAACTGCAGATCACGGTGTGATAGGAAGGGGGCCATAGGTTATACGGGCAGAGGAGGGCCAGAGAAACCCTGGAACTGGGCAGAGGGGAGGTCCATCTCCAGACCGGGGGGAGGAGCAGAGCAAGGGAGGCCAAGGGCCCTGGGGTGGCAACTGCAGCTTTCTCAGCTGCCAGGAAGAAGGCTGAGTCTGGGCTGGCCCAAGGTGGGCCCTCGCAGGCTGATCAATTGCACTGGAGCACAGGCCGGCCTGCCAGGGCCAGACAGGGGCACATGGTCAGGCCCCAGAGTGACCAGATGCTCAGGGCAGGAGTAGGCAGCTGGTCTAAATCCACAGAGCAGAGGAATAGATCTGATTAATGAGGGAGTCAAGTCCTGAGGTGAGTGCCTAGGCAGGGCTGATTCGAATTCCCGGAGGGTCTGTGGCGAAGGGGTTGGTGCTCCCCAGATGGCTCTGGCGGGTGTTGGGGAAGGCGGTATTGAAGGGGAAGGGCCCCAATGTGTGGCCCTGGAGGAGGCGCTGGGGCAAGGACAGACAGTCTCCCGATCTGGGGCCTATCCTGCTCCTCCCAAAGACCACCCAGTTGTGCCCACACAGTCCCCTGCCCAGGTGCCCCCCGCCATTTCCCCTAGGCCTTGTTCTTTGATCACTGGGGACAGGGCAGCTCCATGGAGGGCGTGGGTGTGTGAGGCCTCCGTGGGGCTGTCCCAAGCTGTCTGGGTCACTCTAACCTTCTGCTCCTGAACCCAGCGGTGCGCATCAGGGATGGGCCTGGTCAGGGCTGAAGGCCGGGGACTGCTGGCATCCTCTCTATGTGCTGGCCCCACCCTGCTCCCTCTGCTGCCTCCCTGCACCCCCCTGCTAGTCCCCACTCTCTCTGTGGCCACATATAATTGATCCCCAATGCCGTGAGTCTCCCGCTAAGTGCCTGCCGCCCACCTCCCCTCCACCCCGAAGCCCCTGTCTTGGTTCAGGCAACATCAGCTACTGTCTGCCGTGCACTCACCACCTTCTCCTGGACTTCTGGGCCTGCATCTCCAGACTCTTCCCCTGCAGGCTGAGGGCAGGCTGAGGGCCATCTGACCACCTGTACCCCTGCTCAGGCTCCCTCCACAGCTCCCCTGGCTCCCAGGAAAGTCCCGCTCTCCTTGGCGGGGCCTGGGAAGCCCCTGTGGCTGGACCTCTGTGCGCAGACAGCCTGGTCCCCAGGCCCTGCCATCGTTTCCCTCACCCTGTGGCTCTTCCCTTGCCCATGGGAGGTTGGGGGAAATCTTTGTTCTCCCAGCCACAAGCCTGACTCCCCAACTAGGCTGGTTATCTGAGTGTTATTTAAATCTGTGTCCTCAGCACCTGGCCAGAGGGGTGCTCAGGTGCTCTGTGAGGGGGAGCCCTGGGGAGGTGCAGGTGAGACCGGCTCCCAGCCCACAGAGGGAGGGAGGGAGGGAAGGGCAGCTGGCAACCCCATCTCTTGCACCTCTGGGCACCCCCTCCCAGCCCCCACCCCCTCTCTGCAGCTAAGGCGCTGTAGGGGAGGCTGCACTGCTCAGGCCCCTGAGGGGTCAGGGTGGGGGATGTTGCAGGCAAGGCCTTTGGAAGCCAGCACTCTCCTCCTCTTTCTCTGAACCACACATTCCTGTCCGCCACAGCTTTCATGTTACCTGAAAGCATCACTGGCTTTTATCTGTGAAGCAAACAGCTGATGCTGAGAGCCGGCAGTGGAGGGCCTGAAGCAGCCAGGATCAGAAGGGCAAGGAGCAGGCAGCCAAGCCTGGGGCTTGTGCTGGCCCCGTGCAGGGTCCCCTGCTCCCTGGGGGATAGGGGCTGCGCCAGGCAGGTGGGGATCTTAAAGTCTGCCTGGGTCCTGGCTGGGCCTAGGCTGGTGGCCAGAGGTGGCTGCAAGATCCCAGCCTCAATCTGTGGTGGCCTGGCCTGGCCCATGGGTGGAACAGAAAGAGCAGAGTCAGCAAGGAGGGTGGGGCAGAGCTGGAGGCCTGGAGGGCATGCCCAGGAGGGTGGGAACATGGGCCGGAGCAGCTCAGTCAGCACCTTGTTTCTGACATCTCCTGGTGAGATACTCAGAGGACACTATCATCTCTCCAAGCCTCAGCTTCCTCATCTACAAAATGGGCACAGTGATCCTAGCCCTGCCTTTCTCTCTAATAAGAATATCTAGCATTTGCCCAGGGCCCCCATGCACCTGGCTTGTTCTAAGCACTTTTTGCATATTTGCTGATGCAGTCCTCTCTGTTGTGATGGTGACGACTTTACGGGGAAGAAACTGAGGCCCAGAGAGTTCACTTGATTGCCTAAGGTTGCACAGTTGGATAGCGAAGCTGGGTCACACAGCCCTGGGCAGGGCGGCTCCGATGGGTGCTGGACACTTACGTGCTGTGCCAAGCATTAGGGCAGAGGAGGAAAGGCAAAGGTGCTTTTAACAGAAAAGGTCACAGGAAGAGGAGTGTGGGCTTTGTCAGGTAGCCCCTGGAGTGTCTGTGGTGATGGCCCTGGATGTCTGGTCACTTGACTTGAGCCCACTTGACTTGTGGGGTTCGTGGTGGGGATTTCAACCCTGACTGAGCTGAACAGTCTTGAACAAAGCTCCAGCCTTCAGAGACCCTGAGGACTGTGCTCCGGGTGGGCACTGAGATGCTGGACACATTCCCTGCCCTCCAGCATCCCCGTTCCACCTTTGGATGGTGTGGGATGTGGACCAGCTGCCCTCAGCGGGTTTTCAGATTCTGCAGTTCTGGGAACCAGTTACCCAGAGCTGGAGCTGTGGGCGTTCTGGGTCACCACCCGTGTGCTAGCCGGTATCAGCATGCCTGGGCTGGTTGTGTGAGGCTGCTGGCTGGGCCTGGGGCAGCCTGAGGGCAGATCCAGGCACTAAGCACACATGTGTGCCTGGATACACACATGCGCGCGCACACACACACACACACACACAGGCATGCACACATGCTCACACAAACACAGGCATGCACCATGCTCACACACACACACAGGCATGCATACATGTTCACACACACACACAGACATGCACACATGGCCTTTGCACTGGCTGCTCCCTGGGCCTGGAACACCTTGGCCTCAAATACCCCTCCCTGCTGGGGTCTTCACACAGACTGTAAAAGAGGTCTCTCTGGCCACTCTGCAACACTCCCCTGTTCCTTTCCTTTCTTTTTCCTCCTGGCTCCTCATCCCCATCTAACAGACTCAGAAGCTTATGATGCACCTCTGCATGACCTGCCTCCATCTAGATTGGAGCCCGCTGACGGCAGTTGTTCATAGTCCATCCCCAGCCCTCAGAACTATGCCTGGAGGCCGTGGGTGTTCCATGCCTCTTTGTAGGAGGAATAAATGAATGAATGTGCGGGGCACCCATGTGCTCAAGGACACACGCTCTAGCCCGTGTGCCCACGTGCATGCACACACTCACACAGACACACACACACACACACTCAGATGTACTTGGAATCCATCTTCATTGTTGCTTAAGTCCGGAAGCAGCTTTTGTCTTTCCCCATGTGGCATGGATCTCCTTGTCACTCTAGAAGCCAGAGACAGAGGGAGAGGGAGAGAGGTTTATTCATGCATCCTTCCACCCCTCAGTCACTCACCCCTTACCTCAGCTGAGGCTCTCCTGGGTGGTGGCTGCAGGCACACTGCGTGTCACTCCAGGGGCCATACAACCTACCCCTCTTCGGGGGGCCCAGACAGTGGAGCACTTTTTGCACAAACACTTTCTGCTGTCTCTGCTGATGTCTCCCAGAACGCAGTGGGTATTGACTAGTGTTTGGGGTGGGATCAGTCTAGTTCAACTCTGCATCTCTCCACGTGGCCTTGCCTGCACAAGGTGGGGTGCTTGGAGGGCCTGTTGAATTGATGAGTAGGCAGAGAATAGTAACACCGGGAGGACGTGCCTGGTGCCCTTGGGGCAGCCGCATTCAGTGCTGTGGGAGGCTAGGCCCCCTCTGGAGGATGAGGGCTCAGGGAGGGCTGCCTGGAGGAGGTGACATTTGAGTTGGGCCTTGATGAGAAGGGGGATTTGGATGTGGGAGATGAGGTCATGGACTCTGGGGACAGAGGAAAATAGACAAAGAGGAAGGAGAAAGGGACAGAGGGACCTAGAGCAGGACGCCTGTGCTTGGTCAGGGGCTGCTGGAATCTGAGTTCTGACTCTTGCCCCATGAGGGTGTGACACAAGGTGCTGTGTCCCCAGCACCTGGAACAGTGTCCAGTGTACAGTAGGTGCTCAATGTGTTGGGTGAGGGAAGCAAAGGAGGCAGAGGGATGGAGCAGCTGGCACCAGGGCGGGCACCATTCCCTCCCTCCCCTCCTGCTGCTGCTGTTGGGAGAGGAGAGGAGCATTCTCCTCAGAGAATGTAAATTGCACGTCCCCCTCCTGCTCGGGCTGGGCTGCGCAGACAGTGGGAGTTGAAGAGACGTCAGAGCCCCACATGGGCCAGGTTGTCACAGTCACCTGCTTAGACGCAGACGTGGCTCCCTGCCCACCTGTGGCGGCCCCTGGCACCTCCTGCCCCCGATCCCTCCACTCCAGGGTGGGGCAAGAGAGCCTTGGAGAGCCCAATAGCATTCCCAGGATGTCCCTGTGACAATGACAATGACAACAACGAGACCATGGAGAGAGTGTGTGATGGGAGGGGGCCGGCAGAGAGGGAGAGTCCTAGGAGGTAAAGTCAGAGAGAGGCAAGAGAAGGCGATTGCTGCCAGAGGAGGTTTAGCGGGAGGAATGGCAGCTCCCCTAAGAGCTGACCCTTAGTGCTTACCGCCTGCCAGGCACTGTTCTGAGTGCTTTGCTTGAATTCCCTCATGTGACCCTCACAGCCTTAGGAGACAGCTATTGTAATTATTCCCATTGTGCAGCTGAAGAAACTGAGGCCGGGGAGGTGAAGTAACTTGCCCAAGTTTTTTTTCAGCTGGTGAGAGGTGGAGCTGGGATTTGAACTTAAGCAGTATAGCTCCCCAAAGTCTGCTTGAAACTGTCTCCCTAGGAAGTGTGGGTGGGGCTGGAGCTGAGGAGGGAGGCTGCGGGGAGAGCAGACAGGAGAGGCTGGCAGGTGGACACATCGCAGGAGGCTGGCTTATCCCCGGGATCCTGTTCAGGAGCCTGTGATTCCCTCACCCGCATCTCAAAGTTGGGTCCTTGTTCTAGTGTCTCAGGAATTATTGGGGGAAGGTCAGGGGCCCCTCCTGCGCTCTTGAAATCAGGGGTCCGGGGCTCTCCTGCAGGCTGACGCGCATATCCTGCAGGAGCACATGCTTGGCCCCCCACCCTCTGGGAGAATGCAGTGTGTGCCGTGGGCCAGGGCCAGTGTGCCAGGGCCTCACTCTGGATTTGGGCCAGGGTCTGAAGGCTTCTAACGAGTCTGGCCCCACAGGGGATGCCCGGACATCCATCCGTCCATCCACTGCTCACCACCTGTGCTGAGCACCACCTGGGCCTGGAAAGGAGCTTGGAAGGAGGAATAGGGATGAGTGAGAAGGAGCCACTTCATCTTGGGGGGGCCTCTGTTTCCATTTGCCGCCGGCTGTGTGGCCCGGGTTGAGCCCTCAACCCCTGCCGGGAATCAAGGACTGGTGGGAGGAAACACCAGAAGTAGGGACAAGCTTCTGATCAGGAGGGGCGTGGAGGCAGGCAGGTGATGATCGCTCCTGGCTAGGGCCCAGCAGAGGCCAGCAAGAGAGGTAAACAAAACACTTGTCTCTCAGGGACCTCCCCCCAGCAAAGAACTAACCTCCCCTGCACAGTGTGAAGAGTGCAAAGGCTGAGAAACTGCTCTAAAACACAAGACTTCCTAAAAACAAACCAGCCATGACTCTAATACCATTTTCAGACCTCAAAAATAACAACCTTAAAGTGAATTAATAAATATCCAATCCGAGCTCACATTTTAGAGGGTGCTGTTTTTATGCCAAGTGTTCTCCAAGGCAGAGAGGACTGGGCTAGTTTTCAGTCACTGCTGACAGAGCAGGTGAGGGGACACATAGATTCCAGTATAGTCGAGTGTGGTTTGCTTTCCAAATGGGTGGAAGACGTGCATGGTTCTACATTGGAAACCTACAAAGGGTAGAAGGTGAAAGGTCCCTGCCATATCCTGTCTCGGCCACTTGCTTTCCTCCCCTGAGGCAATGCACATGTTTTGTTTCAGAGCAGCAAGTATGCACCTCCCCTTTCACACAGTAAACAGCTTCCACCTGCATGTTGCCTCCTTATTGCTGTTGTTTTTACCCCAGAATATCTTGGAGACCCACCCAGAGCAGTGCCTGGAAATCAGCCTCATTCCTTTTCACAGCTGTGTAATATTCCTCATCTGGCTGGAACTTCTTTAAACAATCCCCTCTTGATGGACATGTGGGTCGTTTCCAAACTTTTACTGTTACAAACAGTGCCAGTGGATAATGTAGTACATGCCATTTTATAAAGACTACAAGAGCTGCAGTGAGGGGGTTTGGGAGTTAACCCTTGGTTGCTTAGAAAATCCAAAAAACCAGTTAACTGTTTGCCCTAACCACATCCTCACCCGTGAAGGTCTCAGTGGTTTGGGCTTTTCCCACAGGGGAGGCGGAGAGCGGGCCAGCTGGGTGGCCGAGCTGGGCCATGCTTTTGGCAATGGACGTTCTCAGGGGAGGGTGGACCCTCACTGTCCCCAGTCAACTTCCTTATTGTCATTTGTCCCTTTATTAAGAGGCTGTGGGACCTACTATGCATTGACTCTCCCCATCCTGCTCTGCTCCAGCCACACAGACCCCTTGCTAGGCCACCCATACACCACCTGCCACCCCGATGTCCCACCCCCTTATGCCACTCTGTGAGGCCTCATCGCTGTGGAGAATGGTCCCGGTCACTTGTTAGCTTGCTTGCTCCTCTCCTCCCACTAGAAGGAAGCTCCGTGAGTGTTTTATTCACTGCTGTCCTCAGCACTTAGGACATCATAGGTGCTCAATAAAGTCTTTGTTGAAGTGAATAGAGTTGAATGTCGGGATATTGAGGTGGGGCTTCTAGGTCGGCAGAACCTCTGCCCTGTCCTGAGGAAGGGGAGCTGACTGGTCTGGGGGGTGGCCCCAGGGATAGGGACACACTAGGCTTTGGCCAAGTGGGCAACCACTTGCCAGGGGCACCCCCAACCCTCCTGTCCCAGGAACATTTCCCCACCCACAGTTGCCACTGGGCCTGAAGTCTGGCCACAGGTTTCTTGGCCAGGATTGAATCTGAGTGATTCCTTAGGGGCATAAAATCTTAGTTTCGACGCCAGCCTGGATCAATATGCATTCCCCACCCCTGTCTCCCTGGACAACTGAGCGGGCAGAGGGCACACAGGAAAGAGGAGTGTCCCTGTGGGCCAAGCGGGGAGTGGAGCCCACAAGCCCTGAGCAGCCGGGAGAGCAGAGCAGTGGGTGGCGCCCTGGAGGGGAGGGGCGGAGAGGAGGGACCATACCCCTTCCCTGTCCTGGGGATGGTTGGGTGTATCTACAGGAGGCAGGGGGTCTGAGTCTCATTCCTGCCTGGGGAGGGTCCAGGTGGGGCCTGTGGAGGCGGGAAGATGCCCCGTGACTGGAAAGCCCCGGGGCTGGGGCAGGGCCCCGGGTCGGCTCTGCCTTGGAGAGGCTGTGGGACCCGGCAGGGTGGTGACTCTCTGGGCTCAGTGTCCCCAGCTCCAGAGAGAAGGGAATTCCTGAAGCCCACCCCACTAGCTTCCTGGGCTTCCATCCTTGGGGTTGGAGTGGGGGACAGGGGAGCTGGAATCGAGGCTCCATCTCCTCTGAGCAGGGCACGAGGAAGGAGGCTGAGCTGGCAGAGAGCTGTGGGGACAGGGTCTGCTGGGTCCTGACCAGAGGAGCTGCCTGGGGACATGGGATGGGCCACATGACCCCTCAGGGCCCCTCCCAACACCCAAATCCCACCCCATCCCCAGGCTGAATCATCTCACGTATGTGGGGATTTTCCCTGGGCTGGGATCTTTGAGCTCTTTGTGTAAATTTAGGCAGCCAGAGGCTCCCAGGGTGTATGTGTGTGTGGTGTATGTATGTGTGTGCCTGTGTGTGTATCTGTGTGTGGTTGGGGTGTCTTTGGGGACCCCAGGGAGGCCGGTTGGGAGACTTTCTGGAGGAGGAGGCATCGCCCATGGGGAGGGGTGGGCTGTGGTGGTCCCAAGGCTGTGGGGACCAAAGGGAGGTTGGTGTGTAGGGGAATGGGGCTGGCTAGGCAGGGTGGGGAGCCAGTCGCCACCCTCAGCAGCCCCTCTCGCCCCTCAGATACCCCAGATCAGCTACGCCTCCACAGCGCCAGACCTGAGTGACAACAGCCGCTACGACTTCTTCTCCCGCGTGGTGCCCTCGGACACGTACCAGGCCCAGGCCATGGTGGACATCGTCCGTGCCCTCAAGTGGAACTATGTGTCCACAGTGGCCTCGGAGGGCAGCTATGGTGAGAGCGGTGTGGAGGCCTTCATCCAGAAGTCCCGTGAGGACGGTGAGTCAAACGCCTGGCCGCAGAGTCATGCCAGGCTCGGGGGTGTCCCGGCACAGTGACTGACCCACCAGGAGCTCCCAGCCGGGGCCTGATACAGGCTCTGACTGCCTGGCTGTTGCCAGGTGGGCCTCGGCCTCTTCTTTGAGCACTGTGGTTTGGTCCATGGCCTCACTGGGCTCTGGGTGACTCCGGTCAACGGCGACTGTGAGGCCTTTGCAGACGTGGGTGTGCAGATGAGGGGACTGTTGACCTCCCTGGTGCAGGAGCCTGCGGGGCGGCCGCTCTCCTCACAGCAGAGGAAGGGATGGGGTGGGGACGAGGGGCCTTGTTTAGAGGGCTGTCAGGGACTCAGGTGATGGGCGGACAGCCAGGCAGGCTCTCAGAGGAATGAGGAATTTGGAGCCCCTAAAATTAACCTGTCTGTGGTGGGGGTGAGGGTGGAGGGCCGCGGGTGGTCTGTGCTGGTTTGGGCATCAGTAAAGAAGGTGTCCCTGTGGGTGGGGTTTGAGGAACTCTGGCAAGTATTTATTCTCCTCGAGGTCTCCCCCTCGTACCCTGATGCCATCTTCCCCCATTAAGCGTGCTGAATTGCCTTAAATTGCTGTCCTCAGATGCTCTGTGATAAAGCTTTCAGGTGTCCCCAGTGATAAGTGGCTGAGCGATAACAAGGGTTATCCCCTTGGCAGGTGACTCCCACCTAGCAGGGCCCGGGAGCAGGCCCCTGGCTGGGTCTGTGCTGCTGCTGGTGCCCTGAGAGGGCTGGCTGCATGGGCTGCAGCTGTGGGCATCTTGGGGCAGCAGGCAGCCCTAGGCTGGGGGCCTCCACCTGGGCTGGGGTGAGCCAAGAGGGGACAGCTCCTGGGGGGCTGTGGGGCTGAAGGATGGTGCCTGTGACTTCCTCGGGGCCCTGTTGTGTGTGGGGGAAGTGGGGAGGCCCTTCTCCCTCCTGGCAGACCCACCTCCTGCAGAGAGGGCCCGTCTGCCCTGCCCCTGGTCTCTCCCAAGGCCCTGCCTCTACACAGCTCACCAGTGCCCGAGACCTTGGGTGATGGCGTCTGTATATTTATACCCTCATGGCCTCAGGACTCTAATTGCTTTTCCTAAGGACTACAGAGTGTCCAGAGGCTGCCGTTGGTAACACCCCGTGGGCATAATCCTGCTATAAATCTCGGATAAGCCCCTTTAATTGTACAGCTGAAGCTGCTTGGGGGCCTCCACCTGGTGGAGGGGGCAGCGGGGCGGCGGGAAGTGGGGCAGCACTGACTGATGGCTGAGGCTCCAGGCTACTCCCCACTTCTGCAGCCTGGCAGAGCAAAAGGAAGCAGAGGTGAACAGGACTCCACTCCCAGCTCCAGATGGGCTGGCAATAGCACCTGGGAACCCTGGCGGACAGTGTCAGAGCCTCCGAGCCCCAGAGCCCAGCCCCTCCCTTGGGCCACCCACATGTCCTTTCCTCCTTTGCTCAGACCCAAGACCTGGGCACCTACCTCTGGACAGCACCTCCCACTCTGCTCTGCTGGCTCCTTTCCTCCTCTGTGGCTTCAACTCTTCCCCAAACCAACCTCCTACCTTTTCTGTTTAATGCATGACCTCTGCAGGATTTAGGGGCAAAGGTATAGGATGGGGGAAGGGATCAAGGGCCCTGAGTCTCCGTGTTCAGTTGTGTTCAGTCCCTGCCCTGAGGGACCTCAAAGCCACCCCCAGTGCTCATGCAGGCCTCCCTCTGTGCCCAGCACCTGCTGTCCTGGGCAGTCCTTCCTGCCCTACGAGGTAGATGCTGCCTCATCCCCATTTTGCAGGAGAGGAAGTGCAGGCACAGAGAGGCTGAATAATAGCTAGCACCAGGCCACACAGCAAGTAAGAGGTGGAGAAGGGATTTGAACCCAGGATGGCTGGCTCCGGAACTAGAGGTCTCATCTGTTTCTGTACTCTTGTCTTCTCTGTCTTCTGTCATTTGCGTGCTCACTGAGACCCACATGGGCCAGCCCCTGTGCAAGTGCTAGGGTATGACAGGGACACACAGGCACACCCATGTACACACAGCCTGGAGGGACAGGAGAGGCATGGGATGGGGGTGGGGTCTGGGCATTGTGTTTTGGCTGAAGGTAAGCCTATTGTTTAATTTTTTTTTTATCAACATCTAATCAAGTATTGGGCGGTTAGAAAAAATAAAGTCTACTCAAGATTTTTTAAAAGGACTTCATGATCTAGAAAAATAAAATTTGCCATTATGCAAGGGCCTCCAGCTCGGGGCACTCCTGTCCTGGCAGAGGCGCCCCTCACAATACCTGCCACACCCCATGCACCATCTGAGGGCCTGGCTTCCTGCTTGGCTGGGCCTCCCACGTCCCCAAACTTCCAAGGCCACCCCATGCCAGTGTGCAACATCCTACGGGGGCCTGGCCAGGGCAGTTCAGGCAGCTAGGTCTCGTCGCGCAACCCAATAAATGAAATTTGATTTGGAGGAACATCTTTTAGTGGGTGAAAAGAAAGGAAGAGAGAGAGAGAGAGCTGCACTTCAGCTGGCCAAATTGAAATCAGAATTGAGCAGCCAGTAGAAAGAGGCCACTGTACCTTGTAGCCTAATCCCTGTGAAAGATTAAAGATGTCTTTGGCCGTATATTGTATTGATTCGTACTCTGAAGTATAAATCATCTGTGAGTTGCTCAGAGGAGCACCAGAGAGGGGAGTGGTGGGGAGGGCATGCTGGCCAGGCTGGGATGCATGTTGGAAGTGTGGTGAGTGAGTCCTGGGTGCCAACTGTGTGCTGGTCTCTGGGTGCTTCAGAGGAGCATGACTATGCCCATTTTATAGATGGGGAAATGGAGGCCAGAGGGGGTGGGTCACTTTCCCAAGGCCACAGAGCTAGAACATGGAGGAGCTGGGATGGGAACCTGGCTCTGTCCTGCAGGTGGGGAGCCTGTAGGTGGCACATGGAGTGGCCCAATACTGACTGGGCCACTGGCACCAGGCCTAAAGGAAGCCCTGGCACTGGCATTCCCCACTCCCACCCTTGTCTACACATGCTCTGGGCAATCCTGTGGCCCTTGACTGAGCCCTGCCTGGGCCAGACACCCCCTGTGACTATTACAGATCCTGGTAATAACCATGTGGCTAGGTGAAACACCCGTGGGCTAGGTGTTTTTTTCCCATTTTGCAGATGGGAGAACTGAGCCTTAGAGAAGTGATGTGGCTTGCCTAGGGTCACACAGCCAGGTGTCAGAGCAGGACTTGGAGCTAGGGCTGTCAGACCAGGTACTCTACCTATACACCCTGTCTCCTCCAGCTTGCATTGCAGAAGCGGCGGCAGGTGCTTAAGAGGTCAGGCTCCTTCGGGCAGACCTGTGCCCTGTCTCGGATGCTGATTGGCTGTGCGGTCTTGGGAAAATCATTTCGTCTTTCTGGGCTCAGTTTCTTATCTGTGAAATGGGAATAAAGCAAGGTATAAGAGTAAAATGTGTGGTCGGGTACGGTGGCTCACACCTGTAATCCCAGCACTTTGGGAGGCCGAGGCAGGCGGATCACGAGGTCAGGAGTTTGAGACCAGCTTGGCCAACATGGTGAAACGCCGTCTCTACTAAAAATACAAAAATTAGCTGGGACTGGTGGCACGAGCCTGTAATCCCAAGCTACTTGGGAGGCTGAGGCAAGAGAATCGCTTGAACCTGGGAGGTGGAGGTTGCAGTGAGCCGAGATTGCGCCATTGCACTCCAACCTGGGTGACAGAGCAAGAATCTGTCTTAAAAAAAAAGGAGTGAAACGTGCTCCTGGCACATACAGGCGGGAGCTCAGGAATGCGCACTGGAGGGTTTGTCAGGGTCTGGCTGCCTGGGTCCCAGCCCTACCTGGGGCCTGGCTAGTCCTGGGGAGGCCTGGGAAGTGCTGGGCCCCGTGCTGTGCCGTAAATGGAGATACAGGTGTGTCCAGGGATGGGGCTAGAGACAAAACTACAGGAGCCCAGGCTAGCCTGGTTCTTAGGGTATGGCTGGTCTGGTGGGGAGAGGGCAGCAAGGTGAACTCCAAAGGCAGCTAGGCCAGGACGTGTGTGTGTGTGTGTGTGTGTGTGTGTGTGTGTGTGTGTGTAGGGGTGCATGTCTGGGAAGTTCTGGTCATGTGACTGGTAGGCCTGCCTTGGTGGGGATATCTGTAGACTGGGCCTGTGTGTGTGTGTGTGGGGGGGGGGTTGTGTGTGTGTGTGCGGGCACGTGTGGACCTTCTGGTTGCAGCCAGGACTTCTTCCTCCCTGTCAAGGCTGAGGCTGCACCAGGGAAAGGCAAGGAGGCTGCCCTTCCCTCCCGGGCTCCTCTGCAGCATCACCAGGGCTGGATTAGACATGCAGAGCAGGCCTCGCCTGGGCTCTGGAGATAATGCCAGTGAGTCACTGAGGAGGGAGAAAGGCAGGCGGTGGCAAGCGGGTGGCACAGACGTGGGCACAGATGTGGCAGGCTTTTTTTTTTTTTTTTTGAGATGGAGTCTCGCTCTGTCACCCAGGCTGGAGTGCAGTGGCGTGATCTCAGCTCACTGCAACCTCCACCTCCCGGATTCAAACGATTCTCCTGCCTCAGCCTCCCAAGTAGCTGGGACTACAGGCATGCACCACCATGCCTGGCTAATTTTTGTATATTTAGTAGAGACGGGGTTTCACAATGTTGGCCCGGTTGGTCTCGAATCCCTGACTTCAGGTGATCCACCCGCCTTGGCCTCCCAAAGTGCTGGGATTACAGGCGTGAGCCACCATGCCTGGCCTTTTTTTTTTTGGAGATTGGGTCTCACTCTCTTGCCCAGGCTGGAGTGCAGTAGTACAATCACAGCTCATTGGAGCCTCAACCTCTCAGGCTCAAGCAATCCTCCTGCCTCAGCCTCCCGAGTAGCTGGAACCACAGGCATATACCACCATGCTCGGCTAATTTTGTTTTCATTTTTTGTAGGGATGGGGTCTCACCATGTTGCCCGGGCTGGCCTCAAACTTCTGGGCTCAAGTGATGCTCCCACTTTGGTCTCCCAAAGTGCTGGGATTATAGGCATGAACCACTGCACCTGGCCCAGGCCTGTTTTAAGTGCTTTGTACATATTACCTCATTTAGCTCTCAAGACAGCTCATTATACCAATGGCTAAACAGAGGCTCAGAGAGGTTAAGTAACTCCCATGAGGCCACACAGCTAGGAAGTGGCAGGGGCAGGATTTGAATCCTGCAGATACTCTCCCCAGCCACTGAACTTACCCTCTGTGGTGCATGGGGCAGGAAGTCCTATCCACGGGGTCACCTGAGAGTTTGTCTCTAGTCCTCTCAGGTAAGTGCATCTAGCATGTCTGGGCACATCTGTGCCTTAAGGGTGGAAACAAGATGGCCTCTCTGAGTGTGGCAGGAAGGAGTGTGGGGGGCTTGGCCTGCTCCTTGGAGGATGTCTCGTTCCTTGAACAGCAGGAAATTCTGAGGCCCTACCTCTTGGCTGTGTTGCTGTGCCCTCCATTGATATTCCAGAGATGCGGGTGAGTCAAGCTGTTGCTGGGTCTGACCTCCTGCTCCGACTCCCAGGGCTGAGCATCAGACTTGCATGTAGATGGCCTCTGTCAGCACAGTGGCATGGCATGGCTGGCAGCCCGCTGAGGAGACAGTGCTTGGGCAGCAGGAGGCCCAGGCTGGGCAGCTCCTCATCCAGTGGGCTGTGAGACTCTCGGCATGTGGCGTCCCTGGCTGTAAATGGAGCACCCCATCTACGGAGGCTCCACGGGGATGAGGTGGAGATCTGTACGGCCAGAGCCAAGGGGGCTGGCCCCACTCACATTAAGGGTGCCTGTTCCGCTGCCTCTCCTCACTCTCTGGCCTTGCCTCCTTCCGTGCCTCTCCCTCGCTCTTGCCACAGCAGCTATCTTGCAGCTCCTCAAATGTTCCAGGCACCAGCTCGCCTCAGGGCCTTTGCACGGGCTGGTCCTCCTGTGGGAAAGCTTCTCCTGCATGTCCACACGGCCTGCATTCTTGGTGTCTTCAGGTATCTTCTCGGATGTCTCCCTTCAGAGAGGCCTCTGACCAGCCTATCTGAAACAGCCCCTGCCTCCGTCCTACTCTCCAGTCCCCGTACCCTGCTCTGTTTTTCTTTATAGCACCAGACTAATACATTTTTATTTGTTTGTATATGGTCCACCAAGGCAGAGATTTTAATCTGTTTTGTTCTCCGCTGCATCTCCAGCATCTAACACAGCCCTGGCACATAGTAGTTGCTCAATAAATGTTTGTTGAATGAATGGTTAATTGCAAAATCCAGCCCCCAACTACTCACTTCTTCTTTAGCTCTCTTCCCACCCCTAGACCTGAGAGGTTGCTCTCTCAGCCTACAGAGGGGCAAACTGAGGCTGACGGGGTGTAGGCATTGGGGGTGAGGCCAGGCTACCCTGGGACCTCCACCTCCTGCCCTACTGAGCTCCCTGGCTGTTCCCCTTCCTCTCTCTACTGACTCACTGAGGACAGAAATCCATTCCTGGAGGCATAAGGTAGGGAGCAGGAACTTGGGGCCTGTCAGCAGCTGCGTCAGGTGAACTGTGGGGTGCGCCTCCTGCCATTCCTCACTGCTGGCCTTGGGTGCTTCATCCTGCAGTGCTGCTGCCCTGGGGGACAGGAAGGGAAAGAGGCTCAGTCCTCCACCAGCTTGAGTCTCCAGTTGGCTGGGACTTCCTAGATTTATTTCGCCCCTGTGCTGTGCCCCCTGCCCTCCTTTGCATATAGAGGGCCTCAGCATAGCATATGACTCTGTAGAGTGAAGTGTGAGTGAACAGACGACCAGCCCTGTTCCCTGGGCACGTTCCCAGCCCCAGCGTGAGACAGAGACAGGCTGCAGGCCCTGCTCTCAGGCCCTTTTGGTGGGCATGAGAGGAGCCATGCACAGCCAGCCCTAGCACCTGCCCTGCACACAGTAGGTGCTCAGCAGAGCCCGCCTGAATAAGTAAAAAAAGGGATGTGGTGATGTGTCCATTGAAGTGAAGACACAAATCCCAGGACTGCGGGGGCTCCAGCCTAGCCAGGCTGGGCAGGCAAGCAGGGCTTGGAGGAGGTGTATTTGGACAAGAGGAGGAAGGAAAGGGCACGCCAGGTGGGAGAACAGTAGGAACAAAAGCCTGGAGGTGTGAATGAACAGGCAGATGGAAGCGATGAGAGGCCTGGGTTGGAGCTCCTGTGGCCGTGGGGTGGGGAGCCATGTGAGGTGGGGCTGAGGAGAGTTTCTTTTAGGCCAATGCCGCATGTTGAAATGTTTTGGCACTTGGGGTCGTGCTGGGGTCGCGCTGGCTTGGCTGACCATCTCCACTTGTCGTGCCTAACTTGCTCAGGGCCCTGAGGGGTCCCCTTGCCATTGAGGCTCAGAGCCAAGGCCCCTCCTCCCTGCAGGTGCCCCTCACCTGCCCTGTCCCAAACAGAGCTGTGCTCCTTGGTGGAGCAGGCGGGGGTGGAGTTTTCCCCCCCAGGCTCCCTGGGAAGCCCCTTCAGGTGGGCTACAGCGCCTGCTGACCCTTCCCTCTGCCCCTGCCCCACTGATGGCTCCTGAGGCCAGGGAGGGACAGGACCCCACCTAGCTCTGTGCCCCCTGCCCTCCCTCGCACATAGCAGGGCCTCAGCACACGCTGCAGAGTGAAGAGTGAGTGAGCAGATGACCAGCCCTCTTCCCTGGGCTTCCTCCTCTCACCTGTGATGGGAGTGGGTACAGCAGCCCGCCTCTGAGGTCCAGCTGGCACGGACAGGCTGCATCCTCGCCCTCCATGGCCTTGGCTCTAGGCATCCTTCATGAGAGCAAAGACCTGTTCCCCACAATTTGGACCCATCCTGAAGACACCCTCAGACACCCACTGAAAACTACTTGTTTAGAATGTGTCTCTCAGAGGAGTGCTGGAAAGGAAGCGTCCGGCAAGGCCTAAAGGAGTGGATGTCAGGGGTGACCCCTCAGGGCTTGGCGTTTCGGTTCAGGAATGATTGGGGCCAATTGCATGGTGGCAGTGCCTGGAGCATGCAACCCTCCCACCTCATCAGATGACCCATGGTTGAAATGAGCAGGGAGCGGGGGTTTGAGGTGGGTAGAAGCAGGCAGGGGTGCTGCCGCTGGCTTTAGCTTGTATCCAAGTATCAGGTGACTTTTAGCAGCTTCAAAGCGGGAGGCCTCTGTACTGTTCCACCAGCTGCCTCCTGGGACCCAGGGACCCTGCGGCCCAAGGCTGAGCACTCTGCCCTCTGACGTTGTGTTTTCCCAGGACGCAGGGGAGTGGGCCCCACCCTGCAGCCAGAACCTCCCATTCTAACCTATCAACCAGGGCTTTCTAGACCCAAGACCCATCTTGCCTTCCGCTGCCCTTGTACGCCACCTGTCACTCTGCTGCGGGTGGAAATTAAGTGGACCTGGCACGTGTGCCCCCTGCCAAGCCACGAGACCCACCACGCGCCAGCTGGGTCTCCTTGCCAGGGCTTGGAGATTGGCAAGGTGTTGGTGTTAATGTGACTGCTCATGATTGCCAGGTCAGTCTCTGTTCTGTTGTGAAGATGAACCACGCGCTTGTTTGGTGCGCCTCCGGGACTGCGCCTGTCGGCTTGGATTCCTCTGCCATTCTGACCTGTGCAGGGCCTGACACCTCTGCATTTTGTAAGTCCCCAGGTTGGTGTCGCCGGGCCTGCTGCTTTTCTTTCAGTGCGGCCACTTTTCCTGGCTCCCTCTGCCTGATGCGCTCGTCCAGACGGGGACATGCTCCCGTCTGCATTCGCCTCTGAGCTTGATGGGAATGACAGGAGGAAAACGTCAGATGCTGAGCCCTTTTTGCTCTGAATTTGCATCTCTTCCCTCCTGACAGGAAGCAACATTTTCTTTCACAGCCTCCTTTGTGGAATGTGTTTGAAGATTCCTTTGGGGTTTGAAAAAATTCCCTTTGCTGGTGGCAGCCCCTTTGTGGCTTTGGCGTTCTGAATCCGGTCCTTTTCCCCAGTGATGCAGGAGAATAGAGTGGCCAAGAGCCCAGACACTGGGGCAGACGGCCTGGCTTCAAATCTGGCTCTGCCATCATGAGTTGTGCTGCCCTGAACAGTTACCGAGGGGCTCTGTGCCTCAGTTTCCACCTTTGTCAAACAGGGATAGTAATAGTCCTTCACTTACAGCTTGTTGTGAGGTTAAGTGCGTGAATACCTATACGGTGCTTGCCGGGTGGGCCGGGCACTGCACCGAGCACTGGTGCTCTCAAAGGCATTAGTTGTTTTCCTTCTTAACCAGAGAATAGGAGCAGGGCAGCGGGCCCTGGGCTGGGAGGCGGGCTGAGTTCTGGTCCTGGCTCTTGTCCCTGGGCGGCTGTGTGACTTCAGGCTGGTAACCTTCCCTCTCTGAGCCTCAGCTTTATCGACAGCATGCAGCCAACACATCAGGGGACCTCTGAGTCCCCCACAACACAGGTCTTCACATCCCTCACTGACTTCTCGTGGCTTTCCTGTCTCACTTTGCCACATGGAGGGTCAAGCACCACAGTTGGTCTCTGGCTTCCTGTGTGTCTTGTTCTTGGGCCCAGTGGGGAGCCCACAGAGTAGCTACTTCCACAGCGGTCTGCCCCCTAACTTCTCTGGCCTCTGTTTATTTATTTATTTATTTATTTTGATATATTTGACAAATCTCTAAACTGGAATCCCATTTCTTCAAGCTCATTTTCTTCTGTTGTTTCTTTCTCCTCCTTACTGAGCCTCTTCACTCAGAGCACACAGGGATCTGTCCCCCAGGCTCCCACTGGACAGGGATCTGTCCCGCAGGCTCCCACTGGACAGGGATCTGTCCCGCAGGCTCCCACTGGACAGGGATCTGTCCCGCAGGCTCCCATTGGACAGGGATCTGTCCCGCAGGCTCCCATTGGACAGGGATCCTTCCAGTTTCTTCCCTTGGCTAAAGGGCAAGTGGTGAAGCCTGCGGCCCTGCTCACCCCAGCTCGGGTTTGGGCCTTGACCTTCAGGAAAGCGTCTTCACCTGTTTGCTGACCCTGGACTTCTGCCTGCTTTCCTGGCTGGGGTGGGGTTCCTGGCACTCCAAGTCCCCCACTCTGAGCTCCTTGGGGATGTGGCTGAGATAAGCCCCAGCTGCCTTTTTCTCTGCATCCCTGGAGGGACGCTGTGAACCCACCGTTTCCTTCCTTGTCTCACATTCACCACCCAGCGCTTCCCACCTCAGGCCTACATGGGCCCACCAAGTGCCCTGGGGCGGGGATGTCCAGCAGCCTGCGTCCCACTCTCAGCCCCACCCTCTACCACTGTATGGCCGTACATGATTCACTTCTCCCTGAGCCTCCGGTTTTTCATTTCTAAGACCAAAAAGGGACTGTGTGCCTTCCTCAGTGAGCTCATGTATTTGGGCACGAATGGTGCATGCGGACATTTCTGCCTTGATATTCCATGTTCCCCAACCTGGTCCCTCTTCCTTCTTCCCAGAGCCCTTGAGCCTGAAGAGACTCGGCCTCCCATGCCAGCCACACAGCCAGCCTGGCCTGGCCTGTGTACAGACCCCTGAGACTCCTTGTGTGTAATACACACATTTTGAGGCCATGTTCATGAACTGTCATGACAGATGCTGCTCCCCGGCCCCAGCCTCAGCCCCTGCACAGAAGTCCTGAGCATTGTCCCCACTTTAGAGGAGGTGACTGCAGCCCAGGGTGCCCAGGAGCTTGCCTGGGCCCTCCCAGCTTGTCAGGGCAGAGCTGGGCTTTGTAGCCAGTTCTGCATGACTCCGAAACTGGCCCTTGCTCTGGAGCTCGAAGGTGGGAAGACTGAGTCCTCCTTTTAAGTGGAGAATTTGGTTCCCTTCATCTGGCCTTCCCCAGGGAAGCATTGGTGGGCTTGTCAGATGGGCAGGCCTCAGAAGGCCCTGCCCCACAGAGGCCAGCAGTTCTAGGGCTAGGGAGGAAAGAGGTAGGGATGGGGGCAGGGTAATCTCAAAGGGTCCCTGGTTTCGCCACCTGGTCTGAGGCTTGGAAGACCTTGGCATGGTAAGGGTTGTGTGTGTGTGTGTGTGTATATGTATGTGTATGTGTGTGTGTATGTGTGTGTGTGTGTGAGAGAGAGAGAGAGAAGAGAGAAGTGGATCAGGATCCCTCAAGTCACGTGTGACTCCTGCGTGACCAAGTATGAGCTGTGACGGCCCCTTTCTGAAAGTGGTCTGGGAGGGCTGAATCCCCTGGCAGCCACTGCTCTGGTGCTGGCTCCCCTCATGCTTCTGGGACTTTCAGGGACTCAGAAGGTGGGACCCGGGCCTCCCAATCCCACAGACTTGCCCCAGGGGTATGGCTGGTGAGGAGGGGCGTGGCCATTTTTTTCCTTCTGCCCTCCAGCCTTTGCATCCCTTTCCTCCACAGTAATTTATTCATCTGCAGAATGAATATTTATTGAGCACTGACTATGTGCCAGGCATTGGACCAGGACACTGGGGTACGGCCGTGGACTAAGCAGATGAAGCTCCTGGCCTTGTGGGGCTCACACTTGGGGAAAGGGCAGGAGGAGCTTCCAGTGAATAAGCAAACACATCACTGTATAATTATAATTTGAGATACCAGCTGTGAAAGATGCTGCTCTGAAGAGGAACAAAGCAGTGTAAGTGGACAGAGAGGGGCAAGTAAGGGAGACTCTTCCCTGCAAGGTTGACGGCCTTTCGGTCCTCACCCTGGCTTTCTGCAGGGGTGACTTTTGGCAGATCCCCAGCTGCAGCGAGGGCATTAGCCAGGTGGAGATCTGTGGGAAGAGGGCCCCAGGCAGGGGAACTGGCATGTGCAAAGGCCCTGAGGTGGTGCCTGCCCGGCATTTGGAGAATAACCAGGAGGCAGGGGCAGAATGAGTGAGGCAGGGAGACATACGGCCGGAGGAGGGCAAATTGCATGGGGCCCTGGGGGGGCCTGTGGGGACTTTGGCTTTTGTTCTGGGTGAGCTGGGAGCCGTTGGAGGGTCAGGAGCAGAGGAGGGTCGAGATCCCTCTGGCTGTTGTGCAGGGAATAGAGTGGGGCCCTGGGCCAGTGTGGAGGCCACTGTAGTCCAGGCAAGAGGTGACAATGGCCTGGACCAAGGGTGGGGGTGGTAAGAAGGGACAGATTTGGGGTTTATTTGAAGTCTGGGCCCACCAGCCTTGCTTCTGGGTTGCCTGTGGCCAGAGGGCTGGAGGATGAGGGGTTGCGGGGCCAGGCACGGCACTCCTGGCTTCAATACCATGGACGGTGAGTCTGCCCCAAGGTCAGCTGCTCTGGGAAGTCCTGGTTGGCTCCAGCCCAACCAAGGGCTCCTTTCTGGGCAAGTCTTATGGATGCTGAGTGGGGCCTCATCTGTGAAGTGCAGTCTCTTCCCCTTGGTTTTGTTACCAGTTTCTTTTTTAGCTATATACATGTTTATTTCTGGGCACTGCTGCAAATTCTTTTTGGGACAAGGCAGGTCTGAATGCAACGATGAAGCTGGGACGAGAGGTTTGAAGCAGTTGTCTCCAAAAATCTCTTGTGTCTCTGGCTAAACTGTTGTTGCAGGGATGGGAAGGCCAGGCAGGAGTCGGGGAAGGGAGGCTGCCTTGAGGAGCAGTGATGGGAGAGACCTCCAGGGGAGGTGGTCCTATCTCAGGGTGGTGGGAGGGTGTCCTGGCTGCATGCCTGCCTTCTGAGAGTAAGGAGGGGCAGCCTTCCTGAAAGAGCAGCAGGTGACGTGAGGCGGGTGGGCTGGCCCTGGCAGAGAGCGCTTTCCCCGGCCTGCTGGACTTGCCTTGTGTCCATGGATGAGCCACTGTTCCTCACTGGCTCTTGGTTTCTCCACCTGTAGTATGGGGACAACTGTATTCCGACTTTGCTGGTTATTGTAAGAATTACAGAGATAGGAATTAGCCAACAGAAAGGCCTAGTGAGAGCTGGAGGGAGTGAGGGGCTGCCTCTGAGGCCTCAGACCTGGGGGTGCGCCTGGGCCTCTCTCAGCCTCCCGTTGTGACCGTCCTTTCCTCTCTCCCTCACTTACATGCTGCCCCATTATATCTGTGCCCCATTTTGCGGTAGACAGAATGATCATATGGATATTCTATGCAAATTCTGCTTTTTAATGAGCCAGAAGGAAAGCTAACGACTCTTGCAGACGGCTTGGGGCCCCAGGGAGGCCTTGGGATATGGGGAGGAGAGGAAGCAGGACAAAGTGACAAGTAAGAGGAGAGGAGGGAGGGAGGGCGGAGAGTGAACAGAGGGCCACGCAGTAGGGGCTGCGGAGGGGTGCGGGACAGGGGACAGTGGAGGCCCTGTGACCATCTCCCTGAGCCTCCATGCCCACCCCATTTCACAGGTAGGAAACAGGCTGAGAGAGCAGAGGCCACTTGTCAGGTCAACCCAGAAGGCAGGAAGCAGAGAGGACGGTGAGATAGAAAGGTGGAGGTGGGGAAGAAGACGGGGTGGAAGAAGGGAAGGTGTGGACCGCAGCACTGGGCTCTGGCTGGTGGGGCTTGGTTTCCTTATCTGTAAAATGGTCATCATACCTAGGACCTGGGTGGACTGGAAGGAGCTCAGGAGACAACACGTAGAAAGGTTACTCTACTGGGAGTGCTGTGTGAACATGAGGGGCTGTGCAATGATCGAAGAGAGTGTGTATTTGGGGGGAGACAGAGAAGAAGCAGAAGGTGGGCAGGAGAGAGTAGGGGAAGACAGGAAGCGCAGAGGAACAGGAGCTGGAGATGGGTCCGGGAGCCTTCCGGACAATAGGTCAAATGTTAGTTAATTAACCACCTAGCATGTTCATTCATTTGTTCATTCTTTCATCCCTATTGTTGGCTTCATAGATGGATGTCAGCTCCACGAGGGCAGGCTTATCTGTCCTATTCCAGGCTGTACCCACAGAATCTAGGACAGCTCCTGGCACTGGAGGTTGCTGAGTCAGTGACAGTGACTGCTCTGTGCCTGGCAGTGTGTGGATCCAGGGCCCAGCAGTGGCCACTGCTGGAGTCAGAGGCTGGTGGGCACAGAGGCATCTAGTCCCGTAACTTTCATTCACTGTGCGAAGTGCAGTGATTGAGACATTGAGATTGTTATAGGTGCCCAGGGGAGGAGGAGCTTGGGGATACCCATAAAGGCTTCCTGGAGGAGGAGGCCCGAGCTGAATCCTTAAGAACAGATGGAGCTGACTTGAAGAAAAGAGTCTGGGAAGGTGAATCAGACATCAAAGGCAGAGCAAAGAGTCTGACTAAAGGCTCTGATGTATGTTGGAAACTGCAGGTGCTGTTAGAGTTGGGGGTGGGAGAGGAGGCTGGGGGTGGATGAAGTCAGTCCTGCAGGGCCTCAGGACAGGGCTGAGGATTGGACTTGGCCCTGAGGGAGGTGAGAGCCACTGAAGGTGTGAGGGATGGGAGTGACCAGGTGGGACTAGAGTTTTGGTGGAAAGTTGTAAGGGCCAGGCTGGGTAGGCTGAGGTTTGTGTGGCAGGTGTGGGGCTGTGGTCTGGAAAGATGGTGTCGACAGGAGTGGAGGTGCGCCGTGAATTAGGGCCTGAGGGGTCAGCTGGCTGCTACCAGGTGTGGCTGGACCTGCCCCAGGGACGCTGAGCTATCTGGGGCTCCAGAGCCAGCCTGAGAGGGGCCTGGGCAGAATGTGTGAGAGCGGCATGTGCTGGTCAGCCTCGGGCAAATCCTGGCCCCTCTCTGGTTTAGATCAGAAAGGAGCTTTCAACTCTGGACAGCTGCACCCTACCTCTGGGGACATGTGGGACATGTGGGGAAATATGTGGGGCACTTTGGATTATCACAATTACTTGAGCGTCTAGTCCCTTGCACTGTAACACGGGACAGTCCCACACTGTGAAAAGCTGTCCCACTCCAAATGTCTGTTGAGAAAAACTTGCAGAGGCTACCCACCCCTCCCCCAGCTCCAGCTCCAGCATACAGGAAGAGGCCCTGCCCCTTGCCCTTGCTCCCCAAGGCTCTCCTGACCCTACTCAAGGCTGCTCCCAGGATCCAAGCCTGGAATCCCCTTTCCCTCCCTACCTGGTTCCTGTCTTCCACCCCCCATGTCCCCCATCTAGCCAAGCAAGCCCCCAAGCGTTGAGGCTCCAAGCCTTTTCCCAACAGTGCTAAGAGCCTGGGGAAGTTTTCTGGGGTGGGGTGGGGACTTCTTCAGCTCAAGGCTCACATCTGGGCCCTGGGCCCCAGCCCCCAGCATCTGTCCATCAGCTTCGCCAACCTGAGTCCCCACAGGCCTGTGTCTCAAGAAGGCCTCTCCTGCTGCCCTGGGTGAGGCTGGTCCCTGCTGCCGTGCTCACTTTGGGAAGGCATCCTGTTACCACCCCCTCCACCAAGGCCAGCTGACGGAGCTCTCACATCCATCTTCTTGGTCCCTCCTCCCCGGTGTGGGCCAGCAGCCCCATTTTCCAGCTGAGGAAGCTTGGTGGAGTGAAGGGATTGTCTGGTTATATCCAGTGCTGGGGCTTGACCCAGCCCCCCGGTTTTCTGTATTTCTTGCTGTTCTGCCACCAAAAGGAGTGGCCTGCGGGAGCCAGAGCCGGGCTCTTTGCCACCCCTTGCTCCTAGCCTGGCCTGAAGAGGAGGGGCAAGGGCTAGCTCAGGAGAAGGGTCCAGGGGGACTTCATTACCCAACGCCTACTTGTGGCGGTGGGGTGGGTGGGAGGGGGCATCGAGCCTGCCTCTGGCAGGGAGACATGCTTGGCCTGCCTGGGTAATTACATCTCAGCATTTCATTTTGCTTTTCAGTTTCCACTTCCAAGGGATGTGGGCTCCTAAATATTTCATCCCAGCCTGCACTGTCTGTTCTTCTCTGGCCAAGCCACATGCCCAGCTGCTGGCCTATAACCCTGGCCAGGCCCAACTGCTGGCCTGACTGTGCCTCGGCTCCTGCCATGGAGTGGAGCTGACGAGGTCATCTTCCCCATGCCTCTCTCTGCCCCAACACAGGGTCTCTGCCACTAGCCCAGCGCTGGCTCCCATTCCCAGGGTATCTGGGGTGAATAGGCTGGGGAGACAACATTGTCAGAAACTAGGTTCATTTCCGCTATCGTCGGTTGAGCATGGAAACGGGGTGGTTAGAAATGGGAAAGACACAGTCTGCCCTTGAAGCGGCTCATGGGCTGATGGAGGAAACCAACAATAAGAGTATAATAATAATAAACACTTCCTGAGCACTAATGTGCCAGGAACTGTTCTAAGCACCTTATGTATATTAACTTGCTTATTCTTCACACTTTGTTATGTGGAGATAAGGCTCAGAGAGATTAAGGAACTTGTCCAAAGTCACACAGCTAAGAAGTAGCAGAGCTGGGATTTGAACCTGAAGCAGGCCAGTTCCAAAACTGACCACAGCACAAAGTGGAGGATGGCAAGTGCCAGTGGAGAGGAGCAGACGGGCACGATGAGCTTCCACTGCAGGAAAGGGCTGGGATATTTCATGGGGGAAGAGGCAGAGAAGTGGGGCCCTAGGGCTGGATGGGGTTGGGCAGATAGAGACGTGAGAAGGGCATTTCTGGCAGAGGGACCAGTACTGGGAAAGGTCTAGAGGGGAACGTTCTGGCTGAGTTGGAGAAAGTGGTCCTGCTGTGGTAGAGGTGAAGTGAGGCGGAGGAGAGGACTGGAAAGCGATTTATGACCTCCTCCACCAGGGTGTCACTGGAGTTGGGGAAGGTGGGAAGAAACTTGGGGGCCTTGTCCTGTGAGTGGCTCCTCCAGTATCCTCAGCCACACTCCACAGTGTCCCGGCCTTGACCGTGGCCTGAGGCGGGGACAGAGCCATGCAGTCAGGCTGAGGGCCCTGCTCGCCACAGCCCCACTGCACTGCCCGCGGGTCAGACCAGGGCATGACCTCGGTAGGGACCCTGTCCCACACTCAGCAGTCTTGGGTCTGGCTCCTGGTTGGCCTCTGACGCTGTGCAAGCCTTGAGCAGACTCCCTTCCCTTCATGAACTGAACCCAAGAAATGGGTGGGATTCCCTCATCAGTGAATGCTGGGTACAGCCACTGAGGGTGGGGGACAGTAGGGCCTGGGTGGGTTGACCTGGGGTAGGGACCTCTGGGGGGCTTTTGGTGGGGGCCAGGAACCAGCCATCTCTTTGTGTCCTGCCCCATCCAGGCCCCTCCTGCCACCATCTGCCTCCAAACACCACGGCTTCCCTTTTCTATTATTTTTCCGCCTTTCTCGCTTCAAAGGTGTTTTGCCTAAGTGGGTTTGTGTTGAGATATTAAGTCGATCACTCAGCAAATTTCCCTCTGCTCAGAGCCTAGCGCCATGAATAATGCAGCTGTGAGCCACACTGCTTGCGCTGCCCAGCGGCCTCCTCTCCTGGCAGGGGACGGCAGGGCTCAGCTCTGAGCCACACTGCCTGCGCCGCCCAGCAGCCTCCTCTCCTGGCAGGGGACGGCAGGGCTCAGCTCTGAGCCACACTGCCTGCGCTGCCCAGCAGCCTCCTGGTAGGGGGCGGAAGGGCTCAGCTCTGAGATGTTGAGCCTCACAGCTGCCCTGGCAGGTCCTCCAAGGCCTGCATCCTCCTCCACACCCCAAAATATCCCCTAGGGGCTGACCCTGTCCACGGGCAATCCGCTCTAATCCTCACCGCAACCCTGCTATGTCTCGGGGACAGGGTTCATACCATCCCATTTCACAGATGGGGAAATGGAGGGTTGGAGAGTGGGCAACGTGGCTTTCATCACGAAGCAGTAGGTGGTTGAGATGGGACATGCCCCTGTCTGTGCCCAGACTCCGCTTCCTCATATCACACTAGTCTGGCTGTCGTATGTCTGTGTCCCCCTCTTCTTCCCCATCGGCGCCCCTGCACCTCGAGATCCAGCCCCGTTCTCCTGGCAGGGGAAGGGATGGGCAGGAATGGAGAGCCTGGTGGCAGAGGTGGGGTTTCAGAGGCAAGAGGAGGGCTTTGCCTTAATGTTCTGGCCACAGAGCCGCTCCATGAATAGCCGTGCCATCCCCTCCATCCAGTTGCTGGACCATAGGCCCCTCCATGGTCACCCCAGCCAGTGAGGACCAGGCCAAGGGAGGAGGTGCTAATGGTGCTGAGGTGTGGCTGGGCCCCCAAGCAGTGTGAGGGGTGTGAGCTTCTGCCAGCCCCTGGTGCATGCTAGGGCCTCGCAGGGCCTCCGTGGGAAAGGATTCAGGCTAATTGGGGCATTCACTGGGGAGACTCAGCAAGGAGGCGTTTCTCAGTTAAGAAGAGATGGGCTGGAGGGGTGCTTTGTTCACGTGCGGTGACTGTGTGAGAGCCACCAGGCAGTGTGAGGGTGGGGGTGTGGATGCTTCACGGTGGGCACCGCCTGCTTGTGCTTAATGGAGCAGGGTTGGCCATGGTCAGGCAGGCTTGTTATATGTGACTGTCCAGGGTTACCTGTGTCTGTGTGTGGTGTATTTGTGACTCTGTGTGTGGTTATGTGTATTTGTGTGTGGTGCGTATCTGACTGTGTATGGTGATGTGTGGATGTGTTTCTGTGTGTGGTATGATGGTGTGTGTGTGTGTGTGGTGTGTATGTGACTGTGTGTGTATCTGTGTGTAGTGATGTGTATGGTGTTATCTGTGTGGGGGTGTGAATCTGGTGAAGTGTGAGTGTGTGTGTGTGGTGTGTATCTGTGTGGTGATGTGTGGATGTGTGTGTGGTATCTGTGTGGTGACGTGGTATCTATGTGGTGATGTGTGTGTGTGGCATGTATTTGGTGATGTGTGTTTGTGTGATGTGTGGGTGTTTGTGTAATGTGTATTTGTGTGGTGGTGTGTGGGTGTGTGTCTGTGGTGATGTGTGTGTGTGTGTGTGGTGTGTATCTGTGTGGTGATGTGTGTGTGTGGTGTGTATCTGTATGGTCATGTGTGTGGTGTGTATCTGTGTGGTGATGTGTGTGTGTGGTGTGTATCTGTGGTGATGTGTGTGTGTGGTGTGTATCTGTGTGATGTGTGTGTGTGGTATGTATCTGTGTGGTGATGCATGTGTGTGGTGTGTATCTGTGTGGTGATTGTGTGTATGTATCTGTGTGGTGATGTGTGTGTGGTATCTGTGTGATGATGTGTGGGTGTGCATCTGTGTGGTGATTGTGTGTGTGGTGTGTATCTGTGTGGTGATGTGTGGTTGTGTGTGGTGTGTATATGTGTGGTGATGTGTTTGGGTCTGTGTGTGGTGTGTATCTGTGTGGTGTGTGGTGATTGTGTGGGTGTGGTGTGTAATCTGTGGTGATATGTGTGTGTGGTGCGTATCTGTATGGTGATGTGTGTGTGTGTGGTGTGTATCTATGTGGTGATGTGTGTGTGTGTGGTGTGTATCTATGCGGTGATGTGTGTGTGTGTGTGTGTGGTCTGTATCTGTGTGATATGTGTGTGTGTTGTGTATCTGTGTGGTGATGTGTGAGTCTGTGTGTGGGGTATCTATGTGGTGATGTGTGTGTGTGGTTTGTATCTGTGTGATGTGTGTGGGTGTGTATCTGTATGGTGGTATGTGTGTGGCGTGTGGTGAGTGTGTGTGTGCTGTGTATCTGTGTGGTGATGTAAGGGTGTGTGTGTGTGTGCTGTGTATCTGTGTGGTGATGTAAGGATGTGTGTGTGGTGTGCATCCATGTGGTGATGTGTGTGTGGTGTGTATCTGTGTGATGTGTGTGTGGTATCTGTGTGATGTGTGGTGATCGTGTGTCTGTGTGTGCTGTGTATCTGTGTGATGTGTGTGTGGTGTGCATCTGTGTGGTTTGTGGTGATTGTGTGTCTGTGTGTGGTGTGTATCTGTGTGGTGATGTATGGGTGTGTGTGGTGTGTATCTGTGTGGTGATGTGTGTCTATGTGTGGTGTGTATCTGTGGTGGGTGGTGATTGTGTGTCTGTGTGTGGTATCTGTGGTGATGTATGGGTGTGTGTGTGGCATGTATCTGTGGTGATAGGTGTGTGTGTCTCTGTGTGGTGTGTATTTTTGTGGTGATGTGTGGGAGTGTGTGTGTGGTGTGTATCTGTGTGGTGATATGTGTGTGTCTGTGTGTGCTGTGTATCTGTGTGGTGTGTGGTGATTGTGTGTCTGTGTGTGCTGTGTAGCTGTGTGTTGATGTATGGTTGTGTGTGTGGTTTGTATCTGTGTGGTGCTGTCTGTGTGTGGTGTGTATCTGTGTGGTGAGTGGTGATTGTGTGTCTATGTGTGCTGTATATCTGTGTGGTGATGTATGGTTGTGTGTGGTTTATATCTGTGTGGTGATGTGTGTGCATGGTGTGTATCTGTGTGGTGTGTGGTGATTGTGTGTGGTGTGCGTCTGTGTGCTGATGAATGGGTGTGTGTGGTGTGTATCTGTGTGGTGATGTATGGGTGTGTGTGGTATGTATCTGTGTGGTGATGTGTGTGTGTGTGTGGTGTTTATCTGTGTGATGTGTGTATGGTGTGTATCCGTGTGGTGATGTGTGGGTATGTGTGGTGTGTATGTGTGTGGTGATGTGTGTGTGTTTGTGGTGTGTATCTCTGTGGTGATGTGTGTGTGTGGTGTGTATCTGTGTGGTGATGTGTGTGTCTGTGTGGTGTTTATCCATGTGATGTGTGTGGTGTGTATGTGTGTGGTGATGTGTGTGTGTGGTGCGGTGTTTATCTGTGTGATGTGTGTGTGTGGTGTGTATCTCTGTGGTGATGTGTGTGTGTGGTGTGTATCTCTGTGGTGATGTGTGTGTATGTGTGTGGTGATGTGTGGGTATGTGTGGTGTGTATCTGTGTGGTGATGTATAGGTGTGTGTCTGTGTGTGGCTAGGGGTTGTCTGAAATTATAATTGGATGCAAATATGTGTGAGGTTGGGGATTTACATGACTTGCGTGCCCGGGTTTGTGGGTGTGTATGTGGAGGATGTGATGGGATTGGGTGTAGTGTGTGTGTTTGTGCGAGGCTGTGTGATGACTGGGTGAGCCTGTGTGGCTGTGGGACTATGGGATCTGTGACTCTGTCAGTGTGTGCGTATGGCCCTGTGCCCATCTTTGTGGCTATGAGGCTGTACGAGGTTCTTAGTGGGTCCATAAGTGTGATGGGAGCTGTGTCCCTGGTGAGCGTGTGTGACCGTGAAACTTTGTGAGCTTGTGGTGGTGTGTAGTATGTGATTTTGTAAGGGTGTGCATTGCCGTGTGTGTGTGTGTGTGTGTGTGTGTGGCTGGGGGTGTGGCGGGGGTGTGGTGGGGGTGCTGAGAGCCTTCAGGAGGGAAAGGATGTGTGTGCTGCCTTGGATAATCCTGGTGCCCTGGTCCCCCCGCCCAGCTGTAGACCTCCCCAGCCCTGGGTCCTGGGTCCTGGCCTGGCTAAGTGATGAGGCCCCTGTCCTCCGAGCTCCTGCCCTCCTGCCTCAGCAGCCCCACCCCACTAGGCCTTACCCGCTCCCCAGAGGTGTTGGCTCCAGGGGGCAGACCTGCACAAACACCACTACACTGGGCCCTCACACTAGCCCTATCGGGTGGAGTTTAAACTATCAACTGAGTCACCTGTCTTCAGGCAGGGCCCTTGTGACCCGGTGCCTTTGCACAGCCAGCATGCACCTTTCTTCACTTGCTCATCCTTTGCAGGCCGATTTCCTGAGCACTCATGATAAGGAATTGATGTCTTGGTGGAGAAAGTAAAATCCCAGCAGAAGGCAGGACGGAGGGAGACGTCCAGGTGCACGTGGGTACCCACCCCACGCGTGTGGACGCTGAGCACAGAGTATCACTGTGGACCAGAGCAAAGTAGATGCCAGGCTCAAATGGGGTGTCCAGTGGCTGTGCATGTAAGGAGGTGGCAGCTCAGAGGGGAGGTCACCGAGGGGATGGGAGCGTGTGAGCAGGTGCGAGTGTTCACCTCCAACTCCTACAGAGCCTCTGCCCTCACGCCCATGCTGGCAGCTCCTGCCGAGCTGTCCCTTCAAAACCCCGTCAGTCAGGAACTCAGTTCTCCATTCGTCCAGCAAGTGTGGATTACCGCCGTCCTGGGCAGGCCCCGCACGTGTCCTGGGCTCTGTAAGGCCCCAGGCAGAAAGACCCCAGGGAGATAAATGCAGTCCAGCCAGGGAAGAACTGGGTGGGGAGCTAGAGGGTGGCTGAGCAGCTGAGGTGGGGGTGCTCCTGGCAGAGGGAGCAGCATGTGCAGAGGCCTGTTGGGGGCACAGACGTGGCCAGATGGGTGGATCCTGGTGGGGACTGGGGCAGTCCTGGATGTTGCAGTAAATCCAAATTCACTGGGTGCATCAGGGAGACCCTCCTGGGAGAAGAGGCAGGCGCTCAGGGTCACACACACACACACACACACACACACACACACACACACACTGGGGGCTGCCAAGGGTTGTAAAGCCGGGAGTGTGTTGAGGGGCTGGAGACTGATGAGCTGGGGAGCGGGGTCACACGCAGGAGCAGATGGGGCAGGGGTGACAGGTGACGGGAACTAGGCCTGGCCCTCTGTGCAGTCCCAGATCCAGCTGGAGCCAGCCCAGCCCTCGTGTGTCCCGCACCCAGCTCACTCTGGAGCAGCCGCATGGGGAGGGCCTTTGCTGGGGCCTGGTGTCCTTCTTACCTTGAAACCCCCTCTGGCCACAACACTGCTGCCTGGGCTCCATTATTTACATTCAGGCTTCGCCCCCAGCTGAAAATAAAAGTAGCAGTCACCAGTCACCAAGCCCTCTGAGCAGCTATTTCTGGTCCCCTTCCTGAGAGCTGTTTTGGGGAAGGGCCTGGCTTTGGAAGTCAGAAGGAAGGAGCCGTGTGTGCGTGCGTGTGTGTGTGTGTGTGTGTGTGTGTGTGTGTGTGTGTATACGCCCATGAGGGTCCAGGGGTAGCTTCCAGCCCCTGTCCTCCCCTCTGTCCTCCCCTATGGGAGCCGGGGGGACCTGCTCTCCTGCCCCTGTCCCTGTGTGTAACTCCCCACCCCCTACCCCACTGGAAATTGCTGCCTTCACATTTTGCCATAAGGTAGATTTTTCCACTTGAATTCCTAGGGTTTGTCTTTTCATTATTTTCCTCTCTTTTTAAATTAAAAAAAAATTCTTTTTAAAGGAAGGGAGAAAGCGAGGATGTGCCTATGTCTCTGCTGGCCTCAGGACCAGCTGGCTGGGCCCCGAGAGGCCGGGCCTGGAGACCACCAGAGCGAGCTGGCTCAGGGGTCTGGAGGAGGATTTTTCTCCTTCCTTGTCTGGAGCCCAGTGTCCAAGGTGACAGCCTGGGGGACCCCTGACTGTCTCCCCACAGCAGGGAGTGGGTGAGGCAGGGCACAAGCCGGCTCCTCTTACGGGAGGCCTTTCCTTTCAGCCCGCCCAGGCTGACTGCATGAGATAGGCACATCCCACAAGTGGTGGTGCGGGGGGATGGGTCTTTGAAGGCAGGTGATCTGGAGGCTGCTGGAGGGCTGGCCTTGCAGGATGGAGGGGGGACTTTTTGAGACAGGTGGGGTGGGGAGAGCCATGCCAGGGAGGATGGGGAAGTGCTGCAAGGAGAGCATCCCAGGCACAGTGGGGGCTCAGAGGGTCCTGCCACGGTCAGACCTCCTGTAAACCTAAGCTCACCTCAGGCTCAGACAACCCCAGGTCGTGCAGGACAGAAATGTGAATTCATTTAGCAGCACGTCCCGCCTCACTTGAAGGTAAGTGGGATTTACAAGTCCAGAGTGTTCTCAATTCCTGGGGTCTCGGGCAAGGCAGCAGCTCCTAGAGAATAGTCAGACCCGAGTTCAGATCCAGCCTCTGCCTCTCCAGCTGCGTGGCCCAGCCCAAGCCTCCCTGTTCTCCAGGGTGAATCCAGGTGGGCTGAGGGGATGCAGCCCCCCCGTCTCCCTCCAGCACGTCATGCTGCTGCTGTCCTCCTCTGCACCGATTCCAGGATGTTTACGGTTCCTTCCCACCCTGGGACGCAGGCTGCATGGCGCCGGGCTTCTGTCCTCTGCATGGCTGCATCCCAGTGTCTCACGCCATGCCTGGCACATAGGAGGCGCTCAGTACACGTCTGCGGGCTCCACGAAGGGAAAGTGGTGGCAGCAGGCAGGCAGGTGATGTGAGAGGGGCCTGTACTTCCCTGAAGATGTGCCTGCAGATGCTCAGTAAATGTGGGCTGCTGAAGAATGGTGCTTAGGGGTTGTGCGGTGGGGGTGTGGCTCCAGGGGGCCCTTCCTCTGCCACCTGCATGCTCAGGCTGACCCGGAGCACTGTCTCCTTGTGCTTCTGCTCAGGATGATGGCTTTTCCTTCTGGTCTTGCTTCCCCAGCTAGACTGAGAGCTCCTGAGGAAGGAGTCTTACTCAATATCATTTCTTAGGGACTGACTATACCAGGAACTGAGCAGGGCAGTGGAAGGAAGGAGGAAGGGAGGGAGGAAGGCATGAAGGGAGGAAGAAAGGGAGGGAGGAAAGGAGGGAGAGAGGAAGGAAGGGAGGAAGGGACAGAGGGAGGGAGGAAGAAAGGGAGGGAGGGATGGAGGAAGGAAGGAAAGAAGGAAGAAAGGAAGGAAGAGAGGGAGGGAGGGAAGGACGGAGGGAGGGAGGGAAGGAAGGACGGAGGGAGGGAAGGACGGAGGGAGGGAGGGAAGGACGGAGGGAGGGAGGGAAGGACGGAGGGAGGGAGCGAAGGAAGGAGGAAGGAAGAGAGGAAGAAAGGAAGAAAGGACATAGACCTGACCCTGACCTTGGGAAGTGCAGCGGGAGGTGGACATTGACACAGTTATGTCAGCTGGGCCTGGAGACCACCAGGAAAGGTCACCAGACCACAGATGGAAAGGACGGAGAGACTGAAAAATACGACAGGAAACTGATACCAAGTTTCATCCACGAAGTGTCTATGTCATGTTCACGTGGGGATGCCTGAAGCCTGGGGTGGTGACGGTTCCAGCTCACACCAGCGGAGGGCTGGCCAGGTGAGAGCCTGCTCTCACGGGACGATGGGATTTCAGGAACCACACGGCTGGGAGGACAGGGGCAGCCCCAGGCAGGTGGGCATGGAGGAAGGTGGAGGAAGGCAGGCAGCTTCCCTATGGAAGCCCCTGGGCTAGCTGCGGCTATGCAGCCCATTTCACAGATGAACACAAGGAGGCTCTGGTGTGCCCTGCTGTGTTCTCTGTCAGGCGGCACCACGTGAGGACCGCGGCACCCTTGCTGTCACCCATATCTAAAAGTTTTGTCCAGCTGGGGTTCTGTGGCCCAGATTTGCTGAGTAGTCCCATGTTGCCACATCTGCTTGATTCTGATTATTTTTTTAAAGAAATAAAACATGGATTGAGTCGGAACCTTCTTCAGTCCTGTTCCTCTCTTCTCCCTTGAGGTAACCATGATTTTGAGAGGTGGCAGGTTCCCTTCCTGTCCTTGTTTAGTCACTCAGCGAACACTTGAGAGCACCTACTATGGGCCAGGCAGTGTTCTAGGCACTGGGGAAGAGTGTGATGAAAACAACGGACAAAGTCTCCCGCCCTCATGCAGCCTTCACTCATATATGTATAGTACATATATATGCATCTTCATAAATATTGTATGTGGTCTTTAGATTTTACATAAAATCTAAATCCTGCTGCAACTTGCTTTTGTCCGTCAATTTTATGATTTCAGGATTTGTCATGTTGACACATGAGAACTGTTATTCATCTTAACTCCATAATATCCCATTGGGCAAACACACCACAGTTTATTCATTCTTCTGTTGTAAAACATTTAGGTTGTTTCCATTTTTTTGCAGTTTCAGACAGTGCTGTGTTGAGCGACTCTGTGTGGGTCTCCTGTGCCCACGTGCCGGGGTTTCCCTGGGGACGAGTGTGGACGGGGAAGCACTGGCTTGGAGGCAGCCGGCACGTTCAGCTTTACTAGACGCTGCCGTGTGGTTCTGCAGAGGGTTCCAATGGACACGCCTTGATCAGGTGTCCAGCTGTCTTGTAGTAAAGGCGGGCCCCGAGGGATGGGGCCAAGCATAAGTCGGTTTTGATGGGTGGGGTAGCCCAGGGAGGAGGGGAGGTGTGGAACCTGGGCGGGCTGGGGAGGAGGCGCAGAGCTGGGAGAGATAGCGGTTCCTGCTGGAAAGCAGTCAGGGGCTGGCCTGGATCCCAAACTTCCCAGCGCAGTGGTGAGAGCCTCGTCTGAAGGTGGCTCTGCTCCTGCTACTGTGTGCCCCTGGGCAAGGCCTCTCTGGCCTCTGTCTCCTCACTCTCCATCCAACTTGGGCCAGGAGGTCTCCAAGGTCCCCACGGACTTGATATGCTCAGATTTTCTTGGCAAGAGGCTGTGGCTTCCTGCCCCTGGCCGGCGAGCAGACGCACCAGCTTGGCCGGGATGGCAGAGCTTGCAGCTGGCAAGTGGCATTCGGGTGTTTGTCAGGAGCCTGGGCGGCTGGGGTCCTGGCAGGAGGCTGGGCAGGGGCTTGCCAAGGGAGACCCAGGAAAGCCAAGGAGGCCATGGGGACCCCCAGACTTCTTCATGTGTGTCCCCCTCCCCGTATGGTCCTGTGCCTGGAGCCTGGGGAGTGGAGGGCTCCAGCCTCTGCCCTGAGATACGGAGTGGGCTTGTTCCCTGAGGGCTTTGTGGGCTTTCATTTGATTCTATCTACTCTCAGTATGGACCCATGGATTCTTACTTTATTCAACGAGAGAGACTTGGGGCACAGGGTGAGGAGGCGTGCCCCTCCCTAGGGGAGAGGTTAGAAGCAGGCGTCTGCGGGAGTGTTAGTCGTGTGGCCCAGGGGCTGGGCACAGGGATGGCTGGTGGGCTTGGTGTGACTTTGGGTCTGTAGCAGCGTGGCCTGGAATGCACAGGGTGGGCTGTGGTGATGGTGGATGTTGATCTGTGCCAGTGCGTGCATTCTGTGACTGTGTGTGGACACATGTGTGCACACATGTACATGAACCCACCTAAACAACAGGGGCTGCAGAAGAGGCTCCGGCACATGAAACACTGCCCCTTTATTCTCAGTGGCTGCTGCGGAGTCATTGCTTTGCAAGGAAAGGGAACTGTCCAGGAGCGGCTGCAGGAAATGGGGGCCTCTCCGCCTCAGGGAGGCTCTGGACACAGACCAGGATTGCAGTCCCACTGACTGGCTGTGTGACCTTGGTTAGGCTATTTAGCAACCTGAGCCTCAGTTTCCTCATCTGTGAGATGGGGATATTAGCACCGGCTAATGTGTAAGGATTCATTGAGACTGGGCCTCGCATGGTGCCAGGCATGCAGGGGGTGCTCAGTGGCCTCTCGGGCCGCTCTGGTCTTCTCTGGCTGCAGCAGGCACCAAGAGAGCAGTTGAGGCAGAGATTGTGCCACTGCCAGGAGCTTGTGTCATCCCAGGAGAGGGCCTGGCTTGTGAGCCAGTTCCTTTACCCACTCCCCTGAGCGGACATGCTGACAATAGGGCTGTGAAACAGAGGGAACCCACGGGCACTTGGTTTCTCATCCTGGGGGCAGCAACACCAGTGGGCACTCACCCCAGCATGGGCACCATGCCCCATCATGCCCATGGGCCCACAAGCCCCCTCAACTCCACAATCCTATCCATTCACTACATGACTGGATGAAAGGTGGCCGCTGGAGCCAGATGGCCCAAGTTCAAACCCCACCTCTTCCCCTGACTATCTTTGTGATCCTGGGGAAGCTACTTAACCTCTCTGTGCCTCAATTTCTTCATTTATAAATTGGAGATATGGTGATTACACTGGCCTCAGATGAGTGAATCCATGTAAAATTTGCAGAATAGCATTTCCCATGCATTGGACACTCCATAAATGTTCATTAGTATTACGGAGCTCTGCACACCCCCGCCCCCCGCACTCCCTTCTGGTCTGAATCTCTTGCAGTTGCAAGAATATCAAACCCTCCTCAGACTGCACTTGCATCTCAAGTTGCTTGTGGCTCACTCACACTCCCGCTGACTGAGCCGTGGTCACCTAATCCTTCCTTCACCAGCAAAACGAAGCTTGCAAGATATGCCCTGAGGTGCCAGGCAAGACCATCACGCGGATCCTCTTAGAGGAGCATCTCAGAAATATGACTTAACCTAACAGTTTCTCCCTGTTTGAGAGCAATTAACTCCCTTCTCCTGCCTTCCTTCCCGCTCCTGGAGCCAGGTGGCTCATCCTTCCCTTCCCTCTCCTCCCAGTCCAGCCTCTTCCTCTGTCCATCTGTCTCCCCAGATGGGGGGAGGAATGTCGCAATTGGCCCACTTTCTAAGTGGAAAGAAACCATATGGAGGGTTTAGCTGGGAACTGAGAGCCGGCCCGGCCAGTGGTGCAGCCAGTGGCTGCCTCCCTTGGCTCCCTCTGTGACCCCAGACTGACAGGGGCCCCAGTCCTGCCCAAGCACCTTGCTCCTTCTCCCCCCTCCCCATGAGCTCCTAGTAAACATGCTCTTCTCTAGCACTTGGGACTTCTTGGTGTCTTAGGAGAGACCTGAGGAGCTGTGTGTGTGTGTGCACGCACATGTGCGTGTGTGTGCATGCGTGTGTGTGTGTTGTGTCCTGTGGCCCCAGGCCAGCAGGGTGCCTGGCACAGAGCAGCCACTCCTTCCAGAGCGTACCCTGTTCTCTCCAGAATGCCTGCCGCCTGGCCACTTGCATCCTCTGAGGACTCAGCCCAGTGTCACTGCCTTTGGGCAGCCTTCCCTGGCGGCCATCTCCCTGCCCACAGGTAGGGACCCCTCCATGGGTGGAGCTGGGTGCTGGCACTGCCCTGTGGGGCTGGTGGTAGTCGTGTCCCCGGCACTCTGAGCCCCTGGCAGCTCCACCCAGAGTTTTCTGATGTAATGGGGCAAGTCTGTGTAGAAGGCTCAGGTGGCCCCAGCCTGGACCTCCAGGTCATTTGGAAGCCCAGCGGTGCCCAGCCTAGGTGTTTGGTTTGAGGCATTGTGTTGAGTTGAGTGGGACCCAGAGGAGGGCAGCCCTTAGATACCAAGACCGGCTTCAAGATTAATCCCTCATGCTTTTCCATCGACTGCCACCAGGGGCTTCTGGGGTCTTATTCTCTGGGGGTCTCCAGCTCCTGGACTCCAGTAGGGCAGGTAACTGTGTGGCTTTGGGTAAGCCACTTCTCTTCTCTGAGCTTCAGTTTCCTCATCCGTCAAAGGCAGTGGCTGACACAAGCATGGCCCACAGATGCTCTGTACCACGAGGTCGGGTGAGATTTAAATACGTGAATGACATCTGTCCCCTGCCAGCACTTGAGAGGCACATCTGGGGCTGGGGATGGCTGGGACAAAGTGCTCCCAGGGTCTCTGATGGCCACCCAGCCTGGTCGTGAATCCTGACAACATCAAGTACTGACCCTCTCCTGATGGTTCCAGCCAGTGGCCATGCACGCTGCTCCTACCAAGGGCCTGGTGATGGGCATGGGGCCCAGGGACAGGAGTCCTGAGAAGCACATGGATATGGGTGTAGCAGGGACTGATGCCTCAGGGTGGGCTCTATTCCCAGCTTTAACCCTCCAAGAAACATTGTGAGCGGGTTACAATAAAAATAATCAACATTTACTAAGCACTAGGTACCGGATGTTGTCTTTATATGCATTACCTCACTTGTTTTATAACAGTTCTATGAAATAGGTAATACCATTATTTCCACTTTATAGGTGATGTATGTTCATCACAGAGAGGTCCAGTAACTGACCTAAGGTCACACAGCAGTAAGTGGCAGAGCTGAGATTTGAACCCAGGCAGTCTAGCTCCTAAGCATGATGCCGTGCTGCTTCTAGCTGCTATATGGGGAAACTGAGGCTCAGAGTACTTAAGTGACATATCCAGGGTCACCAGCTGGTAAGTGGAGCCAAGACTGGCACTGAAGCTGTCCTGACTGCACAGCCCATATCCAGAGGCTGGGATCCCAGGGCTGGGAGTCAGGCTGGGGAGCCTGGGCAGCACCCAGCCCCCATCTCCCGGAGTGTATGTTGGGAGAGTGGTGGGGAGACTCAGGTTCCCCTGCCCACCCCAACTAACTGGTGCCCCTCCTGCAGGGGGCGTGTGCATCGCCCAGTCGGTGAAGATACCACGGGAGCCCAAGGCAGGCGAGTTCGACAAGATCATCCGCCGCCTCCTGGAGACTTCGAACGCCAGGGCAGTCATCATCTTTGCCAACGAGGATGACATCAGGTGAGGGCAGGTGGCAGCAGGGTGGGCACCGGGAGCCATGCAGGTGTGGGCAAAGCCACGGGTCCTGTCCTGCTGGAGACCTTCCCAGGCGAGCCTGACCCCACCCTGGGATCCAGAGAGGTGGGTGCTGGTGAGTGGGTATGTGGGCAGGGAGACCCACAGGCTAGAGCACAAGCTACTGCTATGGGGCACTCCTTCCCTCCCCTCTCCATTTCCTGCATCCATTCCACCTGCTAGGGATGGCTACCTGGGTGCTTTAACAGAGGGCTGAGGCCGTGAGCTTGGGGCCGGACCACTTAGGTTCTAATGCTGTTCTCCCACCTACTAGCTGTGTGACCCCAGGTGAATTTCTTAACCTCTCTGGGCCTCTGCTGCTAAAAAACAAATGAGTTAATGATACCTGCCTGATAGTGTTTGAGAATTCAATGCAGGAATGTGCATAAAAGGCTTAGAGTAAGGTCTGGCGTGAAATAGGCACCCAGTAAATGTGGGCCACCTCAGCCCCTCCCTCCTTTCTGTGGTGAGCTCAGAGTACAGAGAAGAGCTCTGGGCTGTGTTTGGTTCTAGTCTTGGCTTAGGCTCAGAGAGCCCAACCTGAGGGGAGACACAGCTCTGTCCTCACGGAGCCCCAGGATAAGGGGAGATACAGCCCTGCCTAGAATCTGGCAGGGCCCTCTAGTCCCTGCTGGTCACCTCTCCTTCAGAGAGGAGGCTGAGAGCAGATGTGGCCCCTGCCAGGTCTCCTCAGATATCTGGCCCGGGCTGGCAGAGCCTGCTGTGCCCTCAGACTCCCCCTCACTGGACCAGCCAAGGCTGCTCCGTGTACCCAGTCCTTCCCAGGAGGCTTCCTCCTATTCCTCACCAGTGCTCCCAAGCCATTTCTCATGTTCTAACCTGGACTCCAGAGTTGCTGCAAAACAGATACCCTCCCAGGCCATTGGTGGGTCCCTGGAGGGATGGAGGAGGGCTTCTGGAAGATCATCACGGCCTCAAAAGCCAAAAGGACAAACTGCAATGGTTGTCTCAGGCAGCGAAAGGCCAGGGAGGGGAGGCCCTCAAGCCCCATCCTGACACCCTCAGAGCTGCACAGAGGCGGCACCCAGTCCCTTGAGGTGTGCAGGTCCCCTGAGTTCTGGCTCTGAACGTGTATGATGGCCACCGCTCAGCCAGCTCCTGGGGAAGCTTCTGAGCCACCGGGCCCCACTCCCTGACTTCCTGCCCCCTACTCCCATCCCAAAGCCTGGTAAGATTAGGCTCCCACACCGCACCCAGCTATGTGCCTCACTCCAGGCCTGCTGTTTTTGAGGACACCTTCAGCTCAGATGGACCCACATTCTGGGAGGGGGACTGAAAGCACTTGGCCTTTTGTCCCAGCGAAGAAGCCCCTAGGGGAGGGCTGGAAGGGAGCTAGACTGACTTCCAGAGCAGGCTGCGGGAAGTGGGGTAGGAGGCGGGGGTCATTTCTGGAAATCCACACGCATTTTCAGAAGCAAACAGAAGTAAAAATAAACCCAGGTGACTCTGCAGGGCTGGATGATCGGGAGCTCTGGCCATCTCAGGCTGGCCGGATGCAGACGGGTATTAATAGGGTGTGGGTGTGGGTTCTGAGAGCAGCCTTACCTGCCATTAGTGGTGACCTAGGGTGCGGGGGGGCTACACCAGTGAGCAGAGCTGGAAAGCCTCAGGAGTTGGGAGATGATGGAGGGTGGGGTGGGATGAGATGGACAAGGCCAGCTCAGGTGAAAGCTCTGGGGCCTGGAAACATTTGTTTCTCCCTGGAAGCCCAGGCCCTCCAGTCCCAGCTGGCCGCCTCCTGCACAGGCCCAGCAGCCACCCCCCAGCCCTGGAGTCTGTGCCCTGGTCCTCACCAACGGAAGGGCCTGGACAGTTTGTAGTATCACAGCCTCTCACTTGCTGTGTGACTGTGAGCAAGTTCCTTGCCTCCTCCCTACCTCAGTCTCTTTTTGTGGGAGCTGGGTTAGGGGAATTCTGCCCATTCCTCCTTGTTTTTCCCCTCTGAGATGTCTTTGAGGGGCCACTTAATTCATGCCTCCATGAAGCCCTGGCTGAGCGCTTGCTGTGGGCTCCTCAGCCCCGGGCTGGGCTCTTGGGTCCCTGGTTTGATTTATATTACCATCACAGGCAGACTGGGCTGTGTGTGAGCACTGGGCAGCTGGCTCCACACCCATCTCCCTCCATCACCCACTCCCACTCAGGGTGTGGGGAGCAGCTCTCTGAAGGACCTGGAATTTTGGCACAGAGGGCGGTGAATGAAGAGGGAGCTGTGGGCAGAAGGCAGCATGTGCAGAGGGGTGAGGGCGGCGGTTGTGTGATGGTGGATGCGTGTGAGAATGGGCAAGGAATGTGGGGGTGGATGAGCCAGGAAGGCATGCGTCTCAGGGGACCGGGGCTGGGCAGAGGTGGTTGTGGGGCCTGAGTCAGACGTGGGGCGGGTGTGGATCTGGAGGGGAGAGGTGTGGTCTTTGCAGGGACAGATGTAGGCCTGGAGAATCACGCTGGGCCTGCAGCAGGCGTGGGCCCAGGGGCAGGCAGGTTGGATGAGGCGGTAGCCATGGGTCTATGAGCAGGTGAGGGCAGCGGGTAGGGGGAATCCATGGCTTGGGGTGAAAGCATCGGTGCTGGGACAGTTGTGGACCCTGGGCTTCTGGGGGTGAGGGACGTGGGCCCAAAGCAAGTGTGGCCAGGAGTGGGGGCAGTTTCGTGGACAGACGCGGCTGGGCTGGGCTGGTGTATGTTCCTACAGGCGTGTGCTGGAGGCAGCACGAAGGGCCAACCAGACAGGCCATTTCTTCTGGATGGGCTCTGACAGCTGGGGCTCCAAGATTGCACCTGTGCTGCACCTGGAGGAGGTGGCTGAGGGTGCTGTCACGATCCTCCCCAAGAGGATGTCCGTACGAGGTAAGGCTGGGCGGGTGCAGGTGGTCGGCACCATCCTGGACTGCTCCTCCTGCCATCCCTCCTCGGCTTCCTTCCCCTTCTGCTCCGCCTCTTTCCATATCCTTCCTTTTCTCTTCCTTGGCCCACAGCCTCTTATGTTCTGAGGTTTTGGGCTGGGAGTTCTTTTAGGCCACGTGCAACAAAGCAGAATTTGAATCCAGATTCAAGACCTTCCCTCCTCTCTTCTCAGACATTTTTGGGGTGGAAGGTGTGTGGAGAGTCCGCTGCTGAAAGAGGCTGGGAGCCGCCCTGCCGGGGCTACAGGACAGGCCTTTCCTGAAGAGTCTGCCTGGGGTTGACAGGCCCCAGGATGGTGCTGAGGTTGGGCCTGCCTCACCCTGAATCCCCTCCTCTCAGGGCAGAACCCACAGTCACCTGGGCAGGAACGAACTTCTCTGGCCAGAACCTCACAGAGAGTGAGGTGTGACGTTCTCGTTAATGGCCTGATTTGGCAGGGACCTGGCAGTCCTCACCATGGGGAGAAGGCTCCCTGGGCCCTCTCCTTCCCTGCCCTCCCTCCCTTCAATAGAATCCAGCATTAATGGAGCTGGGAGGGACTGCAGACATCTGCCTCTCCAAGGTACTTCCCAAGACACGGAGGCCTGAGGAGGGGAGGGACTTGCTCAAAGTCACACAGCAGTGTCCTCTCTTCATACTGAGGCAGAGGGAGCTCCCTGGCCCATGGCGCCTTCTAGCCCTGGCCCATACCTGTCCAGAGGCCCATGGCTACCATGTCATCCAAACCTGCCCCCCGGGTCTACGTCTGCCTACAGGCCCAGTGTGATCCCCCAGGCCCATGCCTGTCCCTGCAAAGACCACATCTGTCCCCCCACATCCACACCTGCCCCATGTCTGACTCAGGCTCTGGAACCACCTCTGCCCAGCCCCGGTCCTCTCAGACTCATGCCTTCCTGGCTCATCCATCCCCACAGCTCTTACCCCATCACACATTCAACACGCCTCCACCCACCCACCACACACACATAGCGAGAGTTTCCATACCAGCCCCAGCCACAATAAACACAACATAACAATAACTGCTATGGTGCTTACCAGTGCCAGGCCCCTTACAGACATCTCCTTTAGCCTCCCCAGCATCCCTGTGATGCACTCTTCCCCGCATTTAGTAGATGGATACACAGGGCTCAGAGAGCTTGAGACACACACAGTACAGCGAGTGGCAGAGTTGGGACCAGAATCCAGGACTTGCCTGACAAGTACTTTTTCTCTCAGGAACATTAGAGAAACTTTTAGAACAATGGTCCTTATCTGGGGGCGATTTTGCCCCCCAAGGGGATATTTGGCAATTTCTGGAGCCATTTTTGGTTGTCACAGTTGGGGGATGCTGCTGCTGGCCTCCAGTGGGTAGAGGTCGGGGTACTGCTCAGTATCGTACGGTGCACAGGATGGCCCCCCACAGGAATTATCCCGCCCAGAGCGTCCACAGTGCCGAGGCTGAGAAATCCTACTGCAGGCCAAACCTCCTGCTCGATGCCAGTGCGTCTCCTGCCACGTGGCCGGTCATTTTGCTTCCACTTGGACGCTTCCATGGGCAGGAAGCTCCACGTGGCCCCGCTGAGCTTTCAGGCCTCTGGCCCATACAGAGCAGCTCAGTCCACAGTGCCTAGAACAGTCAGTATGGCAGGGGGGCGTCTGGGAGGAGGAGGGGGTGTTGTTCACCGCCAGCCTGCCCACCCTAGGACAGGCTTTCCAAGGCTGAGAGCAGAAGTGTGAGCCACGCAGAGCATGTGGAGGAGGCAGGCAGCCTCTGTCAGTGATGGGGACGTCCTGGATGTGAAGGAAGAAGGTCCAGGTCCTGGTCTTGCTGTGTGATCTGGGTGGTTCCCTCCCTCCTTGTCTGGCCTGGTCTCCTCTTCAGGTGCTCCCCGGGTTGGGCAGCCCCACCAGCCTCTGTGCTGTAATCTCAGGACTCCCAGGCGGCTCCTTCTCAAAGCCCGCTGTTAGCATTGCAGCGGTTAAAGGCCGTGGAAACATCCTCATCGGTGTGCTTCTCTTCCATAAAGGCAGCAGTTGTAGATTACACACGATCCCCCTGGGACCTAATACAGCTCTTTTCATTTTGAAAGAAACGAAATGCTCCACATTTTGTTTTCTCCTGGATCAGAGGATGTGCTCCTCCTGGTCTCTCTCCCTCCGCCTGGACCATCTCTTATCCTGGGGGAGGCGGGGAGGGCTGGGGCTGGTGGGGAAGAAGGCCAGTGAGGCCCTGACGTCCTGGTTCCCTGCCAGGCTTCGACCGCTACTTCTCCAGCCGCACGCTGGACAACAACCGGCGCAACATCTGGTTTGCCGAGTTCTGGGAGGACAACTTCCACTGCAAGCTGAGCCGCCACGCCCTCAAGAAGGGCAGCCACGTCAAGAAGTGCACCAGTGAGCACGCGGGCCGGGCAGGGCCGGGCGGGCTCTAGGAGGAGCCGGGGAGGGCCGAGCCTGGGGGCCTGAGGCCGAGAGTCTCCCTTTGTCTGTCGTCGGCCGGCCGTGGCAGGACGTGCAGTTGGGCCTGCACCTGGGGTGGAGTTGGGAGGCCTGGGGCGGGGCCTTGAGGGGCGGGGCCACAGCAGATTTGGGGTGTGGCCTTGAGATCCTTGGGAGTGGTAAGGCCTCTGGCCGCCTCGGGGTTGATGTGGACGGCCCTAGGGCCAGCCCACAGCACTGAACTGACCCCTCCTAACCTGTATCCAGTCTTGATGCACACCAGGCTGGGCACTTTCCAGAAACTACCTCTAACCTCCAGGGTTCCCTCAGTCACTCAGCAAGCACCAGTTTGGCTCCTAGGCCGTGCCTTGCCCTGTTCTAAGCATGGTGGATATATAGCAGTGAAGAAAGAGTCCAATGGCGCTTGGAGTTTTTATTCTAATGGGGAGACAGACGATCAACAAGACGAGTGAATGATAGAATATGTCAGAACAGAAATGTGCAGAAGAAACAAAACAGACAATAAAAAGAACGGAAAGTGTGAGGGGAAGGGAAACTGCAACTGTGAAGTGGCCAGGGACGGCCTGCTTGCGCAGGTGACATCTGAGCCCTCACATGAGAGGGATAGGCCGCACAGGGGAGGGGCAGTGATCGGGCCATTTTACAGATGGGAGAACCGAGGCTTAGAGGAGGTGAGTAGAGGGACTTGAATTCCCATAGATAGAGGGCGGTAGAGCATGACTTGCTCCTGGGTCTGAGCCCTAGGGCCCCCGCCCCCTAGGTAGCCATCATGGCGTGTCCACTTCAGATACATCCGGACAGGGGTCTTTGCGCGCCCTGGGTCTGGGTGGCTCTGCGGCAGGACCCAGACTCAATAACATTGGGGTGCTCTGGTGCCTCTCAGCCTGAGTGGTGCCTAATCGAGGATGATGAGTTATCTCCTGTATTCTCTCAGACTTGATCGTGCAGTTTGGGCAAAGGGCGGGGGACGCGCTGCATGGAGTCTTAGCTCCTCCAGAGCCAGGGGAGAAGTGAGTGTGATGAGGGTGGGTGGGGAGCATGCTGCCCTCTGGTGGCCAGAGCCCACGGGGACTTGCAGCCACTGGACCACTGGGGACCCAGAGAAGCTCACAGCCAAACCCACCTGATCTGCAGAGTGAGTGCTAGTGTGTGAGTGTGCCCAGTGTGGCAGTGTTTGTGTATACACCTGTGGCACATGACTTTGCATGTGTGTGAGCTGGTGTTCCTGAGAGAGAAGGGATGTGTGTGCCTGTGTCTTATGTGGGGCTTATGTATTCCTGGGTGAGCTAAACATAAACATTGCTGTTTACTATGTATCCACTGTGTTCAGACACTTTAAAGACATCATCTTTAAAATGTGAAAGACATTTCACTCTCACAGCAACTCTAGGAACTCTTAAGATTCCTGCACTCTAGACGAGGATATGGAGAGTCAGAGAGACCAAGTGACTTGCCCGAGGCTGCTCAGCAAATGCCTGCATCAGGCAGTAATCACAATAGAGGTGTGAGAAGTGAAAAGATGCCTGGGTGTGGAGGCTGAGCCCTCATGGGTGGGGTGACCGTGCATCCTGTCTCCCGTGTTCTGGTGTAATTATTGAGAGCATCCCCTTCGGTTCTTGGAAGTGCCCAGGCGGGATGGAAAATTGTATGGGCACCCTGATTTAGATCAGCAGACCTAGATCAGATCAGGGGTGAGGGTGGGGATGGATGAGGTGGGGATGGGGTGGAAAGACTGGAAGTGGTGGCAAGATGGACAGCTGGTGCCTCCTGGACCCAGTGCCTAGGCTGTCGAGGGGTCTGGGTTGTCAAGGGGAAGGGCTTTCTGGAATCTTCTCTTTGAGAGGGACAGGAGGGGAGAAGGCTTTGGTCAGTTCCTGTAGGCTCTGTCCAGACTCCTAGTCCTTGGGGCAGGATTCAAGAAACTCTCCAGCAGTCCTAAGGGAGGCGTTTGGTCTGATTGTCAGCTCAGGTGGGGAAGGAGGACTGGAGCAGGGTTCAGAAGAGCACAGAGCTCGGCTGGGCGTGGTGGCACATGCCTGTAATCCCAGCACTTTGGGGGGCCGAGGCGGGCGGAGTTCATCTGAGGTCAGGAGTTCAAGACCAGCTTGGTCAACATGCTGAAACCCCGTCTCTACTAAAAATACAAAAATTAGCCGGGTTTAGTGGTGGGCACCTGTAATCCCAGCTACTCGGGGGGCCGAGGTACGAGAATTGCTTGAGCCTGGGGAAGTGGAGGTTGCAGTGAGCCGAGATTGTGCCAGTGCACTCCAGCCTGGGCAACAGAGTGATATTCTGTCTCAAAAAAAAAAAAAAAAAAAGAGCACAGAGCTTTCCCATGAGCCTGAGGCAAGCTCTACAACCTTTCTGGGCCTTTGCTTTCTCATCTGAGCAACGGGATTGATGAGCCAGCCCAGAGGGTGTCTCCAGAAGGAAGTGAAGCGTTAATGGAGGCACTTCCTGATCTGTAAGTGGCAGCTGTAAAGCCTGGAGGTGCGTTAGAGTCACCTGGGAGCTTTTAACACCATACCAGGGCGCCACCCCCAGACCAACTAGATCAGAACCTTAGGGGTGGGGCCTAGGCCGTGGATTTTTACAAAGCTCCCTAGGTGATTTTAATGTGTGTTTAGGGCTGGAGCAGTGGTTTCCAAGCTTTGTTCACAATGAATCACCTGGGGATCTTTTAAAAATACGGTTACCCTAGACATTCCGGTTTAATTTGCACTGGATGCAACCTGAGCGTCAGGATTTTTTGAAGTGCCCCAGGTGGTTCTACTATGCAGCAAAGTTTGCGAGCCTCTGGCTTGGAGGGAAGGGTGGGTGACGCCCCTCCTAAATCAGGAGGGTGCCCTAAATCAGGCGTGCGCCCTAAACAGGTGAGGAGGCATGAGCAAAAGGGCAGGGGCTCTAGACGCGGTATGTCTCAGCTGACCCGAATCCTTCCTGCTGCACTGGGAGCCCCAGCAGAGACAGGTCAGAGTCCCTGTGTGGCCCCAGGCCAGGCGCTGTGAGCCTCTCTGTCTATCTCTGGGTGAGGTGAGGGGCGGGTGAGGGGGCTGCTGGGAATGTTTGTGGGACCTGAGACCCTGGGGGGAGGGGCAGGCAGCTCTGGTTTCCCCATGGTCCTGCCCCTGAGCTGAGCCTGTCCCACAGGAGAAGGCCTTAGGCCAGGAGGGCTGGAGTGACACCCACAGAGAGCTGGGAGCAGGGGCAGGGGAAGGACCCACCCCTGGGTCTGAGTCTGGCTCTGCCTCCTCCCTGCTGTGTGACCTTGGACAAGTTATCTAACTTCTCTGAGTCTCAGCTGCTGTCAGTAGATCAGGGAAGGCAACAGCTATCTCAGTGAGCTGTGAGGTTTAGAGATAAGCGTGTGAGGAGGCTGGCTGAGAATGATGTGTATGATAGGTGCTGATAAAATGATTGTTATTGCTGATACAGAGAGGAAGTGGGAGAGTTGGGATTTAGACAGGCAATTGGGTAATCTAATAGTCCAAGTCTGTTGGTACCAATTCTGTCTGTCTGCTGTAAAATCCCGGAGGAAAGAATGTGCCATCCTGAAGGTGGGTAGTATAGATGGTCACAGATGCAACTCCCATTTTACAGAAGAGGAAACTGAGGCAACTTGTGACTATCACAGAGCTAGAGAGTTGTCAGAGCTGATTCACACCCAGGCAGCCTGGCTGTCAAGCCAGTGCCCACCCCTGCCCTTCCCCTCCTTCCCTCTCACTCCTCCAGGGCCCCTCTCTCTTGCCCTCAGCCAGCCCAGGCATGCTCTGTGGTCTCCGAGACCTATTCTCCACCTGCCCCCACTCTGTCTCCAGAGTCTAGCTTCCCCCTCACTTCTTTAGGATCAGCTCACTCTGTTCTCTCGGGTGCTCACATTCCATAGTCGGCCTCTGTTTCAGTCCCACAGGCCTGCCCTGCTCAAGGTCTCACGGAGAGCAAGTGCCACTCCTGGGTCCTTTGCCAAATCCATTCCTTCCCACCCCAGGTGATGGATGGGCCTGGTGACCGTCCAAGAGGGTGGGAAGGACCCTTATCCTGGGATCTTACACTTGGGAAGATTTCATTCATCCTTCAATGCTGTCTGAAGTGGAGTTCCCCCAAGAAGAGGATTTGATAGCAAGTAGCTGATTTAGGAGGGGATTCCAGGAAAGAAGAGAGAAAGCAGAGATGAAGGGTGTGAGATCAAGCTGGTTGCCACTGTGAACAATTGGAGCTTAATCCTCTTGGGACAGAGGAACAGACCTCTCAGTCATCACACAGAGAGCGAGAGGGAGCCGGGGTGTGTGTGTGCCCCATCAGGCATTGGTGGAGGGATGCTCCGAGAGGCCATTAATTCCTTGGCACCTCCAGCCTGCCAAGTGCCTGGGCAGAGAGGGCTCCTGTGCCCAAGAAAGCCTCAGAAGGGTGGCACATGCTGGCAGCTGGAGGCTGGACTGGTGTGTGCTGAAGGGGTCAGGGTTGGATGTATGGTGGAGCACTCATTCTTTCTCAAGCATACGGCTATTAGAGTCCTGCAGACCTGGGTGTGAATGCTGGTGCTGCCACTTCCCAGCCACGTGGCCTTGGGCAGGTTACCTCACCTCTGGGGGCCTCGATTTCCTCACCTGTGCAATGGGAATTATATTATCCCCTCCCATTCTCCCAAGAGCTCCATCCCCAGCAGAGTGCTACCTCCCTCATGGCTTCCAAGGAAGTGATGGGAGCTTATCTGCAGGAAGCACTTGCAGATGGCCTGTGGATCCCCCCAACCTCAGTGAGCTGGGGTCACCAAGAGGGGCATCTCTGCAGCTGTCAAGCCTACGGGAAGATAGCGCCTGCCTCCTCCTTTCCTCCCAGGCCCTCCCTGGGAGCCCAAAGAACAGGGTTTGGGAATTAAAGTCGTAAACAAGGCAGATGTGGCATCCGTCTTTTTGACAGTGCTGCCAGCCAGGTGACGGCTGAGCGGAGGAAGGCCTGGTTTATAAGGAGATAGGAAAAATTTACTGCCTGCTGCACACAGGGGCTGGGAGCTCAGAGAGGGAGGGCAGCTGCATGGTGGCTGGGGGTGTGTGGGGAGATGCCAGTCACCCAGCCTGTGCTACCAGCAGTGACAACAATAATAGTGAAAACATAATCACAGCTAATATTTATATAGCATTTATTAATTGTCAAGCTCTGTTCCAGTATTTTGCATTTAATTTTTGGAGCAACCCACATTACAGATGAGGCAACTGAAGCACAGAGAGGTTAGGGACTTGCCCAGAGTCACACAGAGTTAGGGTTTGAATCCGACCATTTGGCTCCAGAGACATTTTGCTTAGACCAGGTGCTATCCCAGCCCCAGGCCCCTCCTGGCTTCTCCACCCTGCCGGTGAAAGGTCTTCCCACCTCTGCATCCTGAAGAGAACCTGAGGAAGCCTCCCTCCTTGGGCAAGTAAGAAAGGCCAACATTTGGAAGCACCCTTTATGTGCCAGGCCGTGCCTCCATTAGAGGAACTCACAGTTGTTCAAACCATTGGCCCTTCACTCAGTGCTGCTTCCCACTCATCAACTGAGAAACCAACAGCATAGACGAAGAGCCTGACTGTGTGCCCAGCCAGCTCTGTGTTGGGCTCAGTGAGGGGGACAGACCTGCCCTGGGGAGCCGTCCTGCGAGTGGCCTTGCAGACAAGGTATAGTGGATGGTGGCGTGGCCTGGCAGTCAGTGCTGTGGCTCCAGAAAAGGCCTAACTGTGAGGGTGGAGAAGGCAGAGCCTGGAGGCCTCTTGGAGGAAACTGGGAGTGCTGGGAGGACAGGAATGCTGCACTTTTAAGTCAGAAGTTCTCAGTGAGAAGGTGTGTGCTAGTCTGTTTGCACTGCTATAAAGGAATACCTGAGGCTGGGTAATTCATAAAGAAAAGAGGCTTATTTGGCTCACGTTTCTGCAGATTGTGCGAGAAGCGTGGCACCTGCATCTGCTTCTGGTGAGGGCTTCAGGAGGCTTCCCGTCATGGTGGGAGGGAGACGGGAAAGAGAGGAGGAGGAGCCAGGCTCTTTTTAACAATCAAATCTTGTAACTAATAGAGTGAGAACTCACTCATTACCATGAGGACGGCGTCCAGCCACTCATGAGGAATCCGCCCCCATGATTCAAACACATCCCACCAGGCCCCACCTTCAACACTGGGGATCACATTTCGACATGAGATTTGGAGGGGACAAACATCCTAACGATTTCAGGGTGATCCTGGAGCAAACACCTGAAGGCCGTGAGAGAGAGAGCCATGTGGAGACCTAGGAAAGGGCACACCAGGCACAGCGCTCAGCAAGTGCAAAGGCCCTGGGGTGGGCTCATGCCTGGCAAGCCTGGGGGAGCAATGAGGAGGCCAGTGTGGCTGAAGCAGAGAGAGCAACAGGCAGGAGATAGGGTCATGGGGGAGCAACGGGCAGGTAGTGCAGATCATGTGGGCCTTGTGGGCAGTTTGTAAGGATTTAGTTTTTTATGCAGAATGGGACAAGCCATTGCAGGGTTTGAAAGAGGATTGACGTTACCTGATTTATGTCCTAATGAGATCACTGGGCCACTAACTGCTCACTCCTCTCTGGGAGCGAGGGCAGAGTGGGAGACCAGTTAGGAGGCTGGTGCTGTAATCCAGGTGGGGATGATGGGCCTGGGGCGGGTGGTGGTCATGGAGGTGGTGCGAAGGGGTCAGATTCTTTGTAAACTTTGCAGTGTGGCCGTGGTGTTTATGGAAGGATTGAAGGTGAGAGAGAGATGACAGAAAGTCAAGGATGGCTTCAGCATTCTCTGCTGGAACAAGGAGATGGATGAAATGGCCACGCACTACGATGGGGTGGGCGGGAGGAGGAGCAGGCTGGGAAGGAAGGCAGGGCTTTGGTGGAGACCATGTGGAGAGTGGGATGCCTGCTGGGACCCACGTGGCCTTGTGGAGTAGGCGCTGGAGTCAGGGAGAGGCTGGAGTGGCCATGTGACTAGGGAGGTGGCAGAGTACAGATGGGGCTGGCTGGGAGCACCAAGGAGTGTGTGTGGCTAGAGAAGAGGTCCCAGTGAGCCCTGGATGCTGGAGTGTTGGGGGCAGAGAGAAGGGGGCCAGCATGGAAGCTGAGAAGGGGCAGCCTGGGAGGCAGCAGGGCCCAGAGCGTGGTGTCCCGGCGGCGATAAAGAGAGGACTGGAGGAGGGAGTGACTGTCTCCATCACATGCTGTCCAGGGGCCAAGTGAGACAAGGGCTGGACGGGGCCATTGTATTTAGCCACCTGGGGGGCGATTGTGACCTCCACAAAAGCAGTCTCCTTAGAGAGGTGGGTGCAAAAGCCAGACTGGAGTTGGTCAGGAGACAGAGGAGAGAAACTGATGACAGTGAGCAGAGGCACCTCTTATGAGGAGCTACATTGTAAGCAGGAACAGAGAAAGGGGATGCTAGCTGGGGAGGGGTGGGTCAAGAGAGGGGATTTGTTTGTTTGCTTAAATCGGAGAAATGACCTCGTATTTCTACCTTAAAGAGAAAGACCTAGTGTGTTAGTTGTTCTCACGCTGCTATAAAGAACTACCTTAGACTGGGTAATTTATGAAGACAGGAGGTTTAATTGGCTCACAGTTCTGCAGGCTGTACAGGAAGCGCGACTGGGAGGCCTCAGGAAACTTACAATCATGGTGGAAGGCGAAGAGGAAGCAAGCACGGCTTACCATGGTGGAACAGGAGAGAGAAGGCGAGAGGGGAAGTGCCACACTTTTAAACCCTCAGATCTCTTGAGAACTCACTATCATGAAAACAGCATGGGGGAAATCCACCCCCATGATCCAATCACCTCCCACCAAGTCCCTTCCCTGACATGTGGGGATTATGATTCGAGGTGAGATTTGGGGTGGGGACACAGAGCCAAACCTTGTCACCTAGTAAGGTGGAAAGCTAGATGCTCCTTGAAGGGAGGCTGCTGAATAATGGGGGAGAGGGATGTCTGCGTTGGGAGTTGTTAGCAGGGGCGGCTCATCCACATTTGCCTGAGAGTCAGTCCCCAGAGTTCCCCCACCCCCAGCCCCAGCCCCTCCTGTGTGGGAGAGCTGAGCCCCAGCTCCTCAGCCGAGGTGTGTTGGCCTCAGAACCAGGCAGGAGTCGAGAGCTGATCCTTCTTGGGCACGGGGCTGTGCAGGCGCCAGGTGTGACTCTCCTTGCCTAGTCCCAGGTGCCAGCTTTACTTCACAGACGAGGGGCCTGAAGCTCATAGATGCTAAGTGACTTGCCAGGCCCAGCAAGGGGCTGAGTGGGGGTTTCCAGCTGGCCCCACCAGACCCTGGGGCTCGAATCCTGTTTCTCAAAGCTAGGTCTGTGGACATCTGAGGACACATTCTTGAGGCCAGATTCGCAGGGACACAGGAGTGCCGTGAGGATTCTTAAAGTCTGCATTCTCATGTTGATGGCCATCCCCAAGTGAGCTCTCCCAGTCTGAGAGACACGGCTTCTCTGCTGCTGTGGTCATTTACAGTTGGGCTTCACTGTCATAGCCAAGCTCTCAGCTTCTCTCCTTAGTGTTTTTTTGCTGGGGTCATATTCTTGAGGGTTTGCAAGAATGGTTTCCTTCAAAAGGAGCCTGTGGCTGGCTCAAGGTTGAAGAGCCCCAGGCGATGCTACCACAGAGCTCTTGGAGCTTGTAAAAGAACACTTGAGAGGGAGTCAAGAATCGACTCCCACTGGGTAAGCTGCTTCACCTCCTCAGGCCTCAGTTTCCTTATCACTGAGATGGGGATCCCTTTTGGCCCAACCACTAAGCCCTCGAAACACCTGGATGCATCATTCACTGGGACTGGAAGGAGTTGGTGTTGGGCCAAGGCTGAGTTGTGGGGGACAGAGCTAGGGATGGAGGAGACCCAGCCAAGTGGGTTAGAAATTCCCAGACTGGAAGGCAGGCGACTTGATGAGGATGAAAATTCGAGAGGAGGGGGCCGGCAAAACTGCGGTATAGGGCTGAAAAGCAAGCGTGTGACTCTGGGCCAGGGAGATCCTGGCTGGTGACTTCTGGGAATTTGGGGGCTTGTGGGATGGTGAGCCTGGACTCGGGAACAGGACTTGAGGGACAGAAGGAACTGAATGTCTGAGGAAGCACAGAGTGGCAGCTTTCTCCACCCCATCCATATGTTGGGCTAGGTCTGGGTCTGTCTATGCGGTGGGCATCCCTCGCCCATCGCATGTTGGTGGGGAAGGAGTGGGGAGAATCAGCACTAGAGCCAGTGCCAGCCAGGCTGCAGACAGGATGGAGGGGAGGCCTCCAGGGGTGGGGTGTCATCCAGCAGGGGCGTGTCAGGGAGGAAAGGAGAGCTGAGGCTGAGAGAGGACTTCTGTGCACAAGACATGGTGTTGCATCTCCCTCAGTCCTCCCAGTGGCCCCTCGAAGTAAGTCTTACTATCCGGAATTCACACTTGGGAGACTGAGGCACTAGAACACTCCCATACTTGGCCTAGAGTGTATAGCTGGGCCATGGCCCAGCCAAGAGTCAGAGCCATGTGTGTTTGTTTGGTCCATGACACCAGACAGCCCTCTGATGGGGTTCTGGGACCCCCTTGTTTTACTCCCTACTCCCTGGAAGTTTGCTTAAGAGACAAAAACGGGTGTAGGTGTATATTTGTGGCTCATGCTCACCCAGAGCCTTCGTGTGCCTGGCACCTCACCTTCCCACAGCTCTGGGAGACAGGCTGTGTAAATGCAGGTTTATATCTGTGTAGGTGTGTGGTGTAGACATGGATCGATGCTTGACTGCACATGTGAATGAGTGCATGTTTAGCAGATGCTATCGCTGCCCCAGCCGTACCCCTCAGCACTCACCATCCCTGTGTGCACCAATGGGGCTCATGCCCCTGAGAGCAGCCCTCAGCCTAGGACTGGCGGAGCTGGAGCATTTATCCCTGTGGATGGGACAATGCTGAGGTGTAGTTTGCAGGGTCTCCTGGAGGTCCCCAGCAGGACGGAACCCCACAGGCTGGCATTAGTTGACTTTCCTCCCCCACCTCACCTCCCTGTCCCCTCCTCATGCTTCCGGGCATCACCCACCAATAAAACCCTTGCTCTCAACTCCTCCTCAGCATCTGCTTGGGGACTTCTCAGCCTAAGCCAGTGGGTGAATCTGAATGCCCATGTGTTTGTATTAGTGTCGTGTTAAATGTGTAGCTGTAGCTATATTAGAAGCATTTATATGTACATCTGTGTTAGAGCATGCATGTGTGTGTAGACATGTGTAAATGCATGAAGGTTTGTGTATTTGCTACTCTATGCATGCAGATGTGAATACCTGTGAGTGTCTGTGTGGTGGATTTTGTCTACCCTGGCGTGAGGGAGCTGCTTCAGCAATGTGTGTGCACGCACGTGTGTACCAGTGCTAGAACTGGAGGATTGTGGCTGGGCTGGTGAGTTGTGGAGAAGTGAGGGGGGAGACGAGAAGGACTCTGATTATTTCAACCTTGAAAACTCATTTCAATTACAATTTACAACCTGCAGACAAAGGCTGCAGTCGCCGTAGTAACCACGCTTCGGGGTTTTGACAGAGAAAATCCTCCCTGGATGGTTCCCCAGCTGACTGTCACCCATGGCAGAGCCAAATGCATCTCTGCCTCACTGTGCCCCGGGACACAATTAGGACATCTTCAAACTGTTGCTACTGTCACTGCCATGTGTCTGGAATTTGTCTCCTACAACAGCTCTCAGAAATGCATGTCTTGCTTCCTCCCAGAACTGCGGTGCCCCTGCCTGGTCCTGGGGTTCCTGCCCACCCATGAGAGGGGATTTTCCTACCCCTTTCTCTTCACTGCCACCTTCCTGTTCTAGACCTGCAGACAGGGAGTCCTTAATCCCTGGTTGGGCCTGGCCAGACAATGGGGGCAGGGCCTGGGTCGCAGGACAGTGGGGAAGGAGGCAGGTCAGCGGCTAAATGGAGGAGGGGCAGTTCAGGGTGCTGAAGACTTTTTTGGACAACCAAAGACATCTGGGTTCAAGTCCCAGCCCCACCACTTCCGAGCTAGCTCCATCTACAGGTATGTGTCAAACACCTACTTGGTGCCAGGATTCCTGTGAGGCTCTGGGACGCCACCCACCCACCTGCAAACCTTGCTACCTCCCCTGTGAGGGGGCCAGTGAAGCCTGTCTCCCAGAGCTGTGGGAAGGCGAGGTGCCAGGCACACGATGGCTCTGGGTAAGCATGAGCCACGGCTGCAGAGTCACCTGCTGAGGAGCCGGGTTGTGTGAGCCCAAAGCTGCTGCCGTCACAGGCATAGTTGCAGCTGCTCATTTAGGCCAGAGCGTCCTGTCTTGTTTAGTGAGGGTTTGTGGTTCCTGCAGTATCCCCCACCCCTCCCCTACATGCCCCGCTACCCCGCCAGGGGAGTCACCTAGGTCCTGTCGTTGTTTCCTGTGGGGCACAAGGGAAGGGCCTGAGGCATCTGAGGTCAGAGTTGAGGAGTGTGTGTGGTGTGGTGGGGGTGTGTGTGTGTATCTGTGTGGTGTGTGTGTGTTTATTTCAGTGTATCTGTGTGTGCGTGTATGTGTATATATGTGTATGTATGTCTATGTGTGTGTGTGTCTGTGTATATATGTGTATGTATGTCTGTGTGTGTATGTGTATGTCTGTATATATGTGTATGTATGTCTGTGTGTGTGTCTATGTATATATGTGTATGTATGTCTATGTGTGTGTGACTATATATGTGTATGTATGTATGTCTGTGTGTGTATGTGTATGTCTATGTGTGTGTATGTGTATATATGTGTATGTATGTATGTCTGTGTGTGTATGTGTGTGTGTCTGTATATATGTGTATGTATGTCTGTGTGTGTGTGTCTGTGTATATATGTGTATGTATGTATATGTGTGTGTGTCTGCGTGTATATATGTGTATGTATGTATGTCTATGTGTGTGTCTGTGTCTGTGTATATATGTGTATGTATGTCTGTGTGTTTGTGTGTGTGTCTGTATATATGTGTATGTATGTATGTCTGTGTGTGTATGTGTGTATGTCTATGTATATGTGTATGTATGTATGTCTGTGTGTGTGTCTATATATGTGTATGTATGTATGTCTGTGTGTATGTGTGTGTCTGTGTATATATGTGTATGTATGTATGTCTATGTGTGTGTATGTGTGTGTCTGTGTATATATGTGTATGTATGTATGTCTGTGTGTATGTGTGTCTGTGTATATATGTGTATGTATGTATGTCTATGTGTGTGTGTATGTGTATATGTGTATGTATGTATGTCTCTGTGTGTGTATGTGTGTGTCTGTATATATGTGTATGTATGTATATATATGTGTGTGTATATATGTGTATGTATGTATATGTGTGTGTATGTGTATATATGTGTATGTATGTATATGTGTGTGTGTGTGTCTGTGTATATATGTGTATGTATGTCTATGTGTGTGTGTGTGTCTGTGTATATATGTGTATGTATGTATGTCTATGTGTGTGTGTGTGTATGTGTGTGGTGGGCATCCTCCTGGTCTGGTCACTTCACTGCACCCCAGTCTTTCCATATGCTACTGGGGGTAGACTTGAGACAAAAGTCCAGGAGGCCACAGGGAGCTGAGAAGTTGCTAGAAGTCCACGCTGCTGTGACAGCACTGGGATGGATGCTCTGTAAGGGCAGCACCCGAGGCCTAGCACTCTGGAGCCCTTCCCCCAGAGCTGCCCTGGGTGGAGGCAGGTTACCCTGGTGAGGGGGCTCCTGCGGGATATCCACACTAGCATCCATACTGATGGCTTCGTGACCCCAGAGAGAGCACTTGGCCCCGAGCCCAAGTGGCCCAGGAGTGGATGCTTCAGCGGGAGCCTCTGAGGAGAGGCTGAGGCCAGCCTCCTGGGGGAGGTGTGTTTCCCCAGAGATCCAGCTAGCCTCCCATGGCTGGGTGCGTCCTTGGCCTTGAGAGAGAGCTGCCTTCTCTCTGCAGCGGCCGTAGCCTCCCACTCCATCCCTGGTTAATAATTTAGTCTCTCATCCATATGAGATGAGGGTGTGATGGGAGCTGTGGGGGAGTCAAGTAGTGTTTTATGCTTCTTCAGGCTGGAGAGGGAAGGGCCTAGGGGCCTGCGGGGAGCAAGTGTGGGTCCAGGGAGGGTCTTTCCAGGCGACACTGTCCCAGCCTTCTCTATGTCCTTTGGGGATGGGATCGTCCATTCCATTTCTCCCTAGGCCCTCGTGACCTTGTGATCAGAGGCCTTGGACAAGGCAGGATGGTGAAGCTGTCTTTTGTGTTCATCCTGTCTGTTTGTGCCTTGGCCTGGAAAAAGTGTTGCTGGTTAGCAAAGCTAGCAGACACGACCCAAGTCAAATGCAGCCTGGGATGGAGCAGGGGTGGGGTCTAGAAGCTGGAAGTGCCCATCCTGTCGCCCTTGGCTATGTGACCTGGGCTTTCCCACCAGCCTCAGTTTTCTTGTCTTTAAAATGGCAGCGGGGGCAGATGACCCCCGTGGTCCTGGTGTCCCTAGTGTTGTGGTTCTATGGTTTCTACTGTCCACTCAGCAATATCTGAGTACCTACCCTGAGGAAGGCTGAAAATGGGATGTGGTTCTGGCTGGCAGGGTTAATGAGCGACCAGGCCAGCTATCCCCCATCCCCACATCCTTGTGTGGGTGTGGCCACTGGTGTGGCCAGGATTAGAGGGTGTGAGGGGATTAGAGGGTACTGCCTCAGGGAGAGGCAGTGAGATCCCCTGCACCCTGGGTCTGCCTTCAGGGTGTCCAAGGCAGGGGGCTGGACACAGTGACCTCTGGAGTCCCCGGGGAATCACTGCCTCATGTGGACCCAGCTTAACCCTGGCCTATGGGGGCAGGACACAGGTGCAGGTGTGCACCCTGCTGCCCTCTGGGGAATTGCCTCTGTGCAGTGTGGCATGTGCCCTCTAGCTGAGAGGCACGGGCTAGGAGTAGAATGATAGGAGGAGTAATTTCCTCGTCCTGTCCTTGAGGAAGAAGGCCATGCTGTATGCAAGGGCTGTGGTCTTAGGAGGGGAATCCAGGCTTCCCTATCTCTGCCCATCCTCCCCCTTCCTCCTCCCAGCCATCCTCCTGCCATGTCCTCACTTCAGATCCCTGGTCCCCTCCCCACATTCCTGCCCACCTGCATCCCTGTGTGGCAGAGTGTGGTGCTCAGGGTTGGAGTTGGAGTACCTGGGTTCACATCAGCTTTTCATAGTCGTGGAATGTTACTGAGCTTTTCTGTGCTCAGGGCTTCAGTTTCTTTTTGAGATGGAGTCTCACTCTGTCGCTCAGGCTGGAGTGCAATGGTGCAATCTCAGCTCACTGCAAGCTCCGCCTCCCGGGTTCATGTGATCCTTGTGCCTCAGCCTCCTGAGTAGCAGGGATTACAGCTACCTCCCATCAGGCCTCTCCTGATGTTCCCAGCTAATTTTGGTATTTTGAGTAGAGATGGGGTTTCAGCGTGTTGGCTGGGCTGGTCTTGAACTCCTGACCTCAAGTGATCCACCCACCTCAGTCTCCCAAAGTGCTGGGATTACAGGTGTGAGCCACCATGCCCAGTTAGTTTCTTCATCTCTACAATGGAGGTGATTACACCTTAGCATTGTTGTGAGAAATCAATGAGTGAATATACATCAAGAGTTCCGTACAATGCCTGACACATAGCAAGTACTGGTGGAAGTTACTTACTTAATGTTATTGTTGTTATTCAATATGTTATCTAATATCATGATTACCCAGGGCCCAGGCCAAGAACCACCTTCCCCTCCACAAAGTCGTCCCACCTGCTCCAGCCCAGGGACCTCCATAGCCCTCTTGGAAGCCCCTGTTCTGCCCACTTAGCACATAGGACACTGTGGACGAGCCATCTGCTGGCTGTCAAGTGTTTTCGGTACCTTATCTCATGGAAGCCTCATGGCAGCTCTGTGAGGTGGGATCATGATCCCCTTTTTGCTGACGTGGACAACCAAGGAGGCTGCACAGGGCCCCAGAGCAGAGGTCAGTGGACACGGAGGGGAGGGGAGGAGGATGGGAGGTCAGACCCCAGGTCACGGTGCCTTGGGGAGTCATTGCAATTAGCAGTGAGAAGCCCATGGGGATGGGTTTCTCAGTTTGCAAAGTTCACTTATCCTTGCCACTGGGGGACAAGAGGGTTGTCCCTGAGGTAGAAGAGGGATGGATGGGGCAATGGTGACTTCTGGTATTTAGGGTGACTAGAAACCATTGAGGGCAGTCTTTCAGCCTCTCTGGGCCTCAGTTTCCCTACCCATACCCTGGGGTGAGGGCAACATCCTCTGGCTGGAGCAACTGCCCATGGGTGAGTGGCTTTAAGGACACTCCCCTCATTGATGGACATAGCCCCTGTCCTGGCTGTTTCCCAGACTTCGAGAGGGGCAGCTGCTCTCAAGATTATCCCAGGCCAGGCTTGGGGGAAGGCAACAAGGGCCACAGCCACAGGGAGACCTCTGGGACACTGCCTTCCATGGTGAAAGGTGACAAGGTAGTCTGCCCTGGATATTCTGGGACCTTGGGTGGCACAGGCATCAGTGGTACGGTGTCCAGGCCGGTGGACCCTCCCATTACACCCATGGGCCTGTCTCCAGGCACCTCCACAGGGCCATCTCCTGGGTGATAGAGCACTGGGCTGGGAGTCAGGAGGCCTGGCCATGCACAGATGGGCCGTGCCACTTCTCCAGGTGGCCAGAGGGTGGTCTGGCCCCCATGACACCACTGTGAGGACAGTGGGCCTCACGAGTGTCCCTGTTCCTGGTGTTTCATTGCAGACCGTGAGCGAATTGGGCAGGATTCAGCTTATGAGCAGGAGGGGAAGGTGCAGTTTGTGATCGATGCCGTGTACGCCATGGGCCACGCGCTGCACGCCATGCACCGTGACCTGTGTCCCGGCCGCGTGGGGCTCTGCCCGCGCATGGACCCTGTAGATGGCACCCAGCTGCTTAAGTACATCCGAAACGTCAACTTCTCAGGTGGGGGTGTGGTGCGGACTGTGCCTGACCCTGGGTATCCTGGGCCATGCCCGAGGGGAGGGGCCCTTAGGCTCTGTGGGGTGGGAATGGGAGGCCTCTCCTGATGTTTCCAAGAGGTGAAATCTCCCAGAATGTTCCATGAATGGGTGTGTCAGAGAGGTCTCTGCCCCAGGCTCATCATCCGCCCTGCCTCTGGGTAAAGGCTCTGCAAAGACACCCGCCCACCCTTACAGGCATCGCAGGGAACCCTGTGACCTTCAATGAGAATGGAGATGCGCCTGGGCGCTATGACATCTACCAATACCAGCTGCGCAACGATTCTGCCGAGTACAAGGTCATTGGCTCCTGGACTGACCACCTGCACCTTAGAGTAAGTGGGAGGGCAGGGAGTGGGTGGAGAGTGACTCACGCAGTTCCAGCCCCTGGGAGGGGGGCCCAAGGGGAGGCTGCTGCTGATTAGCCCTGACCTCCAGGACCGCTGCTGCCAGGCTGGGGCTTCCTTCCCAGTGCCCTCTCCCAGACCTCAGCGGCTCTGAGGCCCCCACCCTGAAATGGAAGACAGGGCAGTCGGAGTTCTGCTGCCATTCTGGTCCCTGCCCCCTCCCTTAGCCTGGGGCCTTCTTGCCTGCTACCCACTGAGGAGGGGATGGGGGGACTCTGGATAGAAGAATTCACACCAGTGTGAAATGGCTCAAAGGCTTTTTGGGTGGGCAAGTGGGGGGTGATGGGGGGGGCATGGGGGAATAAGGTGAGGAGGGGGAGGGCTGCATTTGGACAAAGGAGGAAGTCTTAAGGCAAAGGACCCAGGTTGAACGGTGGGATTTGTGCCACTGACTGGTGGGTAGTGAGCCAGTTGCCAGTTCCCCAGCCCCATCAAAGCACGATAGAAGGCAGCCATTTTTCTGGGTCCTCCTAGCCACGCTTTCCTAGCTCATGGAATGTCCCACGGATGTGGTGACTTTCCCTCTCTGGCCCTCAGTATCCCAGCTGTGAAACAGAGCAGTGTTTTCGGAGAGAAAGGACCTTTGGTTTGTTCCTCAACAAAGTGCTTGTGGACTTGGTCTCTACCTTGCAAGGGGAAGGGGTGAGCCATAACCGGGGTGGGCCCACTGTGACCCCGTGGATAGACTGGAGAGACTCAGAGACAGGTCCTCATCTGGCCTCCACTCTCCTTGTCCTGGGATCCCGTGGGTGCTGCATCGAGGCCCCGCCGTCTCCTCTTGTCATAATCTCTTCCAGCGAGGAACCCCTCGTGCTCTGCTCTTCAAAGCACTCTTGGCCTGCAGTCTTATTTAGCCCAACCTTATCTTCTAAGTCAGAGGAAATCTCCCAGGAAAACCAGCCCTGGGGAGGCAGAAGGACTCTCCTAAAGGCCACACCGTGTGGCAGGAACAGCCTGTTCCTAAATGAGGCTCCTTGGATTGCTGTGTGGAGAGCGATGGGCACAACAGGGTGTGAGGAGCACTTGGCAAAGTGGGATAACACCAAGTCGATGTGCCCGTTTTGTTTTGGTGCAGTGGGCAGAGCACGGGGGCCGGGGACTGCAACTCACTAGCGGCAGCAGCTAGCACTTACTGAGTACCTGCTGTGTCCGAGCTGCTACTCTAAGCACGTCCCCTTGCTGTGAAGATGACAGCTCTGTGAGGCAGGCAGTTATCCCCATTTTCCAGATGTCCTAACTGAAGGTGGCAGGGACTGGGCACGTGTGGGTGGCAGTGGGCCCTTCCCCTGAAAGTCCCCTCCCCAGGAATACAAGGCCCCTCCACCGGCCAGACCGTCTTCATGGCCCATTCTGATGCAGCTCCCAATGCCCTCTTAGTCCTCCTCACCTGTAAGGCCCAGACAGAGCTGAGGTGGTGGGGGGAGGTGAGATGGGGTTGGACTTTAACCATCAACCTTCCCCACTTTCTCCGTGAGTGGCTCAGTTTGGGCTGTGCTGTGAGGGCCACAGAGCAAGCAAGGTACCTGTAACCACCTACCTGGCTACTGTCCTCCTCCAGGGTCTCAGGGTGTGGCGGCGTCGCATCACTGGTACCCTGGACCTTCTTGCCTGTGTAGTTATTCTTTCATAGATTCCACAGAGACCTGCTGGGCCTCTACTATGTGCCAGCCTGTGCTGAGGGCTGGAGACACAGCAGGGAAGTTAACACAATGCCTCTGCCCTCATGGAGCTGACGTTCTAGTGAAATATTAAAAAGTATATCCATTATGACTTCTAAATGGAGGTCACTCCAAGTAACAAAGGGCAAAGTGGCTTCATATCTGCTTTCATTGGATCAGATGAGAAAACAAAGGCTCAGAGAGGAGAAGCCATTTGCTCAAGGACGCACAGCCAGGTAGCAACAGAACTGTGATCCCAGGACTTGACCTCAGTCACTGCTCTTTCCATCTGAATCACAGAGTTTTCCGGAACACTCACCATCGCCCCGTGTCCTCTGGGGAAGGGTCTTTCCCCTGCAGTTGCACAGCTGCAGTCCACAGGGACCGTCTCGCCTCCACATTCCTGCAGGACAGGTGGCACTTGTCCTTGCTCTGTGCGCTTTGGCTTCTGAGTTAATCCACATCCTGTCATGCCCAGAGCCACAGGACAACCTTCTACCTTGAGGTTTTCTTCCTACCTTGCCACGAGGCATCCCTACTTACCCACCTTACCCCTTTCCTTTATTCTTTTTTTTTTTTTTTTTTTGAGACGGAATCTTGCTCTGTCGTCAGGCTGGAGCGCAGTGGCATGATCTTGGCTCACTGAAACCTCTACCTCCTGGGTTCAAGCCATTCTCTTGCCTCAGCCTCCTGAGTAGCTAGGATTATAGGTGCACGCCACCACACCCAGCTAATTTTTGTATTTTCAGTAGAGACGGGGTTTCACCATGTTGGCCAGGCTGGTCTCGATCTCTTGACCTCATGATCCTCCCGCCTTGCCCTCCCAAAGTGCTGGGATTACAGACCTGAGCTACCATGCCTGGCCCCTTTTCCTTTATTCTAAAGCCCTCCCCACACCCCCCAACCAGCTAGTTACACTTTATCAGGAGGTAGCACCCAGTGCAAATGCACCAGTCTAGCCAGGCTTGCTGTGCTCTGAGAGTGAGCACTTCCTAAGAGACACTTTATTTAGAACAGTCGCTTTGAATACAGCTCCCAGGTGTAGTCAAGTCCCTTTGCCTGATGCCTGAGACTCTTTTGGGACTCTCACTTTCCAGAATATTGTAACATATTCAGTAGGGTGTGACAACACTCGTGTGGCTCTATTGCTCACAGTCATTGTGTCTTCAGGGACGTGTAACTGTGGGTAGCACTAATTTAGAGCAAGATGTAAAGAAATGCTAACCCCTGAGCACACATTAAGCATCCTCTGATTAAACCTTTGTTCAGCTCTCTGCTGAATCCAACTCCCTGCTGTTTGGCAGAGGTGCCTTGGGCTGGGCCGTAGGGCAGCACATCTTCCACTCCAGTGTGCACAGGAATCATCTGGGGGTCTTGCTGAAACTCAGATTCTGAGTTAGTAGGTCTGGGATGGGGCTGGAATTTGCCTTTCCAACAAGCTCCTGGGTGAGGCTGCTGCTGCCGCCCTGGGGACCACTGTGAGCAGCAAGGCCTTAGGGGCTAAGAGTCAGGACTCTTGAGTTCTCTTTGCTCTGCACTGTTGTTTCCTGTGACTCTAGGTTGTCACTACTGCTTTCTGGGCTCAGTTTCTTCATATGAGTCTTGAGAGTTTCGGGTTCAGTCAGGATTCCCTGTAGGTCAATTATGTCTGAGTTATGCCGGAGACCTTTTTTAACTCCAGCTGTTAGATTCAGTAAGTCCCTGTGGGGTCCGGGCAGCTGGACTTTTAGCCAACTAGCTGGGTGATTTGAGTGTGGGGCTACAAGGTGCCACCACCCAGTAGGATGGTCCGGGGCACCGGGTGGCATGTTCTGAGGCCTGCTTTACGGTGCTGTCATTGCCAGATAGAGCGGATGCACTGGCCGGGGAGCGGGCAGCAGCTGCCCCGCTCCATCTGCAGCCTGCCCTGCCAACCGGGTGAGCGGAAGAAGACAGTGAAGGGCATGCCTTGCTGCTGGCACTGCGAGCCTTGCACAGGGTACCAGTACCAGGTGGACCGCTACACCTGTAAGACGTGTCCCTATGACATGCGGCCCACAGAGAACCGCACGGGCTGCCGGCCCATCCCCATCATCAAGCTTGAGTGGGGCTCGCCCTGGGCCGTGCTGCCCCTCTTCCTGGCCGTGGTGGGCATCGCTGCCACGTTGTTCGTGGTGATCACCTTTGTGCGCTACAACGACACGCCCATCGTCAAGGCCTCGGGCCGTGAACTGAGCTACGTGCTGCTGGCAGGCATCTTCCTGTGCTATGCCACCACCTTCCTCATGATCGCTGAGCCCGACCTTGGCACCTGCTCGCTGCGCCGAATCTTCCTGGGACTAGGGATGAGCATCAGCTATGCAGCCCTGCTCACCAAGACCAACCGCATCTACCGCATCTTCGAGCAGGGCAAGCGCTCGGTCAGTGCCCCACGCTTCATCAGCCCCGCCTCACAGCTGGCCATCACCTTCAGCCTCATCTCGCTGCAGCTGCTGGGCATCTGTGTGTGGTTTGTGGTGGACCCCTCCCACTCGGTGGTGGACTTCCAGGACCAGCGGACACTCGACCCCCGCTTCGCCAGGGGTGTGCTCAAGTGTGACATCTCGGACCTGTCGCTCATCTGCCTGCTGGGCTACAGCATGCTGCTCATGGTCACGTGCACCGTGTATGCCATCAAGACACGCGGCGTGCCCGAGACCTTCAATGAGGCCAAGCCCATTGGCTTCACCATGTACACCACTTGCATCGTCTGGCTGGCCTTCATCCCCATCTTCTTTGGCACCTCGCAGTCGGCCGACAAGGTGAGTGGTGGGGGCCGGGGGTGGACGGTGGGTAGGTGAGGGCAGTGAGCAAGGGGCAGCCTCCTGAGGCTGGCTGGCCTCCCCCCTGCTCCAGAAATGCCTTCTTTCATGCCTCATTCTGCCTTCTTTCTTGCCTCATTCTGCCTTCTTTCATGCCTCATTCTGCCTTCTCTCCCAGCTGCAAGTTTTCTCTCTGGGTTCTGGGTTTTCTCTCCTCTTTCTCTGTTTTTGCCCCTCTCCCTCTTCTCTCTCCCCCTTTCTCTCTGTCTCATCTCTCCTTTTTTCTCTCCTCCTTTTGTCTCCTTCAGCCCCACTTTACTCCCTCTTTCCATCCTCCCCCTGTTCTCCTTCCCCCTCCTCCTCTTTCTCCCTGTCTCTCCATCCCTGCTGCCCTTACCCCATCTCCTTTCATTCTTTCCTCCTCCTATTCTCTCACCCCTTCCCCCCTCCATAAGCCTGGAGCGCTGTACCCTCCTTCACTCTTCATTCTTTTCTAGACTCCTTTCTCTTACCTCTCTCCCTACTCAACCCTGTCTTCCTTTTGGTTCACTCCTCTCTTCTCCCTCCTCCATCTACCCCTCACAAGATCCCCATGGGACCCCCCTTCTCTCCCCAGCCCCAAGCTGCCCTGGAAGCCTAAAGGCTAGGGGCTGGCAGAGGGCCTTTCCTTCCCTTGGCTGGAGTTGCAGAGTGGCTACCTCTGCCTCCTGTTGGCTTGGTCCGAGGACCTGGGCACACCCCAAGAGACCTGTATGCTCGGCCCACATCCCAGTCCTGGTGCTGGCTGGGTGACTCGGGGGTGTTATCTGGAAGTACTGGGAGTCACTGAAGGCAGGGCATCAAGGTGCACCAAGGACCCAGGTCTTGGTCTGAGTGCCATGTATAAGTGTGGGATCTGGGCAAGCCAGTTGGCCTCCCTGGCCTCAGTTTCTTCATCAGTAAATTGGGACCATGTCCCTTTCCCTGCAGTCTTTCCAGGTATTGTCACAATCACATGACACAGTGGGTGCACAAACAGTTAATACACTGTAAGGAGTGTGGAGCTGAGGAAGCCAGAGGAGTGGGGAACGAGATCAGAGAGGTGACAGGCCAGATGGTGGCAATGACATTGGCTTTTACCATGAGTGAGAAGAGAGGCCGCTGCAGGCTTCTGAGCAGGTGAGGGTGCTATCTGATGTAGGTTGAAAAGGACCCTCTGGCTGCCAAGAGCAGCTGTGAGAAGGTCACTGTCATGCTCTGCAGGAGAGGGTGTCCCCAGCAGATGCAGTGGGGAGTGGGGGAGTCTGGGCCTGTCTGGAGACTGGCTGGTCAGGTTTCCAATGGATGGCACGTTGGGTGGGAGACGAGGAGACAGTCGAGTCAAGGAGGACACCATGCTTTGAGGCCTGAGCAATCAGGAAGGAAGGAGTTTCCCATGCTAAGGAAGAGCAGACAATGAGAGGAGCCTGGGAGGGGCAGGAGAAGGGGTCCTTTGGACATGCTAAGTTTGGGATGCTCATTAGACGTCCAAATGCAGCTGCCAAGTCAGTGGTTGAATATAGGAGTCTGGAGTTCAGGGGCAAGTTCTGGGCTGGAGACATATCTGAGGAGTTGTCAGCCTGAGCCTGGCATCTAGAGCTGTGAGCCCAAGGCTGGGTGTGGTGGCTCATGCCTATAATCCCAGCACTTTGGGAGGCTGAGGCGGGTGGATCACTTGAGGTCAGGAGTTCGAGACCAGCCTGACCAACATGGTGAAACCCTGTCTCTAGCAAAAATACAAAAACGTAGCCAGGCATGGTGGCTTATGCTTGTAGTCCAAGCTATTCAGGAGGCTGAGGCAGGAGAAATGCTTGAACTTGGGAGACGGAGGTTGCAGTGAGCTGAGATTGTGACACTGCACTCCAGCCAGGGTGACAGAGTGACAGTCTATCTCATGAAAAAGAAAAGAAAAGAAATAAAGAGAGAGAGAGGGAGAGAGAAAGAAAGAGAAAGAGAGAGAGAGAGAGAAAGAGAAAGAAAGAGAGAGAAAGAAAGAGCGAGCTGTGAGCGCCAGTCTGAGCTCCCAGGGTTGCCTAGTTTTCAGTGAGGCAGCCATGGGATGGGGTGCTCGTCATGTGGAGACAGTTTACCTAACGGCCGTTTGGCCCCATGGCAGCTGGTGAGGTCTCATCATCCCCTGCTTACAGATGAGGACTCAGGGGCACAGAGAGGGGGAGTGACTTGCCTTGGTGGCACAGCTGGACTTGTCCCCACTTTGTCTAACTTAGGAGCACCCCCCCATCCCCAGCACACCCTTCCCCCCTGCAGCTCTGGGATACCTCATGCCCTGGGACTTCCTTGGTAGGTGCCCACCTCTTTTCCAACAGCTCCTCAAGGGTCATCTTCCAATGGGGGCCCTGTGGGGGCCCTAAGAGGCAGACCTTGGGGCTGGCAGTGAGTGTCCTAAGATCTGAGATCTGAGACTGGGTCTGCTTCAGCAGGGGGATCCCACCTTGCAAGCCTGAGCCAAGCAGCCCTGGTGCAGCCATGGCGCCCGGCCCATGCTGTGAGCTGGGTCTCTGGCCTCCACCAGGCCTGCTGTGGGAGACCCTCCCTGCTGAGCGCAGGTGCAGGCAGAGGCCCTCACGCCTCTCAATGCTCATGGGCCCCATGGAGCCAGCAGGGAGGCCATCCCATACCCCAGGAAACTGGCAGCTTGAGAAATTACCCTCAACAATACCAGGAGGCCCCTTCCCACACCTCCTCAGGGAGTAAAGGTACCTGGCTGGGAGGCCCACACGTGATGGTTAAGCCCCTCCCTCCACCTTGCCATATTTCCCCCTGGCTGCCTGCCAGCAGCCCACTCCCCAGTGGGGTCCCTGTCATCCCAGGATATCAGGCTCTCCAGTCTCCAGATGTTGCAACCCAGCCCCCCAACTCAGCCTCCCTACCCTTTCAATCTCTGCAGGTGACCTACCAGCCTCTGATTCCTGCCTTTTTAGGAGGCTCCCCCAGCCAGCCCTGATTATGAAGGGAGTCCCTGAGATGATCAGTTCATAGGCCCAGAGAGGGACAGGGACTTGTCCCAGGTCATACGACAGGCTGGCCTCACACCAGTGTGCTCTCTCCCTGGTGGCCTAGGACATGGGACATACACCTCTCCCACTCTGGGCCTCTGAACGGGAGGCGGTGGAGGACATGTGTTCTGAAGTTCCTGCGGTTCAGACTACCAGGCTTCTTAGAGACTCAGGCAACCTGGGGCTGTGTCTGGGCCATGTCATGCCGAGCTGCAAGATGCCCCAGTGCAAGCTGCAGGTCTGGCTGCTAAGTGTGTGTGTTTGCATGTAGATCAAGCGGGGTGTGGCTGTTGTCAGGAGTTGTGGTGTGCCTACAGAGGTGTGTGTGTATAGACGTGTGTGTGCCTTTCTGTGCATGTACATGCTCAGTGGTGCATGTGTGGTGTGTGTGCACAGGTGTGTGCCCATGTGCATGCAGATTAAGCGGGGATGGGTTGATGGGTGTGCTGAAGGGTATGTAGCTGCTGGTGTGTGTATGGATGTGTAGGCTGAGCATATGTGCCCAGGAGTGTTTGTGCACACAAGTGTGCAGATGTGTGAGTGCAAATGTTAGTGAGTGTGTGCAGGTGGATGTGTGTAGATGTGTGAGTACATTTGTGTCTATGTATATGTGTGTACCCATGTGTGAAGAGGTGTGTGTGTGTGTGTGTTTGTGTGTGTGTGAGAGAGAGAGAGAGAGAGCCCAGCTGAGTCAGATGCAAATGTGCAGCTGTGAGGTCAGGTGTATGTGTCAATGCAGGTACGTACGTGTATATTGATGTGTGTGTGAGCAGGCATGCATGTATGCACACACGCACTTGCACATGCTCAGCTGCACCCGTTCCCCCAGGGTTCAGGTGCTGTCACAGAGTGAAGCTGTCTGTGCCACTCTGGTGAGCAGGCGGCTGGATTTCCCAGCCTTAGCCCGGATTTCCAGGGCTTAACACCACAGCCATTTGGAATTACACTGAGCGGGCTTTCTCCACTACGTGGGGTTACTGCTCAGTCATGCTTGGGCAGGACGTGGCTGCAGAGGCAATCAGGGTGTGGGGAAGTTTATTTGTCTGGTTTGTACAGATTTGGAGGATCTTGGTTCCTATCAGGGTCAGCCGGCAGAAGCACAAGGCAGGCAGAGCTCCCTGGTGCCCCCACTGGGGCCCCTCGAACCCTGTACCCACCAGGCCTAGCACGAAAGCAGGAAATTCATCATCCACATCTACAGCTGCTCCTTCCTGTGCCCTATCCTCACCCCAGGTGTCCTCTGTCCTCCTGTATCAAACTCAGCTCAGACAAGCTCCTTCACCATGGGGAGCACATGACTAGTGAGGTTGAATGCAGGATTCCTCATGGAGGATGGAGTGCAGTGAGGGCCCATCCACACAGGAGAGCAGGGATGGTGGGAGTTCAGGCACCAGCGGGCTAAGAGGCAGGTGGGTGGGAGAGGAGGGGAGATCATAGCCCGAAGGCCGCCTCTCGCTCTACCTCCCTTTAGGACCTTCCTGGTGCCTGGGTTCAGCCCCTCGGGAGTGCCTGCTGGGGTCTAGAGGACCACTGTTTCTCTGATAAGGGTTAACCTGCTACCACCTCCTGGTGGCCATGTGTACCTTCACAGAGGGGGCTCCAGAAACAATGTCTGACCCAGAGGCAGGCTCCCATGGTGGGGCTCAAATTCCACACCCTGGGGCAAGGAGCAGAACTGGCGGTGGGCAGCCCCACTCCTGCTGTGTACAGGGCCTACCTCCCAGCTGGGGATGGCTAGAGGAGCCCCCAGGGCCCATGCTGGGAGGGAGGGTTTTGATCTATTTATATCCCTTGAATTTTGTTCGCAGAAAGGCTCCTAGGCTGAAAAACAATATAGAAGAGAATACCAATGACTGTGCCCATGCCTGTGTTGAGAGTTGGCTATATAATTTTCAGCGCCCAGCACAAAATGAAAACGAAGGGCCCACTGTTCAGAAATTATCCACGATTCAATATGGTGGCAGAAGGACCTTAAACTGAGAGCTAGGCACAGGCCCCTGGGTGACTGCACAGGTTGTACACTCATAGCGCTGGCCCTGCCTGTGTTCATGGAGGGGCATCTGGTGCCCAGAGAGGGGTGGAAACTTGTTAGCATCCCACAGTGGGCTGAGGCAGAGTAGAATCTGGAACCCAGGACGCTGGCCCTCGACATAGAACTGTGTCCACTGCAAGGGTTCCTCTGCCCAGAGAAGGGCCTCAATCCCTGGTCCCACCAACTCCATGTGGGCCCAATTGCACTGCACCCATCAACAAGGAGCAGGCAAAGGGTCTAAGATGGGTGTCTTACCTGGGACACAACCCCTATTTCCAAGAACCCCCAGTGTGAGAGGAGAGCCAGCCCTGCCCTCAGGGAACCCTGATGTAATCAGGGAGACACACCTTGTCCCTAGGGAACTCCTAGTCTCATGGTGAAGACCCAGATGACAAGCCTATTCTCCATTAGCCCGAGACTCTACGATATTCCCCAAGCGTCTGTTTTGATGCTCTGGAGCTTCTTCCTGCCTTCTCACCCTGGCCACCAGCCCCAGTTTGGGCAGGAGAGACGGCCAGCACGGCCCCGCTGGCTGGTCATGACCTTTCCCTCCAGGAGAGCTCCATGCCCAGGGGTGAGAGTGTAAGTAGTATCTGAGGATGGAGGCCTGTCTGTGTCTGGAGCGGCATGTGCTCACTGGGGGACAGGCTTTCATTTTCCCTGGGCCTGTGACATTTCCCTGAACCAGTGGCCACTCTCGGCCTCCTTCCCCTCGGAGCTCTGCCTGACCTGGGCCACGCCAGCCTGGAGGCTGCACTTTGAGGAGTGTCAGTGCCTTGGCTTGGGCACATCATGGCTGTCCGGTCATGCCCCCGTGTCCCCCATGTCTCTTCTCCTCACCTTCATCTCAGTGCCTGCGGTCACTAAAAGCAAGTTTCACATGGCTTCACAGTCTGTGCTTGGGGTACCCTCATGGTTTGGGTGAGGTAGCTGCTTTCATCCCATTGCACTGAGGGAAAAACTGAGGCCCACAGAAGGGCAGGATTCTCCTTTTAGGCCCTATGGCTTCTCCAGTCCCTCTCCCAAAGGTAGGAAACCCAGGGCAGGGTGGCTGGAAATGAAGGTCATCCCATCCAGTGTCATGAGGCATCTATGGAGCGGCGTGCAAGGGACAGGGAGGAATATAAGAATGGGAAGACCTGGTCCCTACATGGGGGGTACTGCCAGATGAGGCCAGGGCCCCTGTGCCTTCAGGAAACAAGTCCAGACCTGTGTCCACACTGCTGGTCTGGGTAGAAGAAATGAAGGGTATCATGGGGGCCCATAGAGCTGGGGGTCAGGAGAGGATTCCTGGAGGAAGCACACCAGCCATGTACCAGGGCAGGACCCAGGCTCAGAAAGAGCAGATTTGGGAAAGAGCATTTCCTGCTTCCTTCATGCCCAGACCCAGGAGGCCTAGCCTGGGTCTCCTTTGGTCCCACCTTGGCTGAGGAGGTTCAGAGGGGCGGCTGAGGCCTGGAGGACCCGAAGGAAGGGAGAGGCAGGGAGGGGAATCCCAGACGGGGACAGTGGGAATTGCCGGACCCTGCCTGGAAGGCTCTACTATTGTAAAATGGATTATCCGACACCCAGATTAATGGGCTTTCATTTTGCTAAACATCTGTCACTGTTAGTGCTGGCGAGCGAGCATGAAATGAGCTCTGACTGCTGCCACCACCATATCGCGATGGGTGCCGAGGATCCCATGCTCTGCACTGGGGGACCGTTGCGGGGGCAGTCATTGAATGGAGGTCTGATCCGAGGGGCTGTGACGTGGCCACTGGGTGTTATCCCAAAGCACCAAGGGGTGCTCCTCTCGCCCTCAGCCCTGAGAAGGGCCAGCTGTGGTCTCCTGAGAGCCTCTCCTCAGGCGCACGTCCTCCACATAGCAAATAACAGCGGTAACCTGAAATGGCACTTACCATGTGCCAGATGTTTTCCACACTTTTAAAACATTTATTAAGTCACTTAATTCTCACAACAGCCCTAGGAGGTAAGTACTATCATTATCACGCCCACATTATACGTGAGGAAACTGAGGCACAAGGATGTGACGTGTCTAATATCACACAGCTGGAAGTAGTGAGCCAAGATTTGAATGCAGAAACCCTGGTCTGCAGTCCCAGCTCCAAGCCACGACTTCCTTCTGCCTGAAGGCAGCGGGATGCCGGGTGGGTCCCTGGGTGGGAACTGGCGGGAGTCAGGGCCCTCAGTCGGGGCAGAGCCTGCTCTGACGCCACCGTGCCCTCCGCCAGCTGTACATCCAGACGACGACGCTGACGGTCTCGGTGAGTCTGAGCGCCTCGGTGTCCCTGGGAATGCTCTACATGCCCAAAGTCTACATCATCCTCTTCCACCCGGAGCAGAACGTGCCCAAGCGCAAGCGCAGCCTCAAAGCCGTCGTTACGGCGGCCACCATGTCCAACAAGTTCACGCAGAAGGGCAACTTCCGGCCCAACGGAGAGGCCAAGTCTGAGCTCTGCGAGAACCTTGAGGCCCCAGGTGAGTGCCTGGCCCCGTTCTGCCCTCTCGGGCCCCAGGCCCCGCTCCTTTTGCAGCAGGTGGGCTGAGCTCCTGCCCCTCCCCACCCCGCCCTGCCCCGATGCCCCATCCTGGGGAGGCGGCGGGGGACACTGGGGGAACCCTGAGGCTACAGGTGGGAGCCAGCCTCTCAGGGAGAGCCCTGAGGCACCACATTAGAGCCCGTTCTGTCCTGCCCCTCCTGGTGGCCTGGAGAGAACCTCAAGGTTTCCCCAGCTGGTGCCCTAGCAGCGCCCTTCCAGGGATCTGTGCCCCACCCCGAGGCAGGCCACCAGGGGGCGCCTGGGCCCTGAGGGTGAGCGGGGACCCCGGGATTTCCCTGTGCTGGGGCCTGGGTCTCTGCCTGTGCCCCTGCCTGTGCCCTTTCAGCCCCTCTGGGAGAAGGAATCGTCCCCGGGGCCCTGCACACTGGCCCTTTGGTAACCCGGTGGGGTGGGAGCGGCCCTGAGCCCAGAGCAGCTGTAACACCCAGCTCGGCTTTGTTCAGCCACCCCCTAGCAGGCACCTGAGCTATGGGGACCCGGGACATGGGCCGGCCAGGACCGGTGAGTGAGGGCAGGGTGAGGCAGAGGGGCCTACAGGACTGCCTAGCGGCGCTCAGGTAGTTGCCTGTCTGGGGGACTGTCCGGGGAGACCCAGCAGGAAAGGGTCATGCTTTGTGGTGGGGGAGGGCACCAGGCAGGGACCTCGGCAGCTGAGGGGCAGGCCTGTGGTCTGGAGCTGGCCAGGACAGGTCCCTCCAGGGCTGGTAACGGAGCAGTGCCACCATCTTTGCCAACTTCCCTCTTCCTCGGAGATCCAGCCTGTGCACCTCTGTTGTGGAGAGTATACTGGCTTCTGATACCCTTCCCTCTCTGATCAACACCCCTGATGCCTGTGTGTCCCCCTTTTCCTGCCCTGCGACCTCTGGTTCTTTCCAGTCCTCCTCCTCCCCACAGAACACCAGCTTCCCTCAACCTACGACCCTGGGGTTCCCTTCGGGTGCCATGCTGGCCCCCATGCAGAGCGGGGAAGGGACAGAGGGGCCCATGGGACTCCCACCTTTGGCCTTTCATGTCTACCTGGATGTTCGGAAACCCCAGATGAAGTCCTGACCAGGCCTTTCTGCCAAATTGGGGACCCTCTCCCTGTTCCAGTTTTCCTCCTTCCCATGGAGACCTTCCTTCCCAGGTCCCAGGTCCTGTTCCATCCAGACCACCTCTCTGCTGCGTGCAGGAGCAGGTCTGTCAGATATGCTTTTCCCCAGTGCTCCTGAGAGCTAGGGGGTATTAGCCCCTCCCGGAGGTGACACCCTGGCCCCAAAGGGTGACACCGCGGGTGCTGTGACAGGGCAGAGGGTCCCATAAAGGGTGGGGCCCTCACAGAGAGCTCTGATGGCTCAGTACGGGTACTGCCCTCTGCCTCTGCTCCAGCCAGTCACCTGGGAACATGGGACAATTACCCACTCCTGCCAGAGGAGGGGTGTGGAGGCCTGGGGAGGGAGACCCCGTATCCCCAGGCCCCTGCTTCCTGCCCAGAGGGGCCTGGGGGTCTCCAGGCTGTGGGGCAGCCCCCATGGGCCTCACTTCCAGCTGCTCTGGGGTTGGGAGGGACCGAGGGGTCTGTGGTCACCCAGACCCCCTGCAGGCCTTGGCATCCTCCCCTCTGAAAGTCTTAGGGGCTTCCATGGTAGGGAAGTGGGGAGCCCCTCTCCCCACCTCCTGTGTGAAGGGCAGCAACCAGCACCCTGTGCCCCCACTGTCTCTCAGCTCAGTGACAACAGGGGCCATGGAGGCACCGGGCAGGAGCCAGGTGATTAATTCTGGGGACAGCCGGATGGAGGGGGTGTGAGCAGGAGGAGTGGGAAGGTGTCACTCCTGTGGAACAGGGACATTTTTCACTCTGTCACTGGCAGGCTACATATCTTTAAACAAACAACAGAATAAATAATTCAGGGGCCTGATTGCAGGCAGATTGGGTGCGGAGACAAGGGGTGACAAACGGGGACTGTCAGCTGGTGCCTAGCACTGCCTGGCTAATTGTTATCTGCGCCTCCGGCAACTGAAAACCAGCAGCCAGGGCCTATTGTCAGCACCGGGTGGGCTCGGGGCCTCGGCCCACACCCCTTGGCCTTCCCCTCACACTGAGGGTGCTCCGGGAGTGTTGCTGTCCCTATCCAGTCCCCAGTGCTGGAATAATTCCAGCCCTGTCCTTCTGCCCAGCATTTTGCAGGATTTAAAGAGTGTTTCTGTTCACCTCTTGGCTGACCCCACGTGGTGTTTATTATCACCCCATCTTACAGATGAGAGACTCTCGGCTCTGAGAAGGTCAGTTTGTTAGAAGGGCCACATGGCAGGTGTCGAGATTCCCCCACAGCATTGCGGGCAGGACTGGTCCCCAAGTGTCCTGACTTCCGGTGAACCTTTCCCTTGGAGCCTCACTGTTAGCTCATGGGGGCCCTGGGCAGACTCACGGCTCCCATTTTCCAGATGGTGAGACTGAGGCTTGGGTGAAGAGCTCCCCAGCTTCTGGAACCTGTGAGCTGGGTTTTCTAGGGCAGACAGGTAGGGCATTAGAGGAGAGCAGAGGCCCTGTGGTCCTTCCTCTCTACACTTTCTCTAGTCTGCAGCTGCCCCTGGTGCCCCTCAGCTGCCCTCAGGCTCGCATCCCCTGCAGTCAGTGGAGATTTTGTTGTGGCTGCTGAGAGTTTTTTTCACCTCTGAGCCAGGAGCTGCTGATGGGTTTTACAGGCTTGGAAGCTCAGTTTTATCAGTTCCCCCAGGGGGTGACGGAGCTCTGGGGAATTGATTCTCACCAGCCTGGCCTGCTGTGATTCGCATAGCCACTGCTGTTCCTTTTCTGACCATGGGGGATAGAATGGGGTGAAGATGTTGGAGGCAGTTGGAAGCCCCTCAGGAGAAGTAGTCTAGGCAAAAAGGGCCACTTTGCTCAAGTTACAAGCAGGGAAACTGAGGCCCAGCAAAGGAGGGGAAGAGCTGCCTGAGGCTCAGAGAGAGTGTGAGGCCTCCCAGCAACTAGAATCTCGGCTCCCGCCCTCAGGGTGCTGGTCTGTGCTCATCTCCCTCTCAGCACCTGCCATCCCAGGCTACCTCCTGGATGCTGCCCCATCCAAAATGACCTGTCCTGTGGTCCCTCTGCCCTCTTGGTCATCCAGCACCCTGGAAGGACATGGGTCATTTCAGAGATGAAGGTGGGAATTCTTCATGAGCTGTAAGGTGCCATGCTGTGTTCTTATTCTTTTTTTGGATGTTGTGGCACCATTTTCTTCCATTGGCACCTGTCCAGGTAGCACATAAACCTTGAAACTTGCCCACCACCATCCGGCTAAGTGATTCTTCATCGTCTGCTTGAATTTTTCTGTTGACAGGGAGCTCATAGGCCACTGACTCCACCCAACTCTGGCCAGGAGAAAATTCTTCCTTTAACTGAGCTGGACCCTGACCTTCATGCCTCCCTACTGGTCCCATGGTGGACCCCTCTGCTCACCCCATCCTCAAGCAGTTTGCTTCGTCCACATGTGATAGACTGATAGTTGGACACCAAACTTCTGCCTGTGTTAGTGGGCTTCCAGTTACACTGCTGTGACAAAGAGGTCCCAGAACTGAGCAGCTCAAATCAGACAGATGTTTGTTGCTCTCTGCCGTAATAGGACATGGTGGGTGGGTGGGAGTGAGGACCCAGGATCCTTCCATCTTGTTGCTCCATTGGCTCCCTGAAGATTGAGGCTAGATGACCTCAATGGTTGTTCTGCTCATGGAAGGGAAAAGAGAAGACGCATGGGGGAAAGACCCATTTTAATTGAATGACATGGGAGCTGCACACAGTCCTTCCATGTGTATTTCATGAGGAAGAACACAGTCAGGTAAGGCCTCAGCTAGCTGCAAGGGAGGCTGGGAAACCTAGTCCTTCAGAGTCATGTGCCCAGTGAAATAGGGGAGAGAGGATCGGGGGGACAATTTGTAGACCACCACACTTGTCCCCCAGTTTTCTCTTCTCCAGATGCCCCTGGCTGAGTCTGGCAGATGTGCCTCCTTTTTGAGCCAACAGATCCTGACCGAGGGTCAGGGCAGCTTTTAGACAAAGGACAGCTGGTTTCTCCCACCCACTGCTTCTCTCCAGACTCGCAGATCAGCCCCTGCCCCAGGCAGCAATACTGCCCTGATTACCACCACTGAGGCGGCTCCCAGGCCACTGAGGGAGGCCCTAAACCCTGGCTAGACAGGACAAAACCAAGGGTCTGGCCAGGCCCCTCACCCCTCTGGCCTCAGTTCCTCATCTGTCAAGTTGGGCAATGCTTCATTGGCTGCCTCACTAGGCTGCTGTGGGGTCTGCACTCTGGAGGGGTGGGGGACACTCACACTGCTCATGAGAGCTGCTGGCGTCACTCAGCTGTGGACAGGAATGGGAGATACCCCCATGTACCACCCCAGTCCTGGTGTGGAGTAAGGGCCAGAGGGACAGGGGCAGAAAAGGGGGGCTCAAGACTGAGAGAGACAGGGGCACCAAGAAGTAGAAAGGGTAGGTGCTCAGAGGGCCCTGGGGATCTGGGGGACTTGTGTTTCCTTGGGTGTAGGGCGGAGGGCTGAGTCAATCGCATGCCTCAGTTTCTAGCCATGCACGGCCCCACTCTGGTTTTCATTATTTATTTCCTCTGTCCCTGTTCCCCACTCTCTTCCCTTAGGCCACTGTTCTAGTTTAATGTATATTCCTTACATGTGCGCATCCAAAATGCGTGTGGTTGAACTTCTGAAAGACTTCCCTTTGATAATATTTTAAGGTTATATGATGTCATAAAAAAAGGTTTCTTTTGAAGGGTGGTAGAATTAGGAGGTGGCAGGGGCCCCGTGCTGGGGAGCCCCTCACACAGGAGTGGGGTTTGGGAAGGAGTGCTAGAGGAAGGAGTCATCTCTAGAGTACAAAGGGAAGAGGAAAGGCACTCCAGGCAAGCAGCCCAGCCCGGCAAAGGCGTGGAGGTGCGAAACATGGGCCCAGTCCCTGGATGGGGAGCTAGGAACAGCAGGAGAAGCAACCGGGTGGGCCAGGCGGGGCCGGTGCAGTTTGGGGCAGTGTCGATTGCTCAGCTCAGGACTGGATGCCATGAGAGGCGGGGAGCTATGGTAGGTTCTTGTGCAGGGCTGTGCCCATGTGGAAGGACAGTTTGAGAAAAGCAGCCCCTGACTCCTGGGTACCCCTGGTCTCTCTCCTTCCAGCGCTGGCCACCAAACAGACTTACGTCACTTACACCAACCATGCAATCTAGCGAGTCCATGGAGCTGAGCAGCAGGAGGAGGAGCCGTGACCCTGTGGAAGGTGCGTCGGGCCAGGGCCACACCCAAGGGCCCAGCTGTCTTGCCTGCCCGTGGGCACCCACGGACGTGGCTTGGTGCTGAGGATAGCAGAGCCCCCAGCCATCACTGCTGGCAGCCTGGGCAAACCGGGTGAGCAACAGGAGGACGAGGGGCCGGGGCGGTGCCAGGCTACCACAAGAACCTGCGTCTTGGACCATTGCCCCTCCCGGCCCCAAACCACAGGGGCTCAGGTCGTGTGGGCCCCAGTGCTAGATCTCTCCCTCCCTTCGTCTCTGTCTGTGCTGTTGGCGACCCCTCTGTCTGTCTCCAGCCCTGTCTTTCTGTTCTCTTATCTCTTTGTTTCACCTTTTCCCTCTCTGGCGTCCCCGGCTGCTTGTACTCTTGGCCTTTTCTGTGTCTCCTTTCTGGCTCTTGCCTCCGCCTCTCTCTCTCATCCTCTTTGTCCTCAGCTCCTCCTGCTTTCTTGGGTCCCACCAGTGTCACTTTTCTGCCGTTTTCTTTCCTGTTCTCCTCTGCTTCATTCTCGTCCAGCCATTGCTCCCCTCTCCCTGCCACCCTTCCCCAGTTCACCAAACCTTACATGTTGCAAAAGAGAAAAAAGGAAAAAAAATCAAAACACAAAAAAGCCAAAACGAAAACAAATCTCGAGTGTGTTGCCAAGTGCTGCGTCCTCCTGGTGGCCTCTGTGTGTGTCCCTGTGGCCCGCAGCCTGCCCGCCTGCCCCGCCCATCTGCCGTGTGTCTTGCCCGCCTGCCCCGCCCGTCTGCCGTCTGTCTTGCCCGCCTGCCCGCCTGCCCCTCCTGCCGACCACACGGAGTTCAGTGCCTGGGTGTTTGGTGATGGTTATTGACGACAATGTGTAGCGCATGATTGTTTTTATACCAAGAACATTTCTAATAAAAATAAACACATGGTTTTGCACCCGGGCTCCACATCCACTGAGGGTCCTGCCATGGGACCACAGGCTCAGCCTGCAGCTGGAGGGCTTAGACCTAGAGGGAAGCGGGAACTGGGCTCTGGAGACCCAGGGCTTGGGGGCTGTGGAGACTGCTCCCTAGGCTGGGATCTAGTGTGGTGTGGTGAGGCCTTGGGCATGGAGGGGCCAGATTCCCAGGTAAGGGGCAGGGACATTGCAGGAAATTCCAGGAATCAGCACCTAGTAGTCCCCTAATTAGGGGGTATGCTCTGTCCCCTGCCCTGCAGCCCTGGGAGGGTAACATTTCTGCCTTGCCTGTCCTCTGTCTCACACCCCTCACACCTGGGACTGCCCTTCCACCCCTGCCCCCATAACCTGTGCCTCTCTCCTTCCAGCCAGGAAGTCCTCTTCTTGAGAAGTTAGCTTCCCGGGCTGCCAGCACTCATAGCCGTCCCCTCCTGCTTGTGTTGGCTCCAGGCTCGGGTGCTAAGAAGATGTGTGTCTGTCCTGGAGATCAGTGTGTTGTTATGTGTCCACGTGGGCCCACAAGTGCACGGCACAGGCATGGCCGTGTGGCTGTGTTGGCTGTGTTGGCTGTGTGTCTGTGTGCACGTCCAGCGCCTCCATGCGCATGCGTGCCTGTCTTGTTTGCGTGTCTGATCATCTGTTTGGGCCCCGGTGGCTCATGCAGATGCCTGTCTCAGGCCCATGGCGAGTGTTCACCTCAGCTGGCTTCCCTGGCAGGTTGGGAGGTGGGAAACAGGAGCGCTTAGGGGCTGGGCTCTGGCTGGGGTAAATTATAGAGCCAGAAACACAATGAGGCCATAGGCAGCAGCTGGAGCCTGGGCTGCCTGTGCCGTCCCCTCCTGCCCTGCCCCTGGGTCCTGCACCCCCTCCCACCTCCAGGCTAGCTGACAGCGCTATGGAGCACAGTGGAAGGGACTGGAGGAACCCTAGGCAGGGGGCCACGCAGGGACAGAGTATGAGAGTGTGTGTATAACTGAGGCTGGGACATTGAATCATGCCAGGTATGTCTTCTCCATCAGCCCACTCTTACTCCTGGCCTGGGCATCTCACACATCTGTGCATAGGAAATCTCTTCTTCCCTGGGGTCTGTGTGCAGCACCTAGTAGATGCTCAATAAATGTTTGTGTGAGGGAAGGAGACAGGAAAGGAAGTGTCTCGCTGATCATCTTGCGGAATGGTTCCTAAGACCTCTGCCCAGGAAAGATTCCACCCAGTGCTCCAGCCCGGTCAGGCAGAACTAGGTTGCCAGATCAAGGGTATCTCCCAAAAGCTTCCAGGGCAGTTGGGGGTGGGGGGGTGGGGGGTAGGGATGGGGAATGCAGAAGCGGGTGCAGCCAGCTCTCCCCCAGGGTGACTCTGGCAGCACCCCCATCCTGGGCACCCTGCCTGCTCTGTGGCTCACGCCCCTCCTGAAGTGACTGATGCTCTGAGGCCCAAGGCTAGGTCCAGGGCAGGGCCTGCAGGGGTTTCATGCTCAGTCCAGGACTTGCCTAGGTCCCCCTACATCTGTGGGGCCCCCATCTAGGTTCTAACAGGAGAATCACCTCTCCAAGGGGGATGCTGCCCCTCGGCTCCCCTTGGCTCTCAGGAGGGGCCCTCAGGGACTACCAGTCCCCTGCCAGTGGGAAGAAATAGCCCTGCCCTCAGGGAGCTTCCAGTGTGATGGGGGAGATACAGCAGACTGTGTCCCAAAGTAAAATGACTGTTAGAATGAGGTGGGTGGAGGAGGGAAGCCTTGGGTGGGTGTGACTTTGGGCATCTGAGCCTGGGGTGCAGAGGTGGGCTCTGTGGGCCTGAGGTGGACAGGAGGGAACCAGGCCCTAGCAAGACTTTTGCCAGCTAGACCTGCTGCAGCAGTTGGGAGGGTGGGTGCTGCTGGAGTCCTGGGTCCATCACCTAGAAGGCTCAGGCCAGTGCAGCCAGGGCTGGGGCCCACAGCTGGCCTGGGTGGGACCTGCCCTGATGCCCATGGCAGGAGGGACGCCTGGCCCTTCACAATTGGCTTGGCTGCTCACCTTTGCTCTCATCCTCAATTATTAATGACTGGAGAAAGCTGCTAAGTATCTTCAGAATGTTAGATTTCAACAAGATGGGGGGTTCAGGGTCCCTGGCACCCTGGATAGGGAGCCAGCGGCCCCTAGAGACCTTTGCTGTGTGCAGGGGGTATGTGCTCACCCCCGTGGCCTCAGCCTCCTCAATGTCTGAATGAAGGATTGGGCTAGCAGACATCCCACCCCACAGCACACTTTCTAACCAGCAGGGGAACTTCTAGACAATAGAGACGCTGGGCTCCCTCCAGAACACTGGACCTGAACTTCTGGGGGGAGGGCTGGGCACGGGCATATTTTAAAAGCTCCCCAGCAGATGGGCCGTGCAGTCAAGTGGGCCAAGAGTGGCACCAGACTTTGGGGCTTGTGAAGTCAGGAGGGAGCAACAGTGCCCACTCGAGCTTGCCTGGGGCTCAAGCCCAAGGCTGGGCTGCTGCCAGCCTGAGCAGACACCCAGGAGCTTCCAGGCCAGCTGGATGCACAGGGCACCTTTGTGGAACTCCTAGGACCCTGGGGAGACCCACCTCAGGAGCAGAGTCTCAGGTCCCTTCCGGCTCTGAGGGGCTGTTCTGAGCTCTAATGTCTTATGGTCTGCCCCTCCCATCCTTACTTCTCAGGCCCTGGAGGCAGAGGCATAGAGCCAGGCAGGACAGAGGTCTCAGTGGGCCACATGCCAGCTGCCCCCACACTGCCTCAGCCTCCAGGCCTCCAAGGGGTCCTGGGGAGCCCCTGAGAAGATGCTGAGCCTGCATAAGGCTGGGCGCCCCTCTTTCTGACACCCTCACTGGCTCCACGGCTCCCCCTTCCCATCCCAGGTTTCCATCTGCCCACTGAACAGGGAGGGGAAACTGAGGCACTCCCCTGGCACTGAGGGCTCCTTCTGTCATCCTGCCTGCCCTGGATGGTCCTGGCTGCCCCTCAGGGCTTGGCCCTGGCACTGTGAGCCTCACAGGGCTCAGACCCCCACCCCCAACCCAGCACTAAATGGCACTCGGCACCAGAATCTCACTTCAGTTGGCAAAAGCAGCAATTAGCATGTAATGAGGCTTCTTGCTTTATTTTTAGGTAACCTCCAAGGCCCTGCCTGTGTAATTCAGCCCGCCATTGCTCGGTGGATAATTAAAGCATGTCACCATAATTTGCCTTTTTTTTCTATAAAGCACCATAATTATGTTTTTATTGCGAGTGAGGGGGGGAAGGGGGGAGGGAGAAGACAAAGAAAGGTGGAGTTGGGGTAGGAAATGGGGCCTGGCTCCTTCAGCCAGACCTCCTCCTACTCCATCCACAGAACCAGGACCCCCACCCCCATTCTGGGTGCAGCTACCCCCTGGGACCCACTTAACTTCCAGGGCACCTCTTCTCCCTTTTCTTATAAAACCAGCCCCAGTTCGCTTCAAAGTACACAGGGCAGGGAGCAGCAGAGCTGAAGCCAACGTGGCCAAAAGTGGATGATTCTTGAGCGGGCAGTCTTTATCCTGCTCTCCTTCCTGTATATCGGGAAAATTTCCATAATGAGTTAAACAGAGCTCCACCCCCAGGAAAGGGTTTGCTGACTGCAGGGCAACTGGTATCTGCCCTCAGGGCACTTCTTTCTTTCTGACTATGAGGTGAAGGGCTGTCTTTTTGCACCAGGAGATGCATTTCCGTCATTATTTTGGTGCTGGTGAGTGGCAGTGGGTGATCCTTCCTTGAGCATCTGAAATCACTCTCCAAGCCTGCAGGCCAGCTGGAACAGGCCGGCCAGCTGCCCACATGGTTTGAGGGAGCCCGCTGCCCCCAAATATCTTCCCAACTCCAGCGTCAGTGCCCAGAATTCTGCAGTTAAAGCCTCAGGCTTCTGAGCCAAGGCATGTTCTCCCAAAACACATCAACCAGCCAGCAACCATACTGGAATTCAGCATCAAGACACCAGCTGCCCTTAAGGTGTGGGACAGGGGACAGGTAAGTTTTGAAAGATCTGGTGTTGAAAGAGCTCCCCAAATTACCCCAGCTCAAGAGCAGGTCCTCCTCCACTTTCTGAATGCCCCTTCAACCCTAGACTTTATCCTATATTCAGAGGGCTTGCTCATAGTGAGAGGTGACAACGTGCTAGCAGCCCTCGCTCGCTCTCAGCACCTCCTCGGCCTCGGCATCCGCTGTGGCCACTCTTGAAGAACCCTTCAGCCTGCCGCTGCACAGTGGGAACCCCTCTCTGGGCCGGCAGAAGCAGGAGCCGGCTCCCTCTGCTTGCGGGGAGGTGTGGGACGAGTGGCGCGGGCGGGAACCATGGCTCCGCGCGGCGCTCGCGGGCTTGGCGGACCCCGCACTGGGAGCCGCCGGCTGGCGCCGCCAGCCCCAGGCAGTGAGGGGCTTAGCACCCAGGCCAGCAGCTTCGGAGGGTGTGCTGGGTCCCCTTGCACTGCTGGCCCACCCGCCCACGTCGTGCTTGAATTCTCACTGGGCCTCAACCGCCTCCCCGCGGGGCAGAGCTTGGGACCTGCAGCCCGCCATGCCCAAGCCGCCCCCCACGCCCCAGGTGGGCTTCCACGCGGCCGGAGCCTCCGCGACAGACGTCGCACCCTGCTTCGCGGTGCCCGGTCCCATCGACCGCCCAAGGGCTGAGGAGTGCTGGCGGACGGCATGGCACTGGTGGGGAGCTCCGCCCTCGGCCGTGATCGGGGATCCACTAGGCAAAGCCAGCTGGGCTCCTGAGTCGGGTGGGGACTTGGAGAACTTTTATGTCTAACTGGAGGATTGCATATACACCAATCAGCACTCTGTGTCAAGCTCAAGGTTTCTAAACGCACCAATCAGCACCCTGTGTCTAGCTAAAAGTTTGTAAATGCACCAATCAGTGCTCTGTGTCTAGCTAATCTGGTGAGGACTTGGAGAACTTTTATATCTAGCTGGAGGATTGTAAATGCACCAATCAGCACTCTGCGTTTAGCTCAGGGATTGTAAACGCACCAATCAGCACCCTGACAAAACAGACCAATCAACTCTCTGTAAAATGGGCCAATCAGCTCTCTGTAAAATGGGCCAATCAGCTCTCTGTAAAATGGGCCAATCAGCAGGATGTGGGTGGGGTTAGATAAGGGAATAAAACAGGCTGCCCCAGCCAGAAGTGGCAAATTGCTCAGGTTCTCTTTAACGGTGTGTAGGCTTTGTTTTTTCACTGTGTGGGATAAATCTTGCTGTTGTTCAGCATTTGGGGCCATACTGCCTTTATGAACTGTAACACTCACCATAAAGGTCTGCAGCTTTGCTCTTGAAGCCAGCAAGACCACGAAACCCCCAGAAGGAACAAACTCCTGACGCATCCAAACCTCAGAAGAAACAAATTCTGGACACACCATCTTTAAGAACGGTGAAACTCACCGAGAGGGTTTGTGGCTTCATTCTTGAAGTCAGCGAGACCAAGAACCCACCAATTCCGGACACAATAGTTTTTACCCACTGCCAGACTGTCAGCCCCCACCAGGGCAGGACATTTCATTGCTGCTGAATCTCAGGGTGTAGGACAGTACCTGGCACATAGCAGGCATACAACAAATGTTTGTTATGGAATGGATACTTACAGGAGCCTATTTAGCTGTATCTCCACCTCTAGCACTCAGCAATATCTGAGTCTCTGCCCGAAGTTAGTTTCTTCACTTAAGCTTCCCAAGGTCTTCCCCAGAGGCCTGATGTAGAGCACGGATGTAGCACGCTTGTCATTGGGTAGAAAGTGACCCCCATGTCCGTCCTAGGATGACAGGCACGCTGGGGTAGAAATCAGGTGACCTGGATTGTAGGTAAGATTCTGCGACCAATGTGCTGTGTGCCCTTGGGCAAGTAGCGTCCCCTCTGGGCCTCATTTTCTTCATCCTTAAAATAAGGGATTGAGCTCTGAGTGTTCAGAGCCTGAGTAAGCAGCCAGCATTCCAGCAGTGCAGAAAAGGGAGGCTACTGCCAAGAAGAGTCTTTTGGGCCAGTTGCTATGGCAACTGTGCATACACTAAGGGGTTGGGGAGGGGCTCAAGTATGCAAATGAGGCCCTTCCTTTGGCTTCGCCAGCCCAGGTTGTCTGTGACTGGAGAAAGGTTTAACGTTTGGAGCAGTGGAGGAGGATGGATAGCCGGTGGGGGTTGTTGGTGGAGGGGATCAGTGAGGATGGGCCCGTCAGCCCTGCACTCTGCCACTCCTTCACTGGCAGGTGAAGAAAGCGTAGAATGAGGGGTAAGCTGGGTGAAGCCCCAAGGACCATCCACTATTCCTCGTCATACACATTAACAGAGGAAACTGAGGCCCAGAGAGTCAGGAGGCTTGTCTAGACTTGAGAGGTCTCGTAAAGCCCCACCTCACATCCTGATTACCTGCCGTCCCTCAATCCGGAAAGTTAGGGGAGTGCATGGTTTTCAGAGGGCCCTGTAAACACACTTCTTTCGGAGCTTGTAATATGCTCTTGGGGAAGCAGGGAGAGGAGCCTGGAGGTAAGGATCCACCTTCGTCCAGCCCATGAAGGTGGTCGGATGCCCCGCTGGGCATAGGCAGGATCTGGGGCCATGCACAGATAAGGCCAACTGAGGAGTCAGGTTAGAGACCCTGGCTTTAGTCTTTTGCAGGTCTCTGTGACTTGGGTACCTAAGCCTCTTAGCTCTCCAAACTTCAGTTTCCCCATCTGTGAAACAAAACAGTATCTACTGAAAATGATTTCAAGACTACAAAATCATTGCATGACCACAGGAGATGGGGAGAGGACGTGAGCCGTACCCTTGACCTTTGGCTGCCTCTCCTTCCAGAGCAGCATGCTCTCTGCGGTCTTCCTACCCGGATCCTCCCTCCTCTGTGGTTTTGGGCTTCTTTTCTTCCACCCACTCCTCAAATGCTAGGCCTCCCTCTGGGGCTCCAGGCCTGGAACTCTTTTCTTCTTTGACTTCAGAAGTTCTATGGCCCCTCTCATTTAAATTCATGGCCTCAGAGCTTTCCAAATATCCCATGTCCTCCTCCTACATTTCCCCGCTTCCCTTGCAGTTGGATTGAGGCCATGTGACTGTTCTGGTCAGTGACCTATGGGTATAAATAATGCCAGTCACTTCTGGACTGAGGCTTGGGTACACCCCTCCACGTCTCTTTCCTCTTGCTGTGCTGACCTGGGAAGTCACATGTTGAAATGGTGGCGCGTAAGATGGAGGATACCTGGGTCCCTGAATCACTGGATGGAGGAGCGCCTCTGCCAACCCACGGTGAACTTTCTATAAACAAGAAATAAACTTATTTTATGCTAACATGCTGAGATTTCAGGGTTTGTTACTAAGTTATAGCTTTTTCTTTCTTTTTTTTTTTTTTGAGATGGAGTCTTGCTCTGTCACCCAACTGGAATACTGTGGCACAGTCTTGGCTCACTGCAACCCCTGCCTCCCAGGTTCAAGCAATTCTCCTGCCTCAGCCTCCCAAGTAGCTGGGATTACAGGTGTCCACCACCACGCTTGGCTAATTTTTGTATTTTTAGTAGAGACGGGGTTTCACCATGTTGGCCAGGCTGGTCTCAAACTCCTGACCTCAAGTGATCCACCTGCCTCGGCCTCCCAAAGTGCTGGGATCACAGGCATGAGCCACTGCCCCCACCCAGTTATATCTCTTTTTTTTTTTTTTTTTTTTTTTTGAGACGGAGTCTCACTCTGTCACCCAGGCGCTGGAGTGCAGTGGCGCGATCTCGGCTCACTGCAAGCTCCGCCTCCCAGGTTCACGCCATTCTCCTGCCTCAGCCTGCGGAGTAGCTGGGACTACAGGCGCCCGCCACCACGCCTGTCTAATTTGTGTGTGTGTGTGTGTGTGTATTTTTAGTAGAGACGGGGTTTCACCGTGTTAGCCAGGATGGTCTCGATCTCCTGACCTTGTGATCAGCCCGCCTCGGCCTCCCAAAGTGCTGAGATTACAGGCATGAGCCACCGCGCCCGGCCCACTTATAGCTTTTTCTATCCTAACTACTATACTATCAAACGAGTGCCAAATTTATATATCTCTCCCAGCTTCCAAACCTCCTTTTGAGCACTCCACTGACTGCTCAGAACTGTCTACGGTGGAACCTATGGTCTTCTCTTAAGTCTTCTTCTTCCTGTCTCCCGTGATCCCCATCTTGGTGACAGCAGCCATGCAAGCCAGAAACCTGTGCCTTATTCTAGGCCCCCTTTCCCACCTCTCATCAGTTGCTAATCCCCAACATTCCCTCTGCCTGCTTCCATGCCCAGGGCCACCTCCTGGATTCATGCCTTCATCACCTCTCTCCCCTGGACAGCTGTCACTGTCTCCCAGCTCCTGCTGCAGCTTTCAGCCTTTATTCCTTGTATATGTATAGATGATTGATAGATAGATAGATAGATAGATAGATAATTGATAGATGACAGATAGATGATAGATAGATAGATAGATAGATGGATGAGAGCTTTCCATGTTGCCCAGCCTGGCCTCGAATGCCTGGCCTCGCCTCCTTATGTGCCAGGAGAACAGACCTGGGCCACCCCGGCTCCCAGCATAGCCTTTATTTCAATGCTTTAAAGGTGTTGCTCCCTGTCTTCTGAATGGCATGGTTCTCAAGGAGCATCCCAATATCTGCCATCACCCTTACTGCTGTCCCTTTGTATATAACACGTTTCTTTCTTCTGGCTGCTTTTAAAGTTTTCTCTTTCTCACTGGTTTTAAACGATTTGGTTATGATGTGCCTTGGTGTAGTTTTCTTCGTGTTTCTTTTTTTTTGAGAGAGTCTTGCTCTGTCGCCAGGCTGGAGTGCAATGGCACGATCTTAGCTCACTGCAACCTCCGCCTCCTGGGTTCAAGTAATTCTCCTGCCTCAGCCTCCCAAGTGGCTGGGACTACAGACGCCCGCCACCACACCTGGCTAATTTTCCTATCTTTAGTAGAGACGGGGTTTCACCATGTTGGCCAGGATGGTCCCGATCTCTTGACCTTGTGATCCGCCTGCCTTGGCCTCCCAAAGTGCTGGGATTACAGGTGTGAGCTGGCCCTCATGTTTCTCTTACTTGGATTTTGGTGAACTTCTTGGATCTGTGGGTTCAAACTTTTCATTATTATTTGGAAAATGTCTGGCTATTATTTCTTCAAGAATGTTTCCGTCTGCCACTCTTATCTGCTCACCTCCAGAAACTTCTATTATACATATATCAGGCCTCGAAGTTGTCTGACAACTGAATAATGCTCTATTCATTTTTTTCCTGGCCTTTTTTCCTTCTGTGTTTCATTTTGTATAGTTTCTATTGCTATGTCTTCGAGTTCACTAACATTTTCTACTGTGGTATCCAACATGCTGTTAATTATATCCGGTGCATTTTTAGAAATATCAGCATTGTAGCTTTCATCACTAGAAGCTCAATGAGATCTTTTCTCTGTCTTCCATATTTCTAGTTAAAAGTTCTTTTTTTCCTTTAGCTTCTTGAACATGTGCAATACAATTATAATAACTGTTTGAATATGCTTGCCTACTAATTCTATCGTGTCATTTCTAGATTGATTTTTTTTTCTCATTATGGGCCACGTTTTCCTCCTCGTTTGTATACCCAATATCTTTCAATGTCTTTCCTTTTTTTTTTGAGATGGAGGCTTCCTCTGTCGCCCAGGCTGGAGTGCAGTGGCGCAGTCTCGGCTCACTGCAATCTCTGTCTCTAAGGTTCAAGTGATTCTCCTGCTTTAGCCTCCCAAGTAGCTGAGACTACAGGCATGCACTACTACGTCCGGATAATTTTTGTGTTTTTAGTAGAGATGGGGTTTCACCATGTTGGCCAGGTTGGTCTCGAACGCCGGACCTCAAGTGATCACCTGCCTTGGCCTCCCCAAAGTGCTGGGATTACAGGCATAAGCCACCACGCCTGGCCCCAAGTAATTTTTTTTATTGGATGCCAGACATTATGAATTTTACTTAATTGGGTGCTGATTATTTTTGTATACGAAGAAATATTCTTGAGGTTTGTCTGGAATGTGGTTAAGTTACTTGGAAATGGTTTGATGCTTTCGGGTCTTGCTTTTAAACTTTGTTACACAGGACCAGAGCAGCATTGAGTCCAGGGCTGATTGTGCCCCACTTCTGAGGCAAATCTTTGTGAGTTCTCTAGCCTGTGCCCTGTGAATTATGAAGTTTTCCACTCTGGCTGGTGGATCATGTGTGAGCTCCAGGGATCGTTCCCTCTAATCAGCCTCAGACAGTTTCCTTACTGGAACCTGATACATGGAGCAGTATTCAGCTGAGAGTTCCAGGAGGACCTGGGGGCTCGCTCTCTGTGAATTCTCTCCTCGCTGCACTCTGGCCTGTGATCTCTAGCCCCCTCGGCCTCCCTGAGCTCCAGCTCAGTCGGCTCTGCCTGAGTCCCCTCCCCCTGTGTACTAAGTGGGACAATGGTAGGCTCATCTCATCTGTTTCCCATCTCTTAGGGATCACTGTCATTCACTGCTTAATGTCCAATGTCTGATGTCCTGAGAACCATGGCTCCATGTGTTTTTTGTTGTTGTTGTTTTGTTTTTTTTTCAGCTGTTTCAGACAAGAAGGTAAATCTGGTGCCTTGTTACAGACTGAATCTCTATGTCCTCCCCAAATTCATATATTAAAATATTATCCCCCAAAGTGGTGGTATTAGGAGGTGGGGGCTTTGGGAGGTGATTAGGATTAGATGAGGTCACAAGGGCAGAGGCCTCAGGAATGGGATTCATGCCTTGTAAGTATCCTGAGAGAGCCTGCCTCTTGCTCTGCTCTCTGACATTGAGGATACAACAAAAAGTGGCTGTCAGCCCTCACCAGAGCCTGACCATACTGGCACCCTGATCTCAGCATTCTAGCCTCCAAAATTGCAAGAAGTAATTTTCTGTTGTTTATATGCCACCCAGTCTGTGGTCATTTGTCACAGCAGCCCAGACTGACTAAGACATCCCTGTCCCTTCATTTCAGTTGGCACTGGGCGTGTCCTCCTGTCTTTCTGGGACACAGATCCCATTAGGCGATTCCGCTGCTCGGTTTCACCTGAGCTTTCTCACTGCCCCCAGTTTAATAACAAGAAGGGCTAATGCAGTGCCAGGCACTATTTTAAGTTTTACATGTATTGAACGGTTTAATCTTTACAACAAGTGTATGGGGGAAGTACTCTTTTTGTTCTCATTTTACAAATGGAGACACTGGAGCTTAAAAAGGTTATATATCTTGCTCAAGTGCACGCAGCAGGAGGAGTTGGAGGTGGGGCTGGGATTTGAACCCAGGCGGTCTGGCTCCAGTCCTCACCCTTAGCCTCTACTCCACACTGCCTCCCTAAGACACTCTGGTTGGTCTCTGCCTCCACCATTCATTTCTCCATTCAATTGTGTTTCAAGCACTACTGTGAGCCCAGATATACTGCAGTTCTTGGAGACATGGAGCAACTAGCTTGAAGAAACAATTATAAAATATGGGGAAGAAGAGAGTGGCTACACACACCAGCAGCTCAGAAAAGGGTCTCTGAGTCAGCTTCCTGAAGGAGTTAACACCTGAGCTTATCCCTAAAGGTCCATCTGGTGGAATGGAGACAGGGAAGGGATTTCAGAGATGAGCAAAGGACAGAGATGATCAACAGCGTATTTGGGAAGAGAGGCCCAGTAGAGATACTGGGAAGACCAAGATGAGCACTCCAGGGGTGACAGATGAGGCTGAAGAGGCGGGCAAAGGCAAGGGGAGGGGGCCTGTGGGCTACACCCAGTGGCCTGGACTTTCTTCTAAGAAGGGAGTGACCTAGGTGGAGCTGTGAATTTGGACAACCTCTCTGTGGGTGGTGGGTTGGAAGGGTCTGGCCTGGAGGCTGGGAGACCTGTTACGAGGCCATTGCTATGGGCCTGGTGAGAGATGAGGGCCTGGGGACGAGGGACTCGGTTGGATGCAGAAGATAACTGAGCAGATGGAGTGGGGCAATGCTGGCATGGATGACTGGATGGTGGAGCTGCCAGAAGGGGAGAGTGAAGACTTGTGCTTCTAGGTGATATCTTTAAAAGGAATGGGCATGTACTCCTTTCAACCCTTTCCTCTCCCCTCCTGCTGGAATGCAGATGTGATGGCAGGAGTGGGAGTAGCCACCTTGAACTCAGAGACTGAAGTCAAGTTTAAGGGATGGCAGAGCTGCACTGTAGCCTGGAAGTACCAAGCTCTGGGCCATTGTGTGTGGAAGAACTCAAGTTCTTACTGGTTTAAGCCATTCTATTTTGGAGTGTCTGTAAGAGCAGCTTAGCATCTACTTGAACTAATGCACCTACATGCCACTGATGCACCAGTGGCATGCTGGTGCACACTGCATGCACCAGTGTTGAGCTTTGTGTAGGCTAATCCCTGTGCCAGGGATGCCATCCCTTCTGGTACCTCCACCTCTACCTGCTTGGACAACGGGCACCATTAAGTCAAGATTGGTGGCTCAAGACTGTAGTCCTAGCTACTCAGGAGGTCGAGGCAGGAGGATTGCTTGAGGCCAAGAGTCTGAGACCAGCCTGGACAATATAGTGAGACCTTGTCTTTAAAATAACAACAATAATATTTTTTGAAAAAAGATTCTACTTTGGCATTCCCTCTTCCAAGAATAGTCCTTCTGCTGTACCTCCACTACACTACATTTTATTGTGCTTTCTTGGCTATTTCTGCATCCCAGACCATAAGCTTCTTGGGGGCCATATCTTATTTCTGCTTGTGGGGTCAGTGCCTTCCTCTCCTAGGGACTCAATATGTGTTGGTTGAATGGTTCTGAGCAGTGGGTGCAGACAGCATGTCACAGGGTTGCTGGAAGAATTAAATGAGTGCAGTGTTATTTGTCATGTGGTCTGGGTTATGCTGTGTGACAGTCAGAAATTCTCAGTGGCTTAAAAGCACAAGATTGTTTTTCCTCACTCACACTATCTATCCGGGGAGGGGGGTCTGCTCATTATAGTGACTCGGGGATTGCAGATGACGCAGGCTCCTCCAATCTTCATGCGAGGCTTCCCTGGCAGGGGAAGAGAATATGGAGAACTGCACGCTGGCTCTTCGTGCTTCCACCTGAAAGCAGCACATGTTCTTTCTCTCATATTTCATTGTCAAAGCAAGTCCTGCAGCCACACCTCAAGAGGGGTGAGGATATGTAATCCTATTGCCTAGAAGAGGAGAACTGGAGCTATTGGTGAGCCATGACAACGGCTACCACAGTTGGGTATGGAAAAGTTTGGCACGGTATCGAGAACATAGCATACCATCAACCAGTGTTTGTTTTGGTTCCCCAGTCACTCATCCAACCGTGTCACAGTGGTGAAAAACAGTTAATGTTCCTTGTCTCATGAAGCTTATGGTCAAGTGGGGAAGAGGGGACAGACATTTCTCAAATCAACATACTCATATCCAGATAATGACAGTTTGTAATAAGAGCTTTAAAAGACATGAACAGGGTCTCTTGAGAGAAAATAATGGTGTGTGTGTGTGCATGTGCGTGTGTGATTACTTTAGAATGGGGAGTCACAGAAGGCCACCTGAGGAGGCAGCGTTTGAGATGAGACCCACAGAAAAAGGAAGAAGTCAGGGAAAGCCCGGGAGAAGGTGTTTCAGGGAAAGGGGATAGCATGTGCTAGGCCCTGGGGTGGGAAGGGGGCTGGTCTGGCAAGTTTAAGAAATTGAAGGAGGCCCGTGAAGCAGCACAGAGGGATTGGGGTGGAGGGCGGAGTGAAGTGAGGGTGGAGAGGCCGGGACCTAGGCATCCACTGGAAGGCCGCTGGGAGGCTTTAAGCAGGATGGGGCCTGACACACACCCTTAGTGACCTGTGAAATGTTTGTGTCTCTGGGCTCAGACCACAGAATCCTTTGCTTCTCCTGCGCTTGCTACCTGGGGGATCTCATCAGATCCTGTGGTTCCAACTCCGAAGTGTGCCTCTCCAGCCCTGTCCTTGCACCTGAACTTGACCCGTGTGGCCCACTGCCTACCCCCAGCTCTGCCAGGCACCTCCAGGTGACCCTCCACCCCCTTTTCCTCCTCCTCCCTCCCCTCCTGCTCTCAGTGAAAGGCCCCACCACCCTCATGGGCAGAAACCTTGGGGCCAACCTTGGCTCCTCCCGCTTCCTCACCCTCCTCATCCATGTGTCTGCAGCTGCCCTTGCCTTGCCTTAGGACACCTCCAGAATCCAACAGCTTCCCTCCACACGGTCCCATCACTGCCATCCTTAGCCTGGGTTCTGAGGGGCCCTCCCAGCGGATCCCCGCTTCAGCTCTTGGCCGTCAGTCAGACCCCCACACAGCAGTCAGAGGGATCCTGTGAAATGTCAATGGATCCTTCCACACTGCTGCTGAAGACCCTCCATGGCAGTCTATGAGACCTTAAACCCAGTCTATGAGACTGCAGGGCCCAGTCCCCGGGCATTTCTCCAGCCTCATCTTCCTTTTTTCTCTTTCTCACTCCAGCCACTTGGGCCTCCTCACTCTTTCCAAACACTCGGCTGCTGTTCCTTCAACAGGGAACGCACTTCCCCCCAATTCTGGCAGGCTCTCCTGAGCTAAGTTGCCTTCACAGAGAGGCATTTCCTGACTGGCCCACCTTAGACAGCACCCACCCCGCATCCCTGCAGCCACCTATGGCTTCATCTTCCCTCCTAGATTTCATCACTCCCTGACAGTAGTTACTGTGTCGCCCTCCCCCAGCAGAACTTAGCACTGCACAGGTAGGAACTTTGATCTGTTTTCTTTTCTTTCTTTCTTTCTTTTTTGAGATGGAGTCTGGCTTCATCACCCAGGTTGGAGTGCAGAGGCACCATCTTGGCTCACTGCAACCTCTGCCTCCTGGGTTCAAGCAATTCTCCTGCCTCAGCCTCCTAAGTAACTGGGATTACAGGCATGTGGCACGACACCCGGCTAATTTTTTTGTATTTTTAGTAGAGATGGAGTTTCACCATGTTGGCCAGGCTGGTCTCGAACTCCTGACCTCAGGTGATCCGCCTACCTCAGCCTCTGAAAGTGCTGGGATTACAGGTATGAGCCACCGCACCCGGCCTGCTTTCTACTGAACTTCCAAATCCTGAAACCGTGCCTGGCACATGGAAGATGTTTTATAAATATTTATTAAATGAATGAATGAATGAATGAATGAATGAAGCAAATGCCTGAAATTCTAGGCGCCATTAGAAGGACAGAGACCTTGCTTTGTTTTATGGAGAGAGAGGCCAACTGGGGTTACTGAAAGTCTGTGTTTCTGGAGGTGCAGAATGAACTACTTTGGAACAGATTCTGTTTGCTTTTTCTTCACTCCAGGTGGGGCCCTTTAGTTCCACACAAGCAAGCCAGAGCCCACCCCCATTTGTTTGCAGAGGAAACTGAAAAGTCATCCACCACAAATTGGAATGCAGATGCTGCAGTTTGCCGCGTCGAGTGTGCTGTTTAGTCATGTAAATTGGGAGCGTCTCTATCCCGGCTGTGCCCTTGAAGCATTAGGGAAATGCTTTTCTCTAAATGCACATTTAGACTGAACTGTGGCTGTCCCAACATGGTGTCACTTTGATGTTGAACAACCAGACTCTGGAGATGTATTTTACAGTTATTATGATTGCCTTGCCTAGTCCCAGAGGCAGTCCTCATTCATTCATTCATTCGTTCAATCATCCATTTATTCATTCAACAAGTCAGTACTGAGCACGTTGTGTGGCCCAGAGTGAACCAGGCTGACACAGACTCTGCAGGAAGCAATGAGTATTCCTGCTGCAGGCATCGCTTGGGTCTAGAGCCATGAGTAGGGAGGGGGGTGCAGGAGAGGACAGCCTGAGGCTGTGAGCCAGGGAGGTGAAGAGACCTGGAGATCTGGAGAGGCAGGAAGTTGTGGAATCAGGCCTTGGCTTCATGGAATCTGGCAGGGGCCACAAGGAGGGTGGGATTTGTGGGTTTGTGAGCCTCAAGAGCAACTGCTGCTGGCAGGCAGGTCACACACTCTCAGGACCCTGCTGATTGTCTCCCAAACCTTCAGTAGCACATGCTCTGGGCTTCCAGCTGCACACTGGTGCAGGGAGAGGGGGTGAAATAAAAAAGGTGGTTACCAGGCAGAGAGAGGCGAGCTGGAGCAGTAAACATTAGAGAGAAGGATGCAGGCACGAGGGACAGTGGATGCCTTGAGGAATCGCCATCCACAGAACACCCAGAAGTGCTCCACAAAATGAAACAACCATTCTTTTTCAATACATGGCTGGGTTTGTAAAATGAATGAATGAATACAAGGAAAACCTTCAGGGTGTCAAACATAAAGAGGGTGCTGGAAGCCTGAGTGTAGGGGACTCTGAAGCTGTTGGGAGGCCTCAGGTGGTTTGCAGATCATGCTTCTCCAAGAACCAGATCCAGGTTTCCCAACAGCAGCATGATGGGCACTTTGGGCCTGATTATTCTTTGTTGTGAGGGGCTGTCCCATGCATTGTAGGATGTCTAGCAGCACCCCTGGCCTCACCCACCAGATGCCCGTAGCACTTTCCTCCTCTAGTGTGACAATCAGAAATGTTGCCAGACTTTGCCAAATGTCTCCTGGGGGACAAAATCGTCCAGGTGGAGAACCACAGGCCTAGAGGCTTGGTTGTAAAGGGCCCCACAAGGAAGAAGGGCTGTGGGCCCAGGGCAGTGGGCAGTTGTAATTGAGAGCTCCACAAAAAAACTAAGACTTTCAAAAGTCTACACTTTTTGTGGAAGGATAGAGAAAAACATCCATTCGGTGGCAAAGAGAAATGATAAGAACATTTGTCTATTTTGGCATGTGCTCTTTGTAGGAAAAAATAAAAGCCTTCTTTAAATTTTGTAATCACAAGCCTGACCACACAGGGGTATAGGTAAATGTTTGCGTTATGTGTGTTCCAGGAAATGCCAGGTGGTGGAACTAACTCCAAGTGTGTTAGTAGCACCTAGCCACCTGGCTGGCAGAAGCAAAAGCAAATTCTCTTGGGAGGGACACACCTTCAACTTTTGCTGTACAAGATTCCCATGGATAGAGACCAGCTAAGCTCAAGTTTACAATACAGAATTACAAAGCATACAGGGAAACAACTGATCACAAGGAAGTCAGTAAAAACCACAAATGGCAGAAGTAGACCTTCAAGACTTAAGATATTGGAATAATCAGATCCAGAGTATATATATGTATATGTGTGTGTGTGTGTATTTTAGAGACAAGGTCTCCATCTGTCACCCAGGGTGGAGTGCAATGATGATGTGATCTTGGCTCACTGAAGCCTCTACCTTCTGGGTTCAAGTGATCCTCTTACCTCAGCTTCCTGAGCAGCTAGGATGACAGGCTCACATCACTGTGCTTGGCTGGGTTTTTTTTTTCTTTTTTTGTAGAGACAAGGTCTCACTATGTCTCATTATGTTGGTGGTCTCAAACTCATGACCTCAAGTGATCCTCCCACCTCAGCCTCCCAAAGTGCTGGTGTTATAGGCATGAGCCAACTGCATCTGGCCCAGAATATTTCTTTTTTAAATATCATATTTAAAATGTTTAAAGAAATAAAGATGCTATCAGGATAACCAAGCAAATTATGAAAATGAACAAATAGACTCAGAAATGAAAATGATAATATTGAAATTTAAAACCCAATAGATGGGTTAGACAGCATATTAGATACACCTGAAGAGATAATTAGTGAACTGGAAAACAGATATGAAGAAATCATTAGCTATAATGCAGCACAGATAGAAAAATATGAACAACAGGAATAAAAATATGGAATACAGAAAGGGGAGTTGAACAAATGTCATCTAGGAATTCCAGAGGAGATCACTGAGAGAATGGGAGAGGCAATATTTAACAATGTGTTGATTAGAAATTTTTCAGAAATGATAAGATAAATCCTGGGAAGGAAATATAAAGATCTGAGCAGAGTAAATAAGGAGAAACCCAGACCTACAAACATCATAGTGAAACTGCAGAAACCTAAAAAGATCTTAAAAGCAGGTGGATAGAAAAAAGTCAGATTACAATGACCCCAGGATGGATCTATGGGACATGAACACTGTTCTGGGGTGCCCAGAAATGACCTAGTGAAGGGGACCCTAGGAGAAATGCTGGATTACTGCTAGCATGAGCAGGTGGGGGCTCAGACCATTACTATTAAAATTAAAAATGTATATCATCTTAATGATCCCTCAAATGGGGCCTGGTGGTTTCACATCCACAGAGGGAACCTCTCACATCCCTTTGGAACACGGGCTGTTGGGGGTTCCTTTTGATTGGAGAGGGTGAGGGCTGCCTTTGCAGCACTGCCTGGCTACAGTCTGGGGAGAGCAGTGGGAGTTGGGGGACTTGGAATTGACCCTAAAGGCAGTGGGAGGCCTGGGGCTGACCCTAGACCTCTGATCTTGCTTGGGACTCTAGTCCCCCCTCAAGGGACTCTGGAGAACACTAAGGGCTGCCTTCCCATCCACAGAGGCTTCATGGAGGAGGTGATGGGCTGTAAGAGGAAGCTGGGAATGGCGGGATGGGGAAAGGTGGGGTGGGGCTAGGGTGTGTGCAACAAATTGGGGACGACAGGGGAGAGGCTGAGAAGGAGAGAGTGCTGAGGGGAAACTCAGGGACTGTCTCTATTTCTGGGTAAAGACAGCACCTCCCCTGGTCCCACACCTTATGCGTACACACCCCCTTGTCCATTCTTGCTATGAATTTCTCACCAAACAAGCTTTATTAATCGTCTAATAACCGGATTAATTAAGGACGCTGAAAGTAAACAGCAAGAAGGTAATTTGCTCCTGAGTACTGTGTAATTGTGGGAGGATGCACTCATTTGCATATGCAAAGAAGGCTCCAGACAGACATGATGATAACGGAAGAAAGTAATTGTGTACCTAAGCGCCAGACCCCAGCTCTTCCTCTTATCTCCCACCTCCTCCAGAGCCCTCCTTAGCCTCAATAGAGAGGCCAGCCCAACTCCCCAGCCCCAACCATCCCAACTCGGGCCCCAGCTCCCCAAGCCCTGTGGCCCAGGCCGGCTCCTCCAGCTCCTTCCCCTAAGGGAAACTGGGAATTCTGGCCTTGACCCTGCCTGAATGACCATGGCAACAAGCCTTTTATCCTTAAGGCCCCCCAGTCTCCGTTTCCTCAACTGTAAAATGGGCTCCTAATTACTCCGCCCCTATCATCATGAAGAGGACTAAGAGCGAACCAGAGAGTCGTTTATAAATTGCAAAGCTCTGGGCAAAAGCTGGCTGGGTCTTATATTTTACCTGAGTCCAGGATTTGCTGAGTGTACCTCTTCAAAGGCCCCTCAGAATCCTACCTCCTTCAGGAAGCCTTCCGGGATTGTGCCCCTCAGGAGACCTGGCTTCCCTATGGGCCGCAGTTTGCTCAATTCTGTAGAAGAGCTGGCGCACAACTCCAGCTAAATCCACGAACCCTGGGGACGGGCGAGGCGTAAAGGCCCTGGAGAGAGGCCACCCTCTCTTCGCCTCACCAAGGCTAGGCTCAGGCTTGGTGGGGGGTACCCTGCGCTGGGGCGTCCCCTTCCCCCCGAGGGCCTCAGACGTCAAATTGTTTTCTTATGGCGGCTGATGTCTCTCCTGAACGCAATTTGCGTTTTCAAAGCAGCTAATAGATTTATTAAAAAATCCATTTCACTCGGGATTGAGTCTGACTGGAGCTAGATCTATCCGGAGAGGCCTCTCCCAGCGCCCTCGCGTCGCCATGGAGACCGCGGAAGCCAGCCCGCCCCACTCTGGAAGCCCGCTCCCAGACCCTGCAGAAAGGCCCCTCAGCTCCAGGACCCCTCTAGCTCTCTTCATCCCGTGGTCGTGGCCCTCGTCCACACCCGCGAGGGTTAGTTAGCTTGCCTCTTCCCATCACGCAGCCTCTTCCCATCACGCAGCTTGTAAACTCTTCTTGAACCCTCCCTGGACAAGTGTGCAAACCAGTTGGAGGGCGAGGGGGAGGCGGCTTGATTTATCGATTGAACTGCCCCCCACCTTTGATTTCAAACCACCTCCTTCCTGCCCGGCCAGATGTGGTCATTGCGTGGCCCTGGGGTTTGAAAGGTCCCCATCGTGCCCCGGGTTCAAATCCCGGGTCTGCCCCTCTCCTTGCCATGAGACCTTGAGCAAGTCACTTCTGCTCTCGGTCCTCATTTTGTCCTCTCTAAAAGCAATACCAATACCTCCCTGCAGGATTAGGGTGAGGCTGAGGGGAGAGCCATGCTTGAGACAGCATAGAAAGATTCTCAACTCTCCCTCTGTTGCTTGGGGGAAACAAGTTTTGCATGTTTATAGACACAATGTGAGACAAGCACGACTTGAGGCAGCCTCTCCCCTACATCCTTCCTAACAGAGGAGCCCCTAGATTGTGATCTTGGTGAAGGCCAAAGATCCTACGTAAATACTTGTGGAACATTCAGTGATGATAGAGGTTCCCCACATTCTCAAATGACAGAAATCAGAAAGTAGGCCAAGCTGGCTACTTGAGTCTGAATCCTGTCTCCATCACTTACTAGCTGTGTCTTCATGCATGTCGGCTTTTTTTTTTTTTTTTTTTTTGACAGAGCCTCTGTTGCTCAGGCTGGAGTGCAGCAGTGGTGGGATCACAGCTCACTGCAGTCTTGACCTCGTGGGCTCAAGCGATCCTCCCACCTCAGCCTCCCTAGTAGCTGGGACTACAGGTGTGTGCCACCATGCCCGGCTAATTTTTGTGTATATTTTCTGTAGAGATGGGATTTACCATGTTGTCCAGGCTGGTCTTGAACTCTTGGGCTCAAGTGATCCTCCTGCCTTGGCCTCCCAAAGTGCTGGGATTACAGGTCTGAGCTACTGTGCCCAGCCAAATGATCCTTATGTGGTAGTTTTAGGGGAGGAGGAAGGCCCTATCCCCAGCCTTCGTCTCTCCTTTTTCCTCTATCCTCTGAGAGCAGCCTCAGCCCAGGAGGTCCTGGCCTCTTGCAGCTTCTCCTTCCAATTACTCTTTGGCCAAAAGGACAAGGCAGGCAAAAGTCTCTAGGGGTTTCCTTCTGTGTTTCTCTAGGGCCTTCCTTCTGTGTTCTAGTCTTTGGGGAGCAGGACATGTGTGGGGGCAGGGCTGTGACCTCCTGTTCCTGTCCACAGCTACTCTCTGCCTCCGACTCTCTGCCTCCTGACTGTCACACCCTCAGCCCCCTGTGCTCCCTCAGTTCTGCCCTCAAGCCCTCTCACTGCCTCTGAAGTCTCTGGGTATTGCTCTGGTCTCCAGAGAGCCCCTCAGTGGGCACGTAGGTCTGGGAGAAGTGGGGATGGAAGGAGGGATGATGGACTTCGCCTGGGTTTTGGAAGAGGCAGTTTCGGGAGCTGGAGAGACATGGAGTGCCCAGGGCAGGACCCTGGTGGCAGTCCAGCACCCCAGGCCAGCACCCCTGGTGGCGGCGGCCCCTTCATTAGCAGGCACCATTGATTTTGTGTGCTCAGCCTGGCACAGCAATTGCCCAGTGTCCCTCCTTGAAAAAAAGCTGCCTTTGAAGGTTCAGGAAAGTGCTTGGGCCTCAGGGCCTCCCCAAGCCCAGCAGGGCTCCCCAGGCTCTGCCTCAACAGGAGGGTCAGTTCCACTTCTTCTGTCTCCACACACCCAGCTCTTTGAACCAAGAACAGGGTGAGTCGCCTTCCCTCTTCGCCTCCTCTCGCAGCCCCCTCCCCTTCCTTCCCTCTGGGGCTCACCATGGGACCTCCAGCTTGGCGGGACAAAGATGTTGGGATGGGCAGAAATACCTCACCAAGTTTTTACCCAGGACCCACAAGTCTTTGGTCTTCACCAAGATCACCATCTAAGGACTCCTCTGTGAGAAAGGGTGTGGGGGAGAGGCTGTCTTGTGTCTGTAAGTATGCCAAACTTATTTTCCCCAAGGCAGAGGGAACTCAGCTTCTGTGAGTAGCCCCCATGCGGTGGCTGCGGAGTTGCTGACCCTGGTGTGAAATGGACATTGAGACATCTAGAGAAGGTGGTAGAAAGGGAATTGGGGTAAGAGAATGTTAAAGAGATCATGACTTTCATGTAAGTAGAAAACTAATACATGTCAAAGACTTTAGCTTACTAGGTAATGAGGGAACCAGTAAGATGTTACAACCAGTTCAAAGGAGAGTCCGAAGAGTAGATCCATTATAGGCCACCAGGAAATGAAGTTGCAAATAGATGAAAAACAGGCCATATCTACAAGCCAATAGTCAACGGCACTTCTATCAGACAAACTTCAGGGACATTTCTATGGACAAGAACTATTTACTTTACCCTCAGTTTTGTGCAACTTACCAAGTTATAAAAGAGCTCAGAGGCAATGAAAGGCAGAAGCCCCTCAGAATCAGATAGCCCAGAGCTGTGCACCAGATGGAACACTTGGTAGACTTTCTCCGATTTCAGAGCCGTTCACCATTTCTTGTGAATGGAGGATGAGTGGGGGACAGGCTAAGGACTCATGAAAGGCATATACCCTCATC